>NC_000007.14:100082536-100385566 GCF_000001405.40 Homo sapiens
CATCGCACCACTGTACTCCAGGCTGGCCACAGAGTGAGACTGTCTCAAAAAAAAAAAAAAGGAAGCTACAGGTGGAAGCGAGGCGGGGATAGTCAAGGAAGTGACCGTGTCCTGGAGACGCGGCAACCGTGGTGACCGCAGTCAACACAGTAAGCCCCAGCATTCGCATTGTAATTGAGCTCATTCAAGCTGAGCGCTCTCCAGTAGGGACTTTCCCCTGTAGGGAGCATGCGCATTTTGATTTCACCTGTCCTCAAACTGACCCTTTGCTCATTATCTTGGTAAAAAACACGCCCCTGGGTGGAAATTTAAGATGCTAATGAAACATGCAATGTATGAACAAGCCTGTACACCCACTGCGCATGTGCACCTAGAGGACCACCCAGAACATACTTACTAGTAACACTTCTCCCACCCCCTTATGAATAATCGTGTAAGACCCCTTACAAAGGGGGTCTCTCTAGAGCCAGCCTTTGCTGTTTCATCCTTAGGAGCAGCCCTCCCTGAACTAACTCTCTCTCTATCTCTCTCTCTCCCAGGGTGTACTGTCTACTCTGCACTTAACTTTCAAAATACTATTTTCCTTTTGCAATAAATTACTCTATGCTGGATTTCCTTTGACATGTGTTTCTTTTATTCTTTTTCCTTTTTTTTTTTTTTTTTTTGTTGTTGTTGTTGTTGAGAGGGAGTCTCACTCTTGTCACCCAGGCTGATTCTCGTGCCTCAGCCTCCCAAGTAGCTGGGACTACAGGCGTGTGATACCATACCCGGCTAATTTGTGTGTATTTTTAGTAGAGACAAGGTTTCACCATGTTGGTCAGGCTTGTCTCGAACTCCTTACCTCAAATGATCTGCCGCCTCAATCTCCCAAAGTGCTGGGGTTACAGGTGTGAGCCACCGCGCCCGGCCTCCTGTGTGTTTCTTGTTTAAATTTTTTTTTTCTTTTGAGACGGGGGTCTTACTCTGTCACCCAGGCTGGAGTGCAGTGTTGTGATTTCGGCTCACTGCAACCTCCACCTCACAAGGTCAAGTGATCCTCCCACCTCAGCCTCCCAAGTAGCTGGAACCCCAGATGCATGCCACCACGCCCGGCTACTTTTTTGTAGAGACAGAGGGTTTTCACCATGTTGCCCAGACTGGTCTCAAACTCCTGAGCTCAAGGGATCCGCCCACCTCAGCCTCCCAAAGTGTTGGGATTACAGGTGTGAGCCACTGCACCCAGCCTTAAATCCTTTTAAACTAAGAAGATAAGAAATGAGGTATCACAATAGCCATCAATAGAAGGAAAGCACCTCATCATGTTCATGCTTTCCTCTGCCTTCTTCAACATATGAAGTCTTTTTTTTTTTTTTTTTTTTAGAGACAGGGTCTCACTCTGTCACCCAGGCTGGAGTGCAGTGGCGCGATCCTACCTCACTACAGCCTCAACCTCCTGGACTCAGGCGATCCTCCCTCCTCAGCTTCCAGAGTAGCTGGGACCACAGGCACGCACCATCACACCTGGCTTCCTTTCTGTTTTGTAGACTGGGTGCTGCCAGTTCATGAATCCCTAATAAAGCCAACTCAATCTTTAAAATTCAATTTGTTGGCCGGGTGCAGTGCTTCACGCCTGTAATCCCAGCACTTTGGGAGGCCGAGGCAGATAGATCACCTGAGGTCAGGAGTTTGAGACCAGCCTGGCCAACATGGTGAAACCCTGCCTCTACTAAAAATACAAAAACAAAAATTAGCCGGGAGTGGTGGCAGGCACCTGTAATCCCAGCTACTTGGGAGACTGAGGTGGCAGAATGGCTTGAACCTGGGAGGTGGAGGTTGCAGTGAGCCGAGATCGCACCACTGCACTCCAGCCTGGGAGCGACAGAGGGATACTCCATCTCTGTATATATATACGTATCCTGAAGTATGTTTATGGTCTGTTTCCTACAACTAGGGTATAAGCTCCATGAGGTCAGGACTTCGTTTTGTTTAGTGATGTACCTGCTGCCTGGTAGGCACTCCCAAATATTTGTTAAATTAATGACTGATAGGTGAATAGATAACCACTGACCCATACCAAAAAGGAGCACTTGCTTTTTGTTCGTTTTTGTTTTTGGGGTGGGGATATTTTTTTGGTTTGTTTGTTTGTTTGTTTTGAGACAAACAAATATGGCGAAACTCTATCTCTACAAAAAATACAAAATTTAGCCTGGCGTGGTGGCACGCATTTGCAGTCCCAGCTACTTGGGAGGCTGAGATGGGACAGTCACTTGAGTTCAGGAGGTTGAGGCTGCACTGAATTGTGATTGTAACACTGCACTCCAGCCTGGGTGACAGAGCAAGACTCTGTCTCAAAAACAACAATAACAAACACAAAACAAAACAAAAACAAAAAAAAAGAAACGTTTAGCAAACTTAGTTCTAAAATGCGCACAATCAACTGATTCAATGTCAAAGTCATCCTTAAATTCCACAATAATCTCTTGTTTTATGAGCTGTATAATTATCTGAACAATGTTTCAAAAGCACCTGAAACAACAAGGCAAAGGAGTTCTTTAATGTGTGAGAGAGCAGTGCAAACGATCAACTTTACTAACCCTAGAATAATTCTCATCTTGTTTTTATTTTAGCCTTCTATCTAGCTGAGAAGCACTATGCTCCTTGGAAGCTGCCTAGCATTCTTTAAAGAGAGACATTTTTCTGGCCAGGCACGGTGGCTCACACCTGTAATCCTAGCACTTTAGGAGGCCGAGGCAGGTGGATCGGTTGAGGCCAGGAGTCTGAGAACTGACTAGCCAACATGCTGAAAACCCATCTCTACTAAAAATACAAAAATGAGCCAGGTGTGGTGGCGCAAGCCTGATATCTCAGCTACTTGGGAGGCTGAGGCACAAGAATCACTTGAACCCAGGAGGTGGAGGTTGCAGTGAGCCAACATCTCACCAAAGAGATACATTTTTCTGACCTGGTTTTTCCAAATAGAAACAAGGCATTAGGTACTTTTCTTTGACAACCCTCTCAGTTTGTCCAGACCTGGTTGGTTTATCACTGGGGACTAGAATAAAATAAATTCCTTTTTAACTTCCCTTTGGCGAGAAGACCCCTCTTCCTGCAGGATTTCTCAAGTCCGTTCCATTGAGGGTTGCTGGCCCCTTCAAGTTTCCTTCATCCAGGCTCCTAAACGGAGAGATTGCATAATTCCCCTGTAAATTACAACTATCACCATATGGGGCTGTTCAGGGTCATAACACAGTTCTTCACCTGCTTTCTAGGAGCTTACACTTTGGGTGGGGATACAGACACCTAGAGCCAGAGTATGTCTGGCTCTTTCTAGGTGTCTGTACCCCTCTTTGTAGGGGTGGCAGGAGGAGCAGTGTGTGCAACTTGCTTAGGTTTAGGGGTAAGGAGGGGGTGGAGCAGCCTAGGCTAGCCAGATGTGAATTTTGGGTTTTTTTATGAGACAGAGTCTTGCTTTGTCAACCAGGCTGGAGTGTGGTGGTGTGATCTCGGCTCGCTGCAACCTCCGCCTCCCGGGTTCAAGTGATTCTCCTCCCTCAGCCTCTCGAGTAGCTGGGATTACAGGCATGCACCACCACGCCTGGCTAATTTTTGTATTTTTAGTAGAGATGGGGTTTCACCATCTCTACTGGTCGAGACCAGGCTGGTCTTGAACTCCTGACTTCAGGTGATTCACCCACCTCGGCCTCCCAAAGTGCTGAGATTACAAGCATAAGCCACTGTGCCTGGCCAGGAACTCAGTATTTAAGGGAAGAAAGCATGCAAGAGGAAAATAAGGAAGAAGGAGAGGCAGTGAGGCAAATGTTTTTTGTTTTGTTTTGTTTTGTTTTTCTTAAGACAGTGTCTCGCTCTGTCAGCAGGCTGGAGTGCAGTGGCGCAATCTCGGCTCACTGCAACCGCTGCCTCCCAGGTTCAAGCGATTCTTGTGCCTCAGCCTCCCAAGTAGCTGGTACTACAGGTGCGTGTCACCATGCCCAGCTAATATTTTGTATTTTTAGTAGAGACGGGGTTTCACAGTGTTAGCCAGGATAGTCTCAATCTCTTGACCTTGTGATCTGCCTGCCTCGGCCTCCCAAAGTGCTGGGATTACAGGCGTGAGCCACTGCACCCAGTCCAGCAAATGGTTATTTTATTTTATTTTTTGAAATAGAGTCTCAATCTGTTGCCCAGGCTGGAGTCCAGTGGGTCCATCTCGGCTCACTGCAATCTCCACCTCCTAGGCTCAAGTGATTCTCCTGCCTCAGCCTCCCAAGTAGCTGAGATTACAGGTGGGCACCACCACACCCAGCTAATTTTTGTATTTTTAGTAAAGATGGGGTTTTGCCATGTTGGCCAGGCTGGTCTTGAACTCCTGGCCTCAAGTGATCCACTCGCTTCCCAAAGTGCTGCGATTACAGGCATGAGCCACTGCACACCCTGCTGCACATTGTTACTTTTTTGTGAGTTTCTCATTAGTGTTCAGTAAATCTACATTTTATGTAAGATACAATAAACATTTGAAAAGAGGGAGTGGAGGAAAAAGTCAGTTATGCATCTGTCTCAGGATAGGTGGAGGGATGATTCCTGGTCTCTTCCTTGTTCTATAATTGGGAAGATAAGCTTGTAATCAACATTGTCAGTATGAGATTTCACAGAACTCGGATTAGGGCTGGTTTATAGGGGGAATGTTTATGCTGAAAGATTCAGAGGCTAATGAGGAATTTCCTGGCAAGCAATTTGTGAGGAAGACCATCTGGGGAGGTATATGCCTTTTGCCATTGTAGGAGCCTGGCTTATGTATGAGGCTATGACACAGGGTTGTGGAATTACAGCTATCTGGGAACAAAAAGGAAGGGAGTTTTGACTCACTTCCCAAGCATAAATTTCCTCGGCATGCCTCTACCATACCCAGCGAATTTTGTTTCCATGTTTTGTTGAAACAAGGTGTCACCATGTTGCCAAGGCTGGTCTCAAACTCCTGGGTTCAAGTGATCCTCCAACCTTGGCCTCCCAAAGTGCTAGGATTACAGGCGTGAGTCACCATGCCTGGCCTTGTGGAGTTATCTTCTTTCTTTCTTTCTTTCTTTCTTTTTTTTTTTTTTTTGAGATGGAGTCTCACTTTGTCTTGCCCGGGCTGGAGTGCAGTGGCGCGATCGCAGCTCACTGCAGCTTCCACCTCCCGGGTTCAAGCAATTCTCCTGCCTCAGGCTCCTGAGTAGCTGGGATTACAGGCGCCTGCCACCACGCCTGGCTAATTTTTGTATTTTTAGTAGAGATGGGGTTTCACCATGTTGGCTAGGCTCGTCTCAAACTGCTGACCTCAAGTGATTGTCTGGCCTCGGTCTCCCAAAATGCTGGTATTACAGGTGTGAGCCACCATGCCTGGCCTTGTGGGGTTATTTTCGAAAGTCCTTGAGATAATTCCTATCTCAGACATGCAAGCATGAGACCTTCTCCTTGGTGTTCTCATGGCTCCAATTTGTTTGGACCTGACAATGTGATTTTGTCCTGGTATCTGCAACTTTCACAAGATGGAGCAACTAACTCAACACCAGATTCCACCCCTAATTATTCCTTCATTCACTCAAAAAGTATCTAGGCTCCAATGTGTCAGGCACCGTGTTGGTCACAGGGGATACCATGATGAACAAGAGAAGGAACCACAGGCTTTTGAATGGGAAACTAAAGCATGTGAAAAACACACGGAGAGCTGGGTGCGGTGGCTCATGCCTGTAATCCCAGTGCTTTGGGAGGCTGAGGATGGAGGATCTCTTCTGCCCGGGAGTTGGAGACCAGCCTGGACAACCTAGTGAGACCCCCGTCTCTATCAAAATAAAAACAAATAATAAAATTAGCTGGGTGCGGTGGGGTGCGCCTGTAGTCCCAGCTACTCGGGAGGCTGAACTGGGAGGATCACTTGAGCCCAGGAGTTTGAGGGTGCAGTGAGCTGACATCAGGCCACTGCACTCCAGCCTGGGCGACAGAGCGAGACCCTGTCTCAAACAAAACAAAACAAACCACCACCACCACCAGACATGAGGGCCAGTGCAGCTGAAGCCTGAAGATCAAGGGCTAGAAGAGGCCAGGCCGGGGCCAGATCAGGCAGGGCCTTGCAGGTTGTGGTTAGTTGTTTGGATTTTATTGTGAGGGAAATAACACGACATGTCATTCCTTCTGCAACAGCCTTAAGAACTAGGCGTTCTTATCCCAATTTCACAGACGAGGACGATCAAGTCGTTAATTTGTCAAAGGTCACCCGCAGGCGACAGGCGGGGACAGGGTCTGGGAAAACCCGCTAGGCACCGAGGCCCAGAGGGCGTCGGGCGTCCCCGCACCGAGTGCCGCCCGCCGCGACCCGGGAACTGCCTGCTCCCCGGACGCCAGGCCCGCCGCACGCCGCGGGGACACCGAACATGCGCCGCTCGCCTTACGGAAGCCGGGAAGGAAGGGGGCGGGGCCGAGGCTGGCGGGCGCGGGGAAAATGGCGGCGGCGGCGGCGGCGGCTGCAGCTACGAACGGGACCGGAGGAAGCAGCGGGATGGAGGTGGATGCAGCAGGTAACGGGCCGTGCGGGGGTGGCTTCCGGAGACCTCCTTCAGGGGTTCGTTGAGGCCTCCCTGTGCTCCCGGGAGAAGGGAGGAGGGCGGAGCAGCAACATCTTTCCCTGGGATAAGTTACGGGAGGAAAGTGTGGCCCGGGCTCCGCCGTCCCCCACTGCCATCTCCAGGGAAGAACGTGGGGCCCGGACTCTCACCCTCTCTCCTTTCCCTCCACCCTTAGTAGTCCCCAGCGTGATGGCCTGCGGAGTGACTGGGAGTGTTTCCGTCGCTCTCCATCCCCTTGTCATTCTCAACATCTCAGACCACTGGATCCGCATGCGCTCCCAGGAGGGGCGGCCTGTGCAGGGTGAGTGTTGGGCATAGACTCCAGTCTCTTCTCCTTGCTCACCTCCCCCAGGCAGTGGTCTTTTCCCCTTCCTCTACTGGAGCCAATTCCCCCTCCCCCAAATCATCGTTTCCCCAATACATGGTTCCCACTGATCTCAGACCCTCAGGTCATAGAAGTTTCTTTACCCTCACCTTTTCCATGTCATTCTCTTTCCCAGTGATTGGGGCTCTGATTGGCAAGCAGGAGGGCCGAAATATCGAGGTGATGAACTCCTTTGAGCTGCTGTCCCACACCGTGGAAGAGAAGATTATCATTGACAAGGAATATTATTACACCAAGGAGGAGCAGTGTGAGAGTGGAATAGATGTGGGGAAGAGGAGTGGGAGTTAAAAAAAAAATGTACAGGGTGGGGAAGATGGAGAGGGTTGGAAAGAAACAGGAGAGGAGACCAAGAACAGGGGAGAAAAAGTGAAGAGTAGCTGGAGAGATCTCAGAAAAAGAAAACGTTCAGAGTTCTTTCTCAAAAGAAAGCAAAGGATGAGAGGAGACAGGATAGAAGGGAGTAGTTATTCTAAACTGAGCCAGGATTTGAGGAGGGAGGAGAGAAGCTGGTGAAAATACACCAGGAGCTTCACATTGAGGAAGGATGGTTTAAAGAATTACTATGTCAGGCCGGGCTCAGTGACTCATGCCTCTAATCCCAGCACTTTGGGAGGCCGAGGTGGGTGGATCATGAGGTCAGGAGTTCAAGACCAGCCTGGCAAACATAGTGAAACCCCACCTCTACTAAAAATACAAAAATTAGTCTGGCATGGTGGTGCGTGCCTGTAGTCCCAGCTACGCGGGATGCTGAGGCAGGAGAATTGCTTGAACCTGGGAGGCGGAGGTTGTGGTGAGCTGAGATCATGCCACTGCACTCCAGCCTGGGCAACAGAGCGAGATTCCGTCTCAGAAAAAAAAAAAAAAAGAATTACTATATGTTCTGGCCCCTTCCCCTCTAGTTAAACAGGTGTTCAAGGAGCTGGAGTTTCTGGGTTGGTATACCACAGGGGGGCCACCTGACCCCTCGGACATCCACGTCCATAAGCAGGTATGCATGCTCACACCTGTGCATGCTGGGGCAGAGAATGGAGAATGAGGGGAAGGAGAAAGGTAGGGGGCACTGACTTCCTGTGCATTGTCCCTCTCTTCCAGGTGTGTGAGATCATCGAGAGCCCCCTCTTTCTGAAGTTGAACCCTATGACCAAGCACACAGATGTGAGTAATACTCCATGCCTACTCTGTCATGATTGTCGCTATACCTTTTACTGTGTGACACTCCTCTATTGGGGAATGCCAGATGCCACTTACCAGCTGTGACTCTGGCTTAGTCATTTAATCTCCAAACTGTGAAAGGAGGTAATCCCTACTTCATTGGTTTCTTGGGAAGATGAGAGGAAATGTGTAAAAGCAGCTAGCCCAAATGTTGGCATATAGTGTTCAGGTTTCTCCGTCTCCTTCACAGCTTCCTGTCAGCGTTTTTGAGTCTGTCATTGATATAATCAATGGAGAGGTAATACCCTACCCTTCAACCCTCAGATCCTGCTCTTGGCCTCTTTCCTGCTTTTGATTCTCCCTTTGTGGGTTACCTTGCCCTGTAGGCCACAATGCTGTTTGCTGAGCTGACCTACACTCTGGCCACAGAGGAAGCGGAACGCATTGGTGTAGACCACGTAGCCCGAATGACAGCAACAGGCAGTGGAGAGAACTCCACTGGTAATGGAGGGGATTCCTTGGAAGTGGGGTTGGAAGGTGTGGCCACATCCCGTCTCAACCTCCTCCTGTCCTCATCCCCTTGCAGTGGCTGAACACCTGATAGCACAGCACAGCGCCATCAAGATGCTGCACAGCCGCGTCAAGCTCATCTTGGAGTACGTCAAGGCCTCTGAAGCGGGTAGGACAGGGGCTTCCCTGGCATTCTTCCTCTCCCTCCTGGGGAAGTGACAGCATCCAAACTAATGTAGTCTCTTTTTGTGCCTTTAGGAGAGGTCCCCTTTAATCATGAGATCCTGCGGGAGGCCTATGCTCTGTGTCACTGTCTCCCGGTGCTCAGCACAGACAAGTTCAAGACAGATTTTTATGATGTGAGTGTAAAACCCGGATGGGGAGGCGGGGCTTATGCTGTCACTTTCACGTGCAGGACTGGGGACTGTTGTTCCCCGGGCATGCCACGAGGGATCCCGAGGAACTGGTCCTTTCTGTTCCCTCCCAGCAATGCAACGACGTGGGGCTCATGGCCTACCTCGGCACCATCACCAAAACGTGCAACACCATGAACCAGTTTGTGAACAAGTTCAATGTCCTCTACGACCGACAAGGCATCGGCAGGAGAATGCGCGGGCTCTTTTTCTGATGAGGGTACTTGAAGGGCTGATGGACAGGGGTCAGGCAACTATCCCAAAGGGGAGGGCACTACACTTCCTTGAGAGAAACCGCTGTCATTAATAAAAGGGGAGCAGCCCCTGAGCACCCCTGCTGGTGGCTCTGTCCTCTGTTAGGCACCACACTGGTTGGTCAACTTGGATGTTCATCGAGGCTCATTCTGGCCTTGCTCAGAAGCCCTTCTGATGCTCTTCAGTGAGGGAGGCACTACCATTTGAAGTGACCCCATGTCAGTCACATGGACTGGTCTTTAGCAAAGTCCAAGGCTGCCTGCTTCCACCTAAGTGGTCTCTGTTCTACACTTTAATGTCACCCTCTACATCATCTTACCTAGCCCACCCAACCTTATAAACATGATAATTGACTACTTTCCTGAGCTAAATTAACTTGTTTTTCACATACGCAAAAAAGAAGGGATAGTAAGCAGATTTTTATTAGAAAGAAGTCCAAGCCTTGATCCTGTGGGCACTGTGAATTACCAGGAGGGAGAGTTTCTCAATGACCGTTTACTACATATTTTGGAGAGGCAGCTAGGAAGTGGTCTAAAGGTTGGGATTGCTGTATGTGATCACTTGTGCTGATTTTCATCACCCGCTAACCAGAGCTTTAGAGTGGGAGTTGGGAACTAAGTAATGACCTGTCTGCTAGAAAAGGGGAAAAACCAAGAGACCCTGCATTTCATACTGGCGCCATATCCCCAGAGCCTGACTTGCACACAGGCAGTATAAGACCAAATAAGGGAGTCGGGGGGCTCAAAAAGTGGAGCCCCATCTTAAGTATCTCCAAACAGCAGGGACCGCTTAGTCCTTGCCGCATCCCCAGTGTCTATACTGGGGGCCTGGCAGGGAGATGCACTTTACTCAGGTAATTTACTGAGTGGATGAAATAGCATAAAAACGAACAGGAATCTAAAAAACGCACAAAACCCTGTTTTAATGGAAGTCAGGCCCAGGCTAGAAGATGACAATCTACAAACACTTTTATTAGCAAAAGGAGTAAGTGCAGCATGGGAGAAAGAGGGGCTCCTCCTTCCCCTCAAAGGCATCACTGCCCCTTCCCAAGGGGCAGGCCAGCAGGGAACAAGAGGACCCCAGGGTTGCAAGCAGGCTGGAATCAGACAAAAGTGATCCGTGTCCGGGAAGCATTGACCTGCCAGACATTGAGCTCCTCATATTCATCCAGAGCCGCCTGGAACTGGGCGGGTGTGAAGCCACGAGATACACAGCGCTGCTCTGCCTCAGAGAACCGGACACTTCGGCCCCCTGAGACCAGTTCACGGACGGTGGCAAATATCACATCTGCTGGTCTCTGAGTCCTGAAGGAAATGAGTGGGTGTGTAAGGTCAGGATACAAACAGGAATGCTCGACATCAACAGAGAACAATGGTGGCCAGTGTTAGAATTGAGGCCAACCTCAGACACATGGCCACAGAAGACAAAGTGACACAGCTTTGTCCTTCACTAAACCACTCACCTAGCTGTCTGCCCCTTGTCTCCTAGAAGAGAGTCCTTTGACATCTCCATTAGCCTGATGGCTTCATTCACATCTTCTTTCTCCACCACATCCACCATTCTCAGACGTGCCTAAGGGGAAGGTAGGGGGGAAAGATGGGAACGGGAGGAGGGCAGTGGAACGAGGTCAGGGGACACCCTTGTTCTGGCTTTAAGGCTGGGCAGCCCATGGGTCGCCTACTCACAAAACAGGAGTGGAATCCCCCCTCCCCCCAGCATCCGCAGTGTTGGGCCGGCACTGTCAGACCGAGACAAGTGCAATGCCCAGGGCAGCGTCCAGCAATTGCCCAAGTCTCCGCCTCTCAACACTGGCCAGTCCCGGAGTTCAGCTGTCCTGTGAGGGAGACCAGACCCTTTTGAACGCCACTGGGCTCCCCAGCATGACAGATGGAGCTTGGGGAGCTCAGCCAAGAAGACAATTGGCAGAGAGAACGTGTCCCGGGGGCTCGGGAAGTGCTAGCTCAGCAGTAGGTTGGGTAATCACACTACCTGCACGAACAGCACTTTGGAGCCCCCAGGACTGAGGTCCAAGACGGGAGGACAGAAAGGAAGGTCTGTAGCACAGGATCTAGGACACATGGAGTGAAACAGACCCCAACCACCCTCTCAGTGAAGGTTAAGAAGTGGGGAAAAGGCCTTTCCCTCCACGGACGCTGTGCGTGCCCTGCTGGAGCAGCAAGTACCCACAGTGCGGTAGCACGGAGAGGACCACTATCTGCACTGTCAGCACTTTAGCCCCGGCAGGGCTGGAGCGGGAGGTGGGGAGGCGGCAATGAGAGCACGGTAAGGAGCTACCCCTTTAAGGGTCAAAACAGATGGCCCTCCAGCAATTTGGGCACTTACCAGAGCAGTGGAAAGGCGCAGGATAGCCAGCAGGGTCCGGGCAGAAGTATAGGTGGCATCCTTACTAGCCCAAGCCTCTCGCCTCATCTCCACGTATGCTGCTGTGATGTAGTCAGCCAGAGACTCTGGCACCATGGGCTGCTTCTCGCGGCACATGGCTATGTAACGCCTGTGGGGGAAGGTTCATGGGGAAGCAGAAGAGGGAGATGGGGAAGGGAGTGAATATGAGCCCATGTTGTTTTCTGTACCAGGGCTCCCCATTTAACATGGTCCCCTCCAAGAATTTTAAGTGGAAAACACAAATTAGTGGGTGATTATTTGCTTGGCTTGAATATCACTGATGGATTTCACCAAACGTATAGCCCCCACCAGTATCCTCCAAGTTATTTCCTATTTTTTTCGGGAAAATGGCCTTTGTAAGACAAATCCGTCTGTCATTAAGAGAGGATCCAGACCCCTCCTCTGAGCGCATGACATGGCAAAACATATATTTTATTTAAAGAGAACTGTTTACAGAATATTTAAAAGGGAGTAAAAACCGGAAAGAACACTGGAGGCTCATGGGAAAATAGCGATAGAGATTATCATCCAGAATGCCTGGGAGCAGGTGTTTTAAACTTTAAATTTTGGAGTATTTGCATATGCATGAGATAGCTTGGGGATGGGACTCCAGTCTAAACATGAAATTCACCTGTATTTCATATACAACTGATACACATAACCTGAAGGTAATTTTATTAAAAATATTTTTGTGGGCCAGGAGCAGTGGTTCATGCCTGTAATCCCAGCACTTTGGGAGGCAGAGGTGGGCATCCTGGCCAACATGGTGAAACTGCTCTCTACTAAAATACAAAAAATTAACCAGGCGTGGTGGCGTGCGCCTGTAATCCCAGCTACTCAGGAGGCTGAGGCAGGAGAATCGCTTGAATCTGGGAGGCAGAGGTTGCAGAGAGCTGAGATCACTACACTCCAGCCTGGGTGACAGAGCAAGACTTCGTCTCAAAAAAAATAAATAGTGTAGGAAACAAAATTTCCTGTGTCCCTATGATATGAAGTGTGGAATTTTCCACTTAAAAGCTGATCTGAGGCTCTGGACATGTCTGTAGCGGGAAGTGGTGGTGTGAAAAACACACACCCTAAGACTAATAAGCACTTTTTCAGGAGGCTCGCACGGCCCACGCCAACGTTTGCCCACCCGCACCCAGCTCTCCTACCTCATGAGCTTCATGTCCAGAGGTTCAAACTGGGAGGGGGGCTGCCGGCTGTGCTGGTGCACATAGGTGATGTGCTGGGCCAACCTGGACAGAGGGAAGGTTAGAAGGAACACCCTTTTTAGGGCTACGCACCCATGTCCTCTTAGGTGTCCCTCCTTTGGCTCTGCCACTTCCTCACAGTGTAGGAGGGACAAGCTTTCCCGGGAAATCCTCATCAGCATTTCAGCCCCAACCCACCATTTCCCTGAGAACCATGGACCAGCCCCTGCTGCAAAGGGGAGGCTCTGGGGTTTCCAGGAGCGTGGAATTTGTTTTCTGATTCACCTCTCCTCCTCCCTACACAGATCATTACAGGGGACCTCTCTTTGGGTGTTGAGCTTCATTCACCGTAGGTCATTGTCTCGGTCGGGCCGGTCCTGAATCAGCCAGAGGAGGTCAAACCGGGAGAGCAGTGCAGCAGGTAGCTGTATGTTCTGCTCCAGGCTGCGGCGAGGGTTGTAGCGCCCGTAGGCAGGGTTGGCGGCAGCCAGGATGGAGCAGCGGGCATTGAGTGTGGTGAGAATGCCGGCCTTGGCAATGGAGATGGTCTGCTGCTCCATGACCTCGTGGATGGCTGTGCGGTCGGCCTCAGCCATCTTGTCGAACTCATCAATGCAGCACACACCCTGGTCAGCCAGCACCAGGGCCCCACCCTCTAAGGTCAGTTCTCCACTCACGGAGTCTCTCAGCACAGCTGCCGTAAGCCCCACTCCTGAGGAGCCCCGGCCTGTTGTGTACTGGCCTGGAAGAGAAGAAATAAGGAACCATGAGAGAGAAAGAACAAGAAAGAGAACAAGCAAAAGACAACAAACGGGCCAGGGAGGCGAGGCCTGCGCTGGGATCATTCCACTCCCTCCACCAGGCCTTCTTGAGATGCCCGAGGATCTGTGGGGCACTGGCAATGTCCCCCTTCCCCTCCCACTGGTTCTCTTCAGAACACAACTGTGGCTCACTGAAACCTTGGCTCCTGGGCTCAAGCCATCCTCCGGCCTCAGCCTCCCAAGTAACTGAGACTATAGGCACTCACTACCACACCCAACCAATTTTTAAAACTTTTTAGTAGAGGCCGGGCGCAGTGGCTAACTCCTCTAATCCCAGCACTTTCGGAGGCCGATAACAAGGCGGGCAGATCACGAGGTCAGGAGTTCGAGACCAGCCTGCCCAACACAGTAAACCCTGTCTCTACTAAAAATACAAAAAGTGGCCAAGTGTGGTGGCACGCGCCTGTAGTCCCAGCTACTCGGGAGGCCGAAGCAGGAGAATTGCTTGAACCTGGGAGGCAGAGGTTGCAGTGAGCCAAGACCATGCCATTGCACTCCAGTCTGGGTGACTGAGACTCCGTCTCAAAAAAAACAAAAAACAAAACAATACCCAAACAACAAAAAAAACTTTTTAGGCCGGGTGCGGTGGCTCACGCCTGTAATCCCAGCACTTTGGGAGGCCGAGGCGGGCGGATCACGAGGTCAGGATATCGAGACCATCTGGCTAACACGGTGAAACCCCGTCTCTATTAAAAATACAAAGAATTAGCCAGGCGTGGTGGCGGGCGCCTGTAGTCCCAGCTACTCGGGAGGCTGAGGCAGGAGAATGGCGTGACCCCAGGAGGTGGAGCTTGCAGTGAACCGAGATAGCGCCACTGCACTCCGGCCTGGGCGAAAGAGCAAGCCTCTATCTCAAAAAAAACAAAAACAAAAACAAAACTTTTTAGTAGACATGGAAGCGGTCTCAAAATCCTCGCCTCAAATGATTCTCCTGCCTCAGCCTCTCAGAGCATTGGGATTACAGGCGTGAGCAAACATGCACCCCTACTTTTTGAATAAACACTGTGGTCCTGTCTGTCACTATATTCACCTCCCGCAAAGCCCAACTACTTACTGCGAGGCGCCAGTCGATCAATGTATGACAGGAGCTGAGACTTGGCCACACCAGGATCCCCCATCAGACAGATGTTGATGTTGCCTGGAGGAAGGGAAGGCAGCCCTGGAATGACTCTTCTCCCAGTGCTTGGCCAACAACAGAGCAATTTTGAGTTCTGCCTACCCCTAACACCCAGCACTATTTCTAAGCCCTCCCTGTGTCCACGAAGGCAAGATGTCCACTCATACTGTGACCTACAGGGACACTTGTCATCCTTTTTTCCTCCTAAATGACTTCATCCACCCTGAGCCTCTCCCTTGTTTCTTCTTACCCCGGATTTTCATGCCTCGAGGAGACTGGTCCACACCCCCGACTAGCAGGAGCAGCAGTGCCTTCTTCACATCTTCATGCCCGTATATTTCTGGGGCGATTGAAGCTGCCAGCTTTTCGTAGAAATCCTCCTCTGTAGAGAAGTTAAGGTTGTTTTATTTTCTGGGGGAAAAGGGAGCTAGGATGTAAACGGAATTTCCTCTCTCTCCCCTGCCCCTCACCTGCAATTTGCCTCAGCTCCTCCCTGGTGAGCTCTCCAGCCCCAGACTCATCATCCTCACTCTTGTTCATCTTCACAATCCGATGGGCTTCCAGGTAGGTTTCTGAGAGTAAACCCTTGGGCAGGAAAATGCCAGGATACAGATGTAATCCCTTCAACTTGCCCATCACTGGATTCCCTAACAATTTCTTGACAAATCCCTGGGTTCTGTTTTGTTTGGGGTTTTGCTGCTCTTTTCTCTGTGTGGGTAGAATGAGTAGGTGAGGGAAAAGGGGATGATCCATTCCTCATGTCAAACTCTTCCTTACCTGTACCACCTGTCGGAACCCAGTGCGCAGGATTGGCAAGAAAATACCAGTGACGCTGACGTGGTCTCCAGGCTGGGCAATCCTTGTGTTCTCTCCTTCTACCAGCACCGTGATACTACGAGGGATATTTCCCACAGGCACCTGATCACTCTAGGGGAGGGAAAGGCACATAAGACTAGGAGAAATGGACAAGGACCCAACCTTCCCTCCCTAGGCATCCCACTCAAAGGCTCCCAGGCTACCCAGCCACAGACAAGCCCACAGCAGGGGTGCTGAGACCTCCTTTCCCCTTCCCAAGGCTCCCAGGAAATTCTAGTTCCACCTCCCTCCTGCACTTCCCTCTTTTGTTCTTCTTTCTTCCTGCCATTCCACAAGTGACTACAGGATTCAAGTGGACTCCCGATCCACCTGCCCAGGGCCACGTACCCCAAACTCACATGTTCTTGCATCTTCATCTCCTGGAATTTGATGAATCTGGAGCCCCGTGTCTGCAGATACAGCCGCCCTCCTGAGCGGTTGGTTTGGCACTCCTGGCTTGGGCACATGATCAGAGGCATGAAAGTGGGAGACTGGATCTAGGATGTGAGAACAGAAACACCAAAGGAACTCAGAAGGAAAAGAGCCCCATTGGGTCGGTCCTTTGAATCACATTTTCTCTTCATGGCAGACATCTTGTAAGTGTCAAGAACCCTCTGAACTTACTCTGGGTCAACAACAAACACCCAGAAAATAGGTAGAAAGACCACTACATACCCAAGAATGAAAGGCGAACACACAGGCAACTTTTACAACCAAATAAAACAATAGGCATCACAGGATCAAATTAATCTCTACAAAACAACTAATGGGTAAGTGCTTTCCTGCTTCTTGCTCCACACGTACCGGCTGGTAGGTCTCTGCCCCACACTGGTCACAAGTGTAAGTGGCCACCACCATCTTGGGTTTGACTTCAGAGACACGAGTGACGATTCCACGCACAGTTACCAACTTCCCCACAGAGTCAGCCCGCACTTCCCGGATCACACGAGGCTTGTTGCTGCTAGGGCCTTGAAAATACAGCTCACTAAGGGGAGAAAACAGTCACAAACAAGATCCTGGAGAACCAATCCCTACATCTTTCCCGACAGAGACCACTCACAATCTGCGCATGAGTTCAGCAGGGTACTGGTTCTGGGGGCTTCGGACCATCCCAGGGTCCCGACTCCGCTGCTCCATCATTAGCCGATGCTCAATGTAAACGTCCAGGACATCTTTATTTACCACCTAAAGGAGAAGAACAAAAAAAAAAAAAAAAAAGAGCAACAGGATGGGGAAAGGAGAGCACAGAGAACACCAGGCAGAAGTGCCCCTCCTTTCTGCCTGCTCAGAAAACATCAGTATCTGAGCAGCCTCTCTACAGAAGCTTAAACGCCTCGCCCTTTGTTTGCCATTGTTCTCTAACCACTCACTTCCCTCTCCTTGTACTGAGGCAGCAGCTCTTGTACGGCATCAGCAAAGAGCTTCGCGTAGCGCCTGGCATTCTCACAAATTGAGTCCACCAACTCGGGGTCATCCTCGGCTACGTCGTCCAGGTCCACATACAGAGCCACCTGTTCCCGATGAGCCAGCCGAACCTCAAGTGGGGAAGAGACAGAAACACCTCAGAGCCACATTCACTTTGCTCACCAGTGTTCATATGTGAAAATGCATCACTGAGAACTCAGCACAGGCTCTGGGCATCCACAGGGGAGAACGCAGCGCCACACAGAGCGATACTCGCTTTTCAGCCCTCAAACCCTCTAATTGTTATGTCTTTAATAAAACAAGCCAAGCTGCTGCTTATGGCTCCTTAAGCACCCCGCTCCCCATTCCCTTTACCCAATCTTAGACTTACCAACTGGTTCCCATACTTGAACTGCTTCTTCCCGAGTTCATCATCCTGGTAGAACTCTTGTAAGAACTTCTTAACCTTTTCTGTAACATGAAATGTAAAACCGTAAGACACAAACTTTAAGACAAATCTTAGATACCCATTTTCGCTTAAAACACGACCTATGAACTAATTAATAATATGAGCATTTAAATAAACCTACCGAAGTCTCCCCAAAGTGGGCATAACTCTTTTTCACAAGTCTGTTTCTAACCAGCGAAGAATAAAGAGCCCGTGGCAGTGCACAGGGCCATCCAACATCTCCCCAGGGGAATTCCGGTCCCTACTTTAGTTTAAAATTCTAGCGCCCTTCCCCGTTGGCCCCTCACACTCCGGTCTCAAGGTTCTCAGCTTTCTTTCCACCCCTATGATCCCCCGCCTTCTTTGGGTCCCCTTAGCCCCTGATTTCACCGGGACCTCCGCCACCGCACCCCGCCACCGCACCCCACCCCCGCTCCCGCCATCGCTTCCGCTCTTAGTAAACAAAGAAGCACATGGGCCCGGATTCCAGCCGCTTCACAGCTCGGGATTCCTCCGCCCAGGGCGGGAGCCAGTCCAGCCATTGGCCATCACACCCAGAGACACCGCGATCCCAGCCCACTGCCGCCTTTCCCGGGCCCGAGCGAAGCTCCGGATCCCAGGCACGCCCCCCCGGGCCGCAGCTCTCTCCGCGGCCGCCGCGCGGAAGGACACTGTTTACACGACACTCCCTCCAGCCTCCTCGCGCCACTTCCGCCCGGCTCCACTTCCGCTCGGAGGGCGGCCTCAAACGGCCAATCCCGGCGCGCAGCGGCCCCGGCCTGCCCGCCCCCGGGGCCTACGCGCGCCTGGGGAGGGCGCGGGAACCTGGGAATGCCCAAAAGCGCGAAGGAAAGCGGGCACGGGAGCCCAGAGCCCTTAAGACTCTCCTGAGGTCCTGGGCGCGACTTTTCCCTGTGCAGCCCCCAGCCGGGTTAGCGCGCCCCCAAGCCCCCAACCCCACGACCCTAACACCTTTACCAGGTGGGATTACTAGCTTTTCTTCAACATCGATGGCCCCCCGCACGCTTCCCAGGCCCCGTGGGCCTTAGCCAGGCCGCAGCTCGACCCTGCCTCTGGCCTCGCGCACCCCAGAACCCGCCGACCCCGGTCCCCCAAGACCCCAGCTCACACCAACAGGTGTTCCCCGGGAGGCTCCCCGCGCAGGACGCCCTCCCGGGCTCGTAGACCCGTACCCTTCTCTAGCGCGTAGTCCTTCAGTGCCATCGCTGCCGAGGGCCGTGCGGCCGCGCTTGGCGGGCTCAGAGGTCTTGCTCCTGGGGAAGCTGAGAATCTCCGCGCGGTGGACTGTGGCCGGCCAACCGAAATTGGCGCGAAACGTCGCCCCCCACGTGACCGGCGCCACTGCGTGCGGGCCAATCGGACAAGGCGGCCTTCTTCACCTCCCGCTAGCCGCAAGCCAATCACCGTGCGGGCCTAGAATGAGTGACGGGGAGGCGGTGCGGGCGTCGGAAGGGAATCTCCGGGCGGGGTAGTGCAGGCGCCGGGTTTCCCGCGGTCCGAGCTGGCGCGGGCGGAGGAGAATCGCTCTTAAAGGGCCAGCGCACACGCGTTCTTTTGTTCCGGGGCCGCAGGGCGGGGCAGGCCCGACTTTCGCCGTCTTCTTGTCTACTCTCCAGAACGGCCATGATTTCCCAATTCTTCATTCTGTCCTCCAAGGGGGACCCGCTCATCTACAAAGACTGTATCCTAGACCCTTGGGGCTGGGAAGGGGCGGAGGGGCCGGGCGGGAGGGGCGCCCAGGGCCAGCCTGTGTCGCAGGATCCTTCACTGAGTCCTTCCACCCGCCAGTCCGCGGGGACAGTGGCGGCCGGGATGTGGCCGAGCTCTTCTACCGGAAGCTGACGGGACTGCCAGGAGACGAGTCCCCGGTTGTCATGGTAACCAGTGGCGGGAGGCGGGTGAGGAGCGGGGTCCCGTCGGGCCGGGTGGGCGCCAGCTCCCTCCCAGGACTGGTTCATTGGTAGATTCCACTTGGGGGGTGCATTCCGCCAAATAAAGCTAACGTGAGGCCCGGCGCGGTGGCTCACGCCTGTAATCCCAGCACTTTGGGAGACCGAGGCGGGCGGATCACCTGAGGTCAGGAGTTCGAAATCAGCCTGGCCAACATGGTGAAACTCCGCCTCTACTAAAAATACAAAAAAAAAAAAAACATAGCTGGGCGTGGTGGCGGGCGCCTGTAATCCCATCTACTCGGGAAGCTGAGGCTTGAGAATCGCTTGAATCCAAGAGGCAGAGGTTGCAGTGAGCCGAGATCCGGACACCGCACTCCAGCCTGGGAGACAGAGCGAGACTCCCTCTCGGGGTAGGTGGGGGTGGGGAAAAAAAAAAAAAGAGTCAATGGGCGCCAGCAACACACCAGGCCCAGCTCCCTGCGTGACTCCATCCTCAGCAACTCGGGGTAGTTAGTGTAATTAACCCCCTTTCCACATTGGGAAGCTGGGCCCAGGCATATGTCATGTATCTCCCAAAGGCACTGCTGTTGTGACTAGTAAGAGGCATCGGGATCCGAGCTCAGGTCTCCTGGGTTCTGATCACTCCACCTCCCTTTTTTTAACGCCTCTCTTCTCCCTGCCTGTGTCTCAGCATCACCATGGCCGTCATTTCATTCACATCAGACACAGCGGCCTCTATTTGGTGGTCACAACTTCAGAAAACGTTTCTCCCTTCAGCCTCCTAGAACTGCTCTCCAGGTGAGGAGGGTTGGGCTGGGCACCTGGTAGCTAGGAGGGGTCTGAGAGGAGGAGAAAATACACGCTCCAAGTGTTTCCTCAGGTTGGCCACCCTTCTGGGCGATTACTGTGGCTCCCTGGGCGAGGGGACCATCTCCCGCAATGTGGCTCTGGTATACGAACTCCTGGATGAAGTGCTGGTGAGAATCAACAATCCCCTTCTGTGGCCCCTACCCAATTCCCCTGAAGATACATCTGCTCTTCTACTGTGGGATGCCGTGGTTAGGAGGCCAAGTCTACCTTTTTTTTTTTTTTTTTTTTTGCTTTTAGAGACAGGGTCTTGCTCTGTTGCCCAGGCTGGACTGCAGTGGTGCAGTTATAGCTCACTGCAGCCTGGAACTCCTGGGCTCAAGCCGTCCTCCTGCCCCAGCCTCCCCTGTGCCTAGCTAATTGTTTATTTTTTGTAGAGACTAGAGTCTCACTGTGTTGCCCAGGCTGGTCTTGAACTCATGGCCTCAAGCCATTCTCCTACGTCTCGGCCTTCCAAAGCGCTGAGAGTACAGGAGTGAGTCACCATGCCTGGCCCCACTCCCCCTCTTTACCCCTTCCCTCCACTGATCACTCAGACTGTCCTTCCTTTACCACTAGGACTATGGCTATGTACAGACCACATCCACGGAGATGCTGAGGAATTTCATCCAGACGGAAGCTGTGGTCAGCAAGCCCTTCAGCCTCTTTGACCTCAGCAGCGTTGGCTTGGTCAGTAGAGGGAAAGAGGAGGGTGAGGAAAGAGAAGAGGGGTTGGCTGGGGTTGTCAGACCTGATGATTGATTGCTTTGGATGCTTTACAGTTTGGGGCTGAGACACAACAGAGCAAAGTGGCCCCCAGCAGTGCAGCCAGCCGCCCCGTCCTGTCCAGTCGCTCTGACCAGGTGAGGGAAGGATCCATGGGGTCAGACGCTCTGGTTTTGCTCTGGGATCCGGGAGTCCAAGATCTTAGGTCGGGCACAGCGGCTCACGCCTGTAGTCCCAGCACTTTGGGAGGCCGAGGTGGGCAGATCACCTGATGCCAGGAGTTTCAGAGCAGCCTGGCCAACATGGTGAAAACCTGTCTCTACTAAAAATGCAAAAAAAAAAAAAAAAAAAGAAAAAGATCTTGGCACATCTCCCACCCCCCCAGATGTGGGTGGAGGTGGGAGATGATCCCTTCCATCACCCATGTCCTCACCCTAGAGCTGTAGCTTTGACTGTCCTGTTCTTTCTCCCTGTCTGTCCATTTCAGAACATAGGCTATTCTGCTTCCAACCACCCAAATTCTCTCTCTTTCTCAGAGCCAAAAGAATGAAGTTTTTTTGGATGTGGTCGAGAGATTGTCTGTACTGATAGCATCTAATGTAAGTTTGAGCTCCCAAACCTGGAGCTGAGGACAGATGGGACTTGGGAAACATGGTGGGGTGGCTAAGACTCCCAGCAACGGCCGGGCACAGTGGCTCATGCTTGTAATCCCAGTGCTTTGGGAGGCCGAGGTGGGAGAATTACTTGGGGCCAGGAGTTTGAAACCAGCCTGGGCAACATAGCCAGACCCCGTCTCTACAAAAAATACAAATAAACAAATTACCCAGACATGGTAGTGTACACCTGCTGTCCCAGCTACTTGGGAGGCTGAGCCAGGAGGATCACTTGAGCCCAGGAGGTTAAGGCTGCAGTAAGCCAAGATCGAGTCACTGCACGCTAGCCCGGATGACAGAGCAAGACCCTGTCTCTTAAAAAAAATAAATAAGTAAAAAAGGCTGGGCACAGTGGCTCATGCCTGTAATCCCAGCACTTTGAGAGGCCGAGGTGGGTGGATCACTTAAGGTCAGGAGTTTGAGACCAGCCTGGCCAACACAGTGAAACTCCATCTCTACTAAAAATACAAAAATTAGCTACTTATGGTGGCAGGCATCTGTAACCCTAGCTACTTGTGAGGCTGAGGCAGGAGAATGTCTTGAACCTGGGAGGTGGAGGTTGCAGTGAGCCGAGATCACGCCACTGCCAGCCTGGGCGACAGAGCGAGACCGTCTCAAAAAAAGAAAGAAAAAAAGACTCTAACCTTGACGCCCCTGCCTCTCAGGGATCCCTGCTGAAGGTGGATGTGCAGGGAGAGATTCGGCTCAAGAGCTTCCTTCCTAGCGGCTCTGGTGAGGCATCTGCAGGCAGGACCAAGGGTTGGGGTTAGGGCGGGTTCCTTGGTGTCTTAAACCATGGCATTGCTGAGCTCTCCTGATGGTCTCTCCTCCGACAGAGATGCGCATTGGCTTGACGGAAGAGTTTTGTGTGGGGAAGTCAGAGCTGAGAGGTGAGGAGAAAGTGGGTCTTTCTCCCCTTGGAGTAGGTCATTGCCAGAGTTCATGGAGAGAAGTCAGACAGAGCCTCCCCTCTCCTTGCTCCTCTCCCAAAACAGGAGTCAGGAGAGAAGTCTCTCTCTCTCTCTTTCCAGGTTATGGGCCAGGAATCCGGGTCGATGAAGTCTCGTTTCACAGCTCTGTGAATCTGGACGAATTTGAGTCTCATCGAATCCTCCGCTTGCAACCACCTCAGGGCGAGGTCAGGGTTGGGGTGGCCTCATAAATTCCGTCCACCATGGGGAAGGGGGCAGTGGGGTCGTGAGACCAAACTAACCTTGTTGCTCTCTGGTCTCTCAGCTGACTGTGATGCGGTACCAACTCTCCGATGACCTCCCCTCACCGCTCCCCTTCCGGCTCTTCCCCTCTGTGCAGTGGGACCGAGGCTCAGGCCGGTGAGACAATTTCCTGGGTTCTAGAACTACCTTGGAACCCAAGCCAAGACCTGTATGTTCCCAAGACTCACTGCAGAGTGGGGGTGGTGGTAGTGGTGATGGAGTGCAAATTGGAAAAAGGCTTGGGTTGCGGCCGGTGGCTCACACCTGTAATCCTAGCACTTTGGGAGGCTGAGGCGGGAGGATCACTTGAGCCCAGGAGTTCCAGACCAGCCTGGGCAACATAGTGAGACCCCATCTCTCTGAAAAAAAAAAAAAGGAAAAAGCTTTGGCTAATGGAGTTGGGCTGGGCTTCAGCCCTTTTCCCTCTTGGGAGTACAGCCCACACCCACACAGCCCCACATGGAGGTCCCTGGTGGGGAATGGTGAGATGCCAGTAGAAGATGGCCTGAGTCGTGGTGTTTTACCCTCTCATCCAGGCTCCAGGTTTATCTAAAGTTGCGATGTGACCTGCTCTCAAAGAGGTAAGAGTGAGGCTGGCCTGGCTGAGTTCAGCTCTATGGGACGGAAGACAGGGCCAGGGCACCTGCTGCTTCTCCCTTCAGATGCAGCTGCCAGCCTCAGAAGCCAGTTAAGGTAGAGGCTGTAGAATTTGGGAAGGTGGGGGGCACCTGTGCTGAAATCCTGTTATGACATTGAAGAGGAACAGGACAAGGGACTGTGCCTTCCTGGGGCTGACTTTGTTCCCGTCTCCTCTGTAGCCAAGCCCTCAATGTCAGGCTGCACCTCCCCCTGCCTCGAGGGGTGGTCAGGTGAGTGTGTGCACCCACCACGGGGAGATTCCTGGGGAGAGAGTGAGCTCAGCATGACGGGTCTGCCTCAAGAAGGTGCCAAGCCCAGCACCTTCCCTTTCCAAACTCCAGCCTGTCTCAGGAGCTGAGCAGCCCAGAGCAGAAGGCTGAGCTGGCAGAGGGAGCCCTTCGCTGGGACCTGCCTCGGGTGCAAGGAGGCTCTCAACTCTCAGGCCTTTTCCAGGTATTCGCTGTGGACCCCCAGCCCCTCTCCTCCCACATTCACTTGCAGCCCCCACCCCACCCTCCCGAAGCAGCTGCTGCCTGGTTCCCCCAGCGTGGTCAGCTTCTTGCCCTCCTTCCTCTCCCTGCCTCTGCCCCTCACAGATGGACGTCC
Organism: Homo sapiens; assembly: GCF_000001405.40. Classification (NCBI taxonomy): domain Eukaryota; kingdom Metazoa; phylum Chordata; class Mammalia; order Primates; family Hominidae; genus Homo; species Homo sapiens. The sequence continues at coordinate 100,106,668 of NC_000007.14, forward strand.
CAGGGCCCCCAGGACCTCCCAGCCATGGGCTCTCCACCTCGGCCTCTCCTCTGGGGCTGGGCCCTGCCAGTCTCTCCTTCGAGCTTCCCCGGCACACGTGCTCTGGCCTCCAGGTCCGATTCCTCAGGCTGGCCTTCAGGCCATGCGGCAATGCCAACCCCCACAAGTGGGTGCGACACCTAAGCCACAGCGACGCCTATGTCATTCGGATCTGAGGCTCCCCAAACGAGGACACGACGGCCAAGGTGGCAGTTTGTCCCACGGGAGGACAGTCGTTTCTTTTCCAGCCTCCTGGCCTTCGGACTCTGAATCTGGGCAGGAAGAGTCCTCAGTCCCAAGACCAGGAGGGGGCAATGGGCCCAGCCTTTCTGTGGTATCTGATGCAGGAAGGACTGCAGTGGATCAGAACTTACAAACCAAACTTTTATTCTGAGAAACTGGCTGTACAATATCTAAAAAGAAAGTGACATGAAGGAAGCAATCTACAACTTCCTTCCGCTTAGCGAGCATGCATGTGTGTACGTGCACGTGTGTACATGTCTGCATGTGTGGGAATCCGGGGGCTGGCAGGTGGAGCATCACGGAGCAGGCTGAGGGGAGCCGGAGTTGGGCTGGGAGCCATTGGCTTTTGGAGTCCCTGGAGCTGGAGGGGGACTGTCCCCAGCCTCCTGCTTCCCCCCACAAAGGGCACTGCCGCTGAGTGGGGACGGGGACGATGCCGGGGGAGGAACTGGAGAAGGATGGGAGGTGGGGCCTCCTTTGCCCTCCCCTGTTGGGGGAAGTGAGACCACGATGTACTTCTGGACACTCCCAGGACCAGAGGGAGCAGTGCTGGGGGGTGCGGTGGTGGCGGTGGAGACCAACTTGACGATGGGCTGCACGCTGGGGACGGTGGTGGTGACGGGCGAAGTGGTGGTGGAACCTGAGCCGGGGGCCGAGGTGCTGAGGGACAGGACCTGGATAGAAAGGAAAGGCAGGCCGCTTGCCCTGTGCCCTCCCTGCCCCCCAGAGGCCTGGCGAGGACGCTTCACTCGCTCCCTGCCTGAACAAGTTGTTCCTGTAGTTCACCCTGTAGACAGCTATGGCTGGAGACCTTGTTCATGCAGGGCAGCTACAGCCCTGCAGGACCCTGGTGGGCGCCTCTTCCAGCTCTTGACTTGGGGCCCAGAGGGGACTGTGCTCTACTCCTGGGCCTCCCCAGGGTGCTCTGAGGTAACCCAGGCCCTCCAGATGCTCCCTGTCCCACAGCTCTGCATACCTGCTGGGTGGATGGGGCGCTGGAGGACGATGACATTACAATAAACTTGGTTGGAGGAGGGGAAGGCTGTGGTGGGGCAGCCGCTCGTGCAGACACCAGTGTCTGGACAGGAAGTGCGATGGAGCCAGGAACCTTCAGCAAGCCAGGGGTGCGAGGGCCAGGCTGTGGGGCCTGCGAGAGGGTCAGCGTGGGCCGGGGCTGCGGGGAGAAGAGGAAAGGGGGAAGTGGCACCATCTACTAAGAAGAGGAGTCTGAAGGGAGAGGCCTGGGCTCCCCTCGCTCTTCCTCAGTGGCTCTCACTAGGGCTGGGGCATCCTCACTCAGGGCCTGGTTGCCCTGAGACTACTGACTGAGGGCACATGTGGCTGTGTGCAAGTGCCTGTCCCACACAGGGGTTCTCCTCTGCTTCCTCCTATTCCTCCTCCCCACCCGGCCACGGACCTGCGTGATGGTCAGAGTGGTCCTGTTGACCTGCTGAGCCTGCAGAGCAGCCTGGGCCCGAGCCTTGACCACCTGGGAGCAGAGGAGGGGCCCAAGGGACCCGAATTCTGCCCGATAGGCGTCCTGATTGTCAGGCGGTGGGCGCAGCTTTGCCAGAACAGGAGCACAGTGTTTCTGCAGAACAGAAAAAAAGCCAGGTAGAGGGAGGGCTGGGGAAAAAAGCCAGGTAGAGGGAGGGCTGGTGACACTCTTGAGAAGAACCTTGGGGATGGGGTAAAAAAGGACATTCCTTATCATCTCAGTGCCCCTGTTGAAGGCCAAATTATGCTGAACTATTAGTGTGTGTACAGAACACTGTGGGCTTTCTCATAAGAAAAGATGGGCACGGGGCCAGGTGCAGCATCTTAGGCCTGTATCCCAGCACTTGGGAGGCTGAGGTGGGTGGATCACTTGAGGTCAAGAGCCTGGCCAAAATGGAGAAACCTCATCTCCACTAAAAATACAAAAACTAGCCAGGCATGGTGGCACGCACCTGTAGTCCCAGCTACTGGGGAGGTTGAGGTACTAGAATGCTTGAACCCAGGTGGTGGAGGCTGCAGTGAGCAGAGGTTGCATCAGTGCACTCCCGCTTGGGTGACAGAGTGAGACTGTCTCAGAAAAAAAAAAAAAAGAATGGCTGGGTGTGGTGGTTCATGCCTGTAATCCCAGCACTTTGGGAGGCTGAGGCTGGCAGATCACCTGAGGTCAGGAGCTCAAGACCAGCCTGGCCAATATGGTGAAACCCCGTCTCTACTAAAAATACAAAAAATTAGCCAGGCATGGTGGCGCGTGCCTGTGGTCCCAGCTACTTGGGAGGCTGAGGCATGAGAATTGCTTGAACCTGAGAGGCAGAGGTTGCAGTGAGCCTGAGATCGCACCACTGCACTCCAGCCTGGGTTACAGAGTGAGACTCCATCTCAAAAAAAAAAAAAGAAAAGAAAAAGAAAACATGGGCACTAATGTGTGAATGAACTTGCTAAATACTGTGGCAGGATGGTTAATCAAGAGCGCATTTGCCTTGTACAGAGAAGACCACAGAGTAACAGGAGCATTGGGGAAGGATGGTCCAAATGCCACAGGCTGAGCGTGTTAAACCCTTCTTTTTTGGGGGGCGGTGGTCTCCCTCTGTAACCCAGGCTGGAGTGCAGTGGCACGATCATAGCTCTCTGTAGCCTTGAACTCCTGGGTTCAAGCAATCCTCCCACCTCGGCCTCCCTAGTAGCTGGGACCACAGACACGTCACCACTCCCGGCTTTTTGGTTTTTTTTTTTGCAGGTGGGATCTCGCTACGTTGTCCAGGCTGGCCTCATACTCCTAGGCTCCCAGAGTGCTGGGATTACAGGCAGAAGCCATCATGCCCAGCCCCCTTATTTCTTACTCAGTCTAATCTCAGTCTTTCCATCTGTAAAATAGTATCAGACTCTGCAATGTCCTCTGAAAACATGAGGCAAAGATGGGAGTAAGTGAATAAAATATGCCATATGCTTGCTAAACACTGCCTGTGTCTCAGTGGGCAGGTGTGGGGACAGGGGCTTCAGTCACCAGCAGGAGGCTCTGCACATGGTCTGCTCCAATCCGGTCAATGTTGCTCAGCACAGGGCCGTCCAGCACACTGCGGATCCGCTCCCCTTCCTGCTGCAGCCGGGGCAGAATCAGAGTCTTGATAACCTGTTAGAAGGGAAAAGGACAAGCAAAAGCCGGAGGGTCACCAGGGTCTCCCAGATGGGGGTACAGTGCCCTCTATAACCTCATGACTGTGTCCCCTCCCCCATTTCTTCCTCCCAGAGGCCTAACATCGTGTCCCAGCTCAGCCAAGCCTGCGATGGAGCCATAACGAGTCGTCCAGGGCGTCTTCTCGTCCACCCAGCTCTGTAAGGGGAAGGAAATAAACTAAGATGAAGGGGTCTGAAAGGATGATTGACAGGGACCTAAGTCTTTCATAGACACTTTCCTTGTAAATCATTAAGACATTACAATGAGGCCAGACGTGGTGGCTCACACCTGTAATCCCAGCACTTTGGGAGGCCGAGGCAGGCAGATCACCTGAGGTCAGGAGTTCCAGACCACCCTAGTCAACATGGTGAAACTCTGTCTCTACTAAAAATACAAAAATTAGCCAGTTGTGGCCAGGTGCAGTGGCTCATACCCGTAATCCCAGCACTTTGGGAGGCCAAGGCAGGCAGATCACCTGAGGTCGGGAGTTCTAGAGCAGCCTGACCAACATGGAGAAACCCCGTCTCTACTAAAAACACAAAATTAGCTGGGTGTGGCGGCACATGCCTGTAATCCCAGCTACTCGGGAGGCTGAGGCAGGAGAATCATTGGAACCCAGGAGGCGGAGGTTGTGGTAAGCCAAGATTGCACCATTGCACTCCAGCCTGGGCAAGAAGAGCGAAACTCCATCTCAAAAAAACAAAAACAAAAAAATTAGCCAGTTGTGGTGGCAGGTGCCTGTAATCCCAAGTACTCAAGAGTCTGAGGGAGAAGAATCGCTTGAACCCAGGAGGCAGAGGGTGCGGTCAGCAGAGATTGCACCACTGCACTCCAGCCTGGGCAAGAGCGAGACTCCATCTCAAAAAAAAAAAAAAAAGGTATTACAGACAAGCCTCAAGACCCTTAGACCCCCACAAGTTCCAGTCCCTCTTCCCTCTGCCCCCTTGTTTCCAGTGTGACTTCCCCCAACCAGAGGTGGCCAGTGATGAAGCAAATGACGCTCAAGTTTTCCTGGCTCACCTTGGTGAAGGTCTTGGTGATCCGGGACTGGATGTTGTTAGTGGTTGTGCTAAAATGCTTGCAGATCTGGGCCACCAGGCGGGCAGCAAAGTCTCGGAGTGCCCAGTGATTGTCCACATCTGGTCGCAGGCACAACTGTCTGCTCACGATGCAGGTCATCACAGCTGGAATCAGCTCATGGACCTAAGGGAGAAAGGGCGGGACAGCTGATTCTGGTTTTGTTTGTCTGCTTGAGATAAAGTCTTGCTCTGTCACCCAGGCTGGTGTGCAGGGACACAATCATGGCTAACTGCAGCATCAATCTCCCGGGCTCAAGCAATTCTCCCATCTCAGCCTCCCAGGTAGCTGGGGCCACAGGTGTGCACCACCATGCCTGGCTAATTTTGTTTTGGTTAATTTTTTTTGTAGAGATAGCAGTCTCACTACTGTCCTCAGGCTGTCCTCAAACTCCTGAGCTCAAGCAATCCTCCCACTTCGGCCTCCCAAAGTTGCTGGGATTTCAGGTGTGAGCCACTGCTGACCACTGACTTCCTGTTGGTGGCAGCAGGGTCCCTAGTCCCTGGAAGGGAGGATGGGCAGGATCACTCACGTATTTTTCTAGATAGAGCGTGGGGTTGTCCATCAGCGCTTTCACCATACGCATCAGGTAGATGAGTAGGGCCAGGTTGTTCTGAACCACGTTCACACGGACCTGTGGGAGGGAGAAGTGCTGGGCATGGGGCAGGGAGACCCTCACAGGAGCTTCCACTGCCGTCCCTGCACTGTGGAACCTCATGCTCTCACCCCCTCCGAGATAAAGGTACTGAACCGTGGCAGCATCTGATACAGTCCAGGGTCCGTGGCAATGCTTTGCAGGGCTTCCTGTGGGAGGAGGGAAGCCAGTCAGGTGGGGGTGGGATGTGGGGAGCAATTCATAGGGCCCCCAGGAGGAGGCGTCTCAGGGCCAGGGCAAGCTGGTGGGGCCCTCACCGCCCTCTTGGCCTCGCAGGAGCCCACGCAGGCCTCGGTGATCTCCTTGTAGTAGAGCTGCTGCTCCACAGACAACTCGTGGATGCTCCGGGGCTTCAGTCGCAAGGGGGCCCCCTCCAGCAAGGGCGGCGCCTTCTTCTCTTTCCCTGTGTGATTGGAAAGGTGGGTCTGACAAAGAAAGCTCCAGAAGAAACCTCAGTAACAGAAGAACCTTAACCCTCCACTTCCCCTGAGACCCAGGAGACCTGGCTTCTTCTTAGGCTCCCCCATCCTTTCTGGGGCTCTGGCCCTGACCTCAGCCACTTCACCAATGGCCACATGGAGGCCTGGCATGGTGGCTCACACCTGTAATCCCAGCACTTTGGGAGGCCAAGGCGGGCGGATCACATGAGGCTGAGTTTGAAACCAGCCTGGCCAACATAGCAAAACCCTGTCTCTACTAAAAAAAATTACAAAAATTAGCCGGGCGTGGTGGTGGGCACCTGTAAGCCCAGCTACTCAGGAGGCTGAGGCAGGAGAATCGCTTGAACCCTGGAGGTGGAGGTTGCAGTGAGCTGAGATCGTACCACTACACTCCAGCCTGGGTGACAGAGTGAGACTCTGTCTCAAAAACAAAAAAAAAGGAAACAAAACAAACGGCCATGTGGCTTTGGGCAAGAGTCCAGAGAGGCCTAGCCTAGGAGGACTGACCTTTGCCGTCGGCTGTGGTGGCCCCTTGACCTTTGCCCTTCAGGGGTCCGTCTTCCTCCTGGCCTGGCTTGGCTGACTTCAGGGGTTCTGTGGCTTCAGCCTTCTGTTGCTCTTTGGGAGCTGGTGGGAAAGCAGGCACAGCGGGAGGGGTGATGAGCATAGTAGAAAAGTAAAAGGTGGGAGGAGGCCGGATGCGGTGGCTCATGCCTGTAATCCCAGCACTTTGGGAGGCCAAGGCGGGTGGATCACCTCAGGTCAGAAGTTCGAGACCAGCCTGGCCAACATGGTGAAACCTCGTGTCTACTAAAATTACAAAAAATTAGCCGGGCGTGGTGGTGTGTGCTTGTAGTCCCAGCTACTCAGGAGGCTGAGACACAAGAATCGCGTGAACCCAGGAGGCACAGGTTTGCAGTGAGCCAAGATTGAGCCACTGCACTCCAGCACTCCTGCACTCCAGCACAGGCAACAGAGTGAGACTCTGTCTCAAAAAAAAAAGGTGGAAGGAAGGGGAAAGGGACCCAGAGACCCAGAGGGTGGGGCATGGAGGTTACCTGGGGGCGGGTTCTCGGGGATAGCTGGCTGGCAGCCCTCGATGCTCAGCCAATGAGCTGCAAGGAAGGCAGGTGTCAAGGTGAATTGCCACGCATGGACATTGGGGAGTTGCCCCATGCTATGGAAGCGTGTTTCCACTCCTGCTCCCCTTGCAACTCACCAGGGATCTCACACTGAGCTTTTCTTCTATTGTGAGGCTCCTCACACCTACACACATCTGTCCTCCTTTCCCTCCTCCCTGCCACCCTGCTCTCCCCTCCCCCAACCTTTGAGGCAGACGTCCAGGGGCACCCGGGGCAGAGGGGTATTGATGATGTCGCTCAGATCAACCTCCTTCTCCTCATAGAAGTAAAGCTCCCGGCCCCCACCAGAGGCGAAGCGGAAAGGAATGAACTCCTGGGCGTGGAAGCCATAGAGTGGCTGTGGCAGGAGAGAGGGGCATGGGTAAGAAGGGAGCCGGAGGAGACCTGGCTGAAGGATGGCGTCTCACCCCCCCCCCGCCTGTCTCCCCAAATCACCTCGACATTCTTTAGCTTCAAGGCGTAGTCAATGTCACTGGTGGTGAGCTTCTGCCGCTTCCCCATGTGCATGAACTTCAAGGCATCCTGGGGTCGGTGACAGAACAGACATCAGCCCAAAATCCTAAGGACGGGGCCCTGGGTGACATGGACCCAATGTAGAGCTGGACAGAAGGGCCGGGTCACCTGTGCGATCTCTTTGATGCGGTAGCTGACCTCATCCGTTAGCAGCTGGCAGGTCTCCTCCTGAATCTGGGCGATGCCCATGGATTCAGCCACCACCTTCATGGACTCCGAGGGCAGCACAGTGTTGCTAAGCTTCAGCTTCTTCTCCTCAGCCATTCTGGAGTCCCTCTTCTCCTCCCTGGAAGGATGAAGCCCCCGGTGGAGAGACGGAGACCCTGGCAGAGGAACGGGGCAGGCAGAAGAAAAAGAAACGTGAGACACAGGGAGAGGGCCAACAAAGGGAGGACAGTGGAGACAGGGGAGGAACTCCGAGTGTCTTATGTCCATCCCCACGTGAGTCAGCCCTGAGGTGTAACAGAGAAAGATACAAATCTGGGCTGGGGCCAGGTTCAGTGGCTCACGCCTGTAATCCCACCAGCACTTTGGGAGGACGAGGCGGGCGGATCACTTGAGGTCAGGAATTCGAGACCAGCCTGGCCAACATGGAGAAACCCCATCTCTACTAAAAATACAAAAATTAGCAGGGCGTGGTAGTGCACACCTGTAATCCCAGCTACTAGGGAGACTAAGGCACGAGAATCACTTGAAACCAGAGGGCAGAGGTTGCAGTGAGCCGAGATCACGCCACTGCACTCCAGCCAGGGTGACTCCGTCTCAGGAAAAAAAAAAAAAAAATCTGGACTGGGCCTAGTGGCTCATGCCTGTAATTCCAACACTCTGGGAGCCCAAGGTAGGAGGATCGCTTGAGCCCAGCAGTTCACGACCAGCCTGGACAACACAGTGAGACCCCATCTGTACAAAAAATACAAAAATTAGCTGGGTATGCAGGCACAGGGCTGTTGTTCTAGCTACTCAGGAGGCAGAGGTGGGAAAACTGATAGAGCCCAGGAGCTCCTAGGCTCAAGCAATCCTCACACCTCAGCCTCCCAAGTAGCTGGGACTATAGGTGTGTACCACTACACACAGCCAATTTTTTGCAGGGGCAGGGGCAGAGACAGAGTCTCACTATGTTGTCCAGGCTGGTCTTGAACTGCTGGGCTCACGCAGTCCTCCTGCTTCGGCCTCCCAAAGTGTTGGAATTACAGGCCTGAGCCACCAGGCCCAGCCCAGATTTTTATCTTTTTCTGTTACACCTCAGGGCTTCAATCCCACCACTTTGAAGTTTTGGGCTCAAGCAATCCTCCAGCGTTGGCCTCTCAAAGTGTTGGAATTAAAGGCGTGAGCCGAAGTGTCTGGCCCAGGCTCAGCTTTCCTTATCTTCATAGCAATGCCATCCATCCAGACACTTGTTCTTTATCTGAGCCTTCACATCAAATCCACCAGGTAGGCCAGGTGCGGTGGCTCACGTCTGTAATTCCAGCAATTTGGGAGGCCAAGGTGGGTGGATCACTTCAGGTCAGGAGTTCGAGACCAGCCTGAGCAACATGGTAAAACCCTTTCTCTACTAAAAATACAAAAATTAGCTGGGCATGGTGGCGCGTGCCTGTAATCCCAGCTACTTGGGAGGCTGAGGCAGGAGAATCACTTGAGCCTCGGCAGTAGAGTTTGCAGTGAGTTGAGATTGCGCCATTGCACTCCAGCCTCAGTGACAGATGGACTCTGTCTCAAAAAAAAAAAAAAGGTAAAAAAATAAATCCGGTCGGGCGCGTTGGCTCACACCTGTAATCCCAGCACTTTGGGAGGCCGAGGCGGACGGATCACCAGGTCAAGAGATGGAGACCATCCTGGCCAACATGGTGAAATCCCATCTCTACTAAAAATACAAAAACTAGCTTGGCGTGGTGGCACGCACCTGTAGTCCCAGCTACTCGGGAGGCTGAGGCAAGAGAATCACTTGAACCTGGGAAGTGGAGGTTGCAGTGAGCCAAGATCGTGCCACTGGACTCCAGCCTGGCGACAGAGCGAGACTCTGTCTCAAAAATCAATCAATCCACCAGGTAGTCCAACCTGACTCCTCTGCTCCCACTGCTTGGCCCAGGTCACCATCATCTATCCACTGGGTAACTCCAAAAACCTCCTAACAATGTCAACCGGAGTCTACCCTTGCCTTTCTCTACATCTATTCCTAACGTTGCAGCCAAAATGCTTCTGTCAAACTGTAAAGCAGATTGTCATTTCTTTGCTCAAACCCTCATAATGGCTCTCCACTTGCCATAAAGTAAAACCTGAAATCCTTATAATGGGCAGGTGCAGTGGCTCAGCTCATGCCTGTAATCTGTGCACTTTGGGAGGGTGAGGTGGGAAGACTGCTTGGGCTTAGGAATTCCTGACCACCCTGGGCAACATAGCAAAACCCCATCTCAGGCCAGGCACAGTGGCTCACGCCTGTAATCCTAGCACTTTGGGAGACGAAGGTGGGCGGATCACTTGAGGGCAGGAGTTCAAGACCAGCCTGGCCAACATGGTGAAACCCTATCTCTACTAAAAATAAAAAAATTAGATGGGCATGGTGGCGGGCACCTGTAATCACAGCTACTCGGGAGGCTGAGGCAGAAGAATCACTCGAACCCGGGAGGCGGAGGTTGCAGTGAGCAAAGATCTGTGTCATTGCACTCCAGCCTGGGCAACAAAGCAAGACTTCTTCTCAAAAACAACAACAACAACAACAAAAAAAACAGACGAAATCCTTATAATGTCCTACAAAGCCCTTCAAAATTACCTTCTCCCCATTATATCTCTGAACGCCCTTCCTTCTTCCACTTTGATCCAGACACATACATTCCTTCTGGCTGCTCCTTAAACTTGCCAGGTATGTACTTGCTTAATAGCCTTTGCTGCATTCCCTCTGCCTGGAATGTTCTTCCCAAATATCTAATTGGCTGCCTACCCTGACCACCCTATTTAACTCTGCACTCTGCCCTCAGAGTGGGGGCAGCCCACTTTTTCTTTTCCATAGCATTTAACATCTTTTGGGCATGGCGCAGTGGCTCACGCCTGTAATCCCAACACTTTGGGAGGCCGAGGTGGGCAGATCACGAGGTCAAGAGATCGAGACCATCCTGGCCAACATGGTTAAACCCCATCTCTACTAAAAATACAAAAATTAGCTGGGCGTGGTGATGTGCACCTGTAGTCCCAGATACTCGGGAGGCTGAGGCAGGAGAATTGCTTGAACCCAGGAGGTGGAGGTTGCAGTGAGTAGAGGTTGTGCCACTGCACTCCAGCCTGGCAACAGAGTGAGACCCCGTCTCCGTCCACCATCTAGACAGGGCTCTTTTTTTTTTTTTTTTTTTTTGAGCTAGAGTTTCACTCTTGTTGTCCAGGCTGGAGAGCAATGGCGCGATCTTGGCTCACTGCAACCTCCGCCTCCCAGATTCAAGCAATTCTCCTGTCTCAGCCTCCTGCGTAGCTGGGATTACAGGCATGCGCCACCACACCTGGCTAATTTTTGTATTTTTAGTAGAGATGGGGTTTCACCATGTTGCTCAGGCTGGTCTTGAACTCCTGACCTCAGGTGTTCCACCCACCCTGGCCTCCCAAAGTGCTGGGATTACAGGCGTGAGCCACTGTGCCCGGCCGACAGAGCTCTTTATTATGTTCACTGATGTATTCCAGGAGCCCAGCCTGGGACATCATAAATATTTGTGAAGTAAATGAATTAGTTGTAAGGCTTAGAGATATTGGTGCTCAGTAAATACTTGGTATCACTATTATTAATAGGTCATAGGCCCAAGCTTTGAGCCTACACTGTAGTTAAAAGCAAACTGGGCCGGCCGTGGTGGCTCACGCCTGTAATCCCAGCACTTTGGGAGGCCGAGGCGGGCGGATCACTAGGTCAGGAGATTGAGACCATCCTGGCTAACAAGGTGAAACCTCGTCTCTACTAAAAAATAGAAAAAATTAGCCAGGCATGGTGGCAGGCACCTATAGTCCCTGCTACTCGGGAGGCTGCTGAGGCAGGAGAATGGCGTGAGCCCGGGAGGCGGAGCTTGCAGTGAGCCGAGATCGCACCACTGCACTCCAGCCTGGGCAACAGAGCCAGACTCTGTCTCAAAAAAAAAAAAAAAACAAAAAAAGCAAAGTGGAGCCAGGTGCAGTGGCTCACGCCTGTAATTTGGGAGGCCAAGGCGGGAAGATCACCTGAGGTTAGGAGTTCGAGACCACCCTGGCCAACATGGTGAAACCCTGTCTTTTTGTAAAAACACAAAAATTAACCAGACATGGTGGCGGGCGCCTGTAGTCCCAGCTATCTGGGAGGCTGAGGTGGGAGAACCGCTTGAACCAGGAAGCGGAGGTTGCAGTGAACCGAGATCGTGCCACTGCACTCCAGCCTGGGCGATAGAGAGAGACTCCATCTCAAAAAAAAAAAAAAAGCAAATTGGAGCCAAGAGAGGTAACTCACCCCAGTAATCCCAGCACTTTGGAAGGCAGAGGTGGGGGGATTGTTTGAGGCCAGGAGTTTGAGACAGCCTGGTCAACATAGTGAGACCCCCATTTCTGCAAAAATTAAAAAATTAGACGGACCTGGTGGTGTGAACCTGTCATCCCAGCTACTTAGGAGGCTGAGGCAGGAGGATCGCTTGAACTGAGGAGTTGGAGGCTGCAGTGAGCCAAGATGGTGCCACTGCACAACAGCCTGGGTAACAGACGGAAACCCTGTCTCAAAAAAAAAACAAAAAAAAATTAAAGTGGCACACTTGCAGTTGGACATTAGGAAGATTAACATATCAATACTGCTTAGGAGTAGTACAGGTAGGGTGGGGCCGTGCTGGAAGGATGGGAAGAGGGAGGCCGAAAAACAAATTGGTTCTTTTCAAACCATCCCTGATCTCCTCCCCGACTTTTATAAGTCTTATCTATAGGGAACACAACTATTCGAGACATACTCTGTGCCTGGCGCCGGGTTTACAAGAGGGGGTCGTGTCCCACTTCCCTGGCGAACTCCTACGAATCCTTCAATACCCGGCGGTACCCTCTGCCAGTAAAGGCTCATAAAACACGCTACAGTCACAGGATCTCCTCAGATCAGTGGAGGCGGCAGGAAGGCGTCCCAGGGAAGGGTTAACTTAAGCGAGATCCCAGCAGAGAAGCAGGTCGAAGATCCCCGGGCAGCGCGAAAGGAGGTTCAGAGAGCCCACCCCATCTCCTGCAACATCTCTCCAATGCAGGCACACACACGGGGTCCCCACGAGCACAGACACACAACCAACCGTCCTCTTTCCAGTCCCCACAAGGGACCTTCAAAGGGTCTCCTCCGGGGTACCACTCAGACCCGCCCCCGCCACCCGAGCGCGGGGAGCAGGAAAACTCTAGCGGCAGCCGAGACGCTGCTCACCCGGCGCTCGGCGCCATCTTGGCCCCGCCCCCTCGTGGGAGCAGGTCCTGGCAGAGCCTAAGAGCAAGTCACTGCCCCTTCCCCGTACCAGAATAAGTCCTCTAGGCTCGCAGAATGAAATTATATTTTAAAAGTTTGTTTCTACATCTATATATAAGGAGCACTCCCTCTTGGTGTAATTACTGCAATTTATTCCTTCACTACCCGGCTGCCAGGACCTTCAAGAGGCGCCACAAAACGGAGGCAGGGAAACCCGTAGCAACGAGGCCCCACCCTTGTTGGGCTGATCCTGCGCATGCGCCGACCTTCCTCGGCTGGATTTAAGGTTGCCGCTAGCCGCCTGGGAATTTAAGGGACCCACACTACCTTCCCGAAGTTGAAGGCAAGCGGTGATTGTTTGTAGACGGCGCTTTGTCATGGGACCTGTGCGGTTGGGAATATTGCTTTTCCTTTTTTTGGCCGTGCACGAGGCTTGGGCTGGGATGTTGAAGGAGGAGGACGATGACACAGAACGCTTGCCCAGCAAATGCGAAGGTATTTGAAGGGGGTAGCCCCTATAGGCATCGCCCGGCCACACCTCCTTCTTCTAGGCCGGACATCCTAGCCTGTATTGGGTGGGTCACCCGACCTCCTTGAAGGCTTGAGGGAGGTTCTGGTGGAGCTTGGCTGAATTTGGATGGGGTCAAGGAAGCGAACGTGTAGTGCCACCTCAAACTGCATCCAGAGAGAGCCTGCATTTTTTTGGCTGGCTTGGAACCCCCCGCCCGCCAATGGATTGTGGGAATTGTAGTTCAGGGACCATCGGCCCGGGACTGCCAACTTTTAGAGCATCTTCAGTGAGTGTTTACCTCATGTCACCAGACCTTAATCTGCAGAGGCTGCAGGAGCCGGGTGTGAGGCTCAGGCCTTGTGGACATCCGCTGCCCTACCCTAGCATAGACGCTCCCAAATTACAGGCCCCACACCCCGCTGAGGGGGTTTGAGGGTGAGTAATTCAGCCTTTGAAGCTCATAAACAAAAGGAAGCCACACAACTAGGAGAGTGTCCCCATCCGGTGAGACTTTGCAGACGGTGCGTACTATATGGATTTTTCAGCAAGCAGCGCCTTCCATAGCTGCACTAGCGTGGGGCCCAGTTGAGAAAGGGGGCTGGCCCTGATGCCCTAGTTTGCTGCCCTCCTGACTTTACGTTTCTTCCCTGGATTCCTTTTCTCTTCGCTTCACCCCCTCAACTGTATTCCAGTATCATGAAAGGCAGTCATGACAGTCTCATGACTTGGTCCTCATCTCTGTCTCCTTTCACCTCCGTGTGCCGCTCTTCTCCCCTGACCTGTCAATCTTTTTAAACAGACTTAATCACCTAATTGTATCAGTCCTTGCTTTAACACCTCTGCAGGCCTTCTATCAGAATACAGCCAACGGGCCTGGGCACAGTGGCTCACATCTGTAATCCCAGCACTTTGGAAGGCCAAGGTGGGAGGATCACTTGAGCCCATGAGTTCAGGCCCAGCTTCACCACAGCTTGTCATCCTTGGTTTATCTGTCCCAACTACACTGACAGAGACCTGTAGATAGAGATAATAGGTCTTATTGCTGTCTATATTGTTAGTATGCATACAGAAGGAGCTCAATAAATAACTGCAGGATAACAGTGAATACTTATACAGTGCTCACTATGTGCCAGCCTTTATATATGTTGATTTATTTAATCTTCATCACACTCCTATGAGGGACATACTATTATTATCCAATTGTATTAATTTTATATATATATATATATATATATATATTTTTTTTTTTTTTTTTTTTTTTTTTTTTTTTTTCTCTTTTCAGACAGCGTCTCATGCCGTTGCCCAGGCTGGAGTGCAGTGGTGCAATCTCGCTCACTGCAACCTCCGCCTCCCGGGTTCAAGCGATTCTCCTGCCTCAGCCTCCCAAGTAGCTGGGATTACAGGCGCCCGCCACCATGCCCAGCTAATTTTTGTATTTTTAGTAGAGACAAGGTTTCACTATGTTGGCCAGGATGGTCTCAATCTCTTGACCTCGTGATCCACCCACCTCAGCCTCCCAAAGTGTTGGGATTACAGGCATGAGTCACTGTGCTGGCCTATTTATTTTTAATGTATTTTACTTTTTTTAAGATGGAGTCTCCCTTTGTTGCCTGGGCTGGGGTGCAGTGGTGGGATCTCAGCTCACTGCAACCTCCACCTCCTGGGTTCGAGTGATTCTCCTGCCTCAGCTTCCCGAGTAGCTATTACAGGTGCGCACCACCACACCTGGCTAGTTTTTGTATTTTTAATAGAGATGGGGTTTCACCATGTGGGCCAGGCTGGTCTTGAACTCCTCAAGTGATCTGCCCGCCTCAGCCTCCCAAAGTGCTGGGATTACAGGTGTGAGCCACCACTCCTGGCCTATTATCCCATTATAAAGATGAAGAAACCGGCCGGGCGTGGTGGCTCACGCCTGTAATCCCAGTACTTTGGGAGGCCAAGGCGGGCGGATCACAAGGTCAGCTGATCGAGACCATCCTGGCTAACACGGTGAAACCCTGTCTCTACTAAAAATACAAAAAATTAGCCGGGCGTGGTGGTGGGTGCCTGTAGTCCCAGCTACTCGGGAGACTGAGGCAGGAGAATGGCGTGAACCCAGGAGGCGGAGCTGGCAGTGAGCCGAGACTGCGCCACTGCACTACAGCCTGGGCGACAGAGCGAGAGTCCGTCTGAAAAAAAAAAAAAAAAAGATGAAGAAACCGAGGCACAGCAAGCAGGAAGATTGCCACACAGCTGCTAAATGGCTGAGCCAGGATTCCAACCCAGCCAGTCTGGCTCCATAGTCTGCACTTGTATGCTCTGCTGCCTCAGGTCATCTGCAGAATGAATGGCTGGTGTGTTTGTCTTTTACCTCCCCCCGGACGTTTCTCCTCCCCACCAGTGTGTAAGCTGCTGAGCACAGAGCTACAGGCGGAACTGAGTCGCACCGGTCGATCTCGAGAGGTGCTGGAGCTGGGGCAGGTGCTGGATACAGGCAAGAGGAAGAGACACGTGCCTTACAGCGTTTCGTGAGTCCTTCGTGCTCCTCCCCTTTCCAACCCCCAACGGAGCCCTGGGAGTTCCTACAGCATCCAGGGAATCTTTGTTTCCTCTCTTTCCACAGAGAGACAAGGCTGGAAGAGGCCTTAGAGAATTTATGTGAGCGGATCCTGGACTATAGTGTTCACGCTGAGCGCAAGGGCTCACTGAGATATGCCAAGGTCAGACCCTTCCCCAGGGCAGGACCCCACTTCTCAGATACAAAGATCTGTATCCCCTGAGGCCCTCCAGAGGTTATCTGCCCATCATCTCACCATCATGGAACTCACCCTTGAATCTCCAGTAGTTGACAAAACTGAAATGGCAGAAAGGGGAAGGGAGGGGTGGGGTGGTGAGCTGGGCTGATGCCAAATTCTTAATCTCTCAGGGTCAGAGTCAGACCATGGCAACACTGAAAGGCCTAGTGCAGAAGGGGGTGAAGGTGGATCTGGGGATCCCTCTGGAGCTTTGGGATGAGCCCAGCGTGGAGGTCACATACCTCAAGAAGCAGGTAGGATAAGACACTGCACCATCCAGGGAGGTGAGAAGGGAACCTGAGAGGGGAGCTAGGTTCTAGGGTTTGACTATAGGGGATGTCTACCCCTAAGCATGGGGAAGGGGCCAGAGTGAGGACTGTGCCATTGATTAAAGTGGGTCCAGGAGCGGTGGGGTGCGGTGGCTCACACCTGTAATCCCAGCAATTTGGGAGGCTGAGGCAGGTGGATCACCTGAGGTCATAAGTTCGAGACCAGCCTGGCCAACAAGGCAAAACCCCGTCTTTAATAAAAACACAAAAGTTAGCTGGGCGTGGTGGTGCACGCCTGTGATCCCAGCTACTTGGGAGGCTGAGGCAAGAGAATTGCTTGAATCCAGGAGGTGGAGGTTGCCATGAGCCAAGATCGCACCATTGCACTCCAGCCAGGGCGACAGAGCAAGACTCCATCTTAAAAAAAAAAACAAAAACAAAAACAAAAAAAAAGAAATCATAATGAGCCGGGTGGAGTGGCTCACAACTGTAATGCTAGCACTTAGTGAGTCTGAGGGAGAAGGACTGTTTGAGACCAGAGTTAGAGACCAGCTTGTGCAACATAAGAGACCCCCTTCTCTACAAATAATAATAATTTTAAAGAATTTTTTTTTTCAAGACGGAGTTTCACTCTTATTGCCCAGGCTGGAGTGCACCGGCACCATCTCGGCTCACCGCGACCTCCGCCTCCCGGGTTCAAGCCATTCTCCTGCTTCAGCCTCCCGAGTAGCTGGGATTACAGGCCCCTGCCACCACGCCCAGCTAATTTTTTGTAATTTTAGTAGAGACGGGGTTTCATCATGTTGGCCAGGCTGGTCGAACTCCTGACCTCAGGTGATCCACCCGCCTTGGCCTCCCAAAGTGCTGGGATTACAGGCATGAGCCATTGGGCCCTGCCTTAAGGAAAATTTTTAAAAAGTAATAATGGGCCAGGTGCGATGGCTCACGTATGTAATCCCAGCACTTTGGGAGGGCGAGACAGGCGGATCACGACATCAGGGGTTCAAGACCAGCCGGGCCATCATAGTGAAACCCTGTCTCTACTAAAAATACAAGAATTAGCCGGGCGTGGTGGTGTGGTGGCATGCATCTGTAGTCCCAGCTACTCAGGAAGCTGAGGCAGGAGAATCACTTGAACCCGGGAGGCGGAGGTTGCAGTGAGCTGAGATCCCACCACTGCAGTCCAGCCTGGGTGACAGAGCGAGACTCCATCTCAAAAAAAAAAAAAAGTAACAATGGTTGCTAATGATATCCACCATCACTTATTGAGCACCTACTGTGTCCCAGACTCTGGACCAGATACTTTGCATCTGTAGCCTCATTTTACCCTTAACAGCCTGATGTGGTAGGTGCAATTACCATACATATTTTACAGGCAAGGAGCTGAGACTCAAGAGTTTAATAATCTACTTGGCAGAATAGGTGCTGGTAAATGTTTGTTGAATGAATGAGGATTGCACATCTAGTAGGCCAAACTTAGCTTCCTGGCTACCTGCCTCTCCAAAATCAGTCAGGTTGAGCAGGGAGAGAAGACAGGCGGGATCCCAAATCCCTCCAGAGCAGATACTCTTCTGGCCCTTCTACTTGACCAGTGTGAGACCATGTTGGAGGAGTTTGAAGACATTGTGGGAGACTGGTACTTCCACCATCAGGAGCAGCCCCTACAAAATTTTCTCTGTGAAGGTCATGTGCTCCCAGCTGCTGAAACTGGTAAGCGTAAGGGTTGAACTCCTCTCCTGCCAAGCCATAGCCTCCCCTGCCTCCAGGACTAATATCTAAATTGTTTTCTGTCATCCGATCTAGCATGTCTACAGGAAACTTGGACTGGAAAGGAGATCACAGATGGGGAAGAGAAAACAGAAGGGGAGGAAGAGCAGGAGGAGGAGGAGGAAGAGGAGGAAGAGGAAGGGGGAGACAAGATGACCAAGACAGGAAGCCACCCCAAACTTGACCGAGAAGATCTTTGACCCTTGCCTTTGAGCCCCCAGGAGGGGAAGGGATCATGGAGAGCCCTCTAAAGCCTGCACTCTCCCTGCTCCACAGCTTTCAGGGTGTGTTTATGAGTGACTCCACCCAAGCTTGTAGCTGTTCTCTCCCATCTAACCTCAGGCAAGATCCTGGTGAAACAGCATGACATGGCTTCTGGGGTGGAGGGTGGGGGTGGAGGTCCTGCTCCTAGAGATGAACTCTATCCAGCCCCTTAATTGGCAGGTGTATGTGCTGACAGTACTGAAAGCTTTCCTCTTTAACTGATCCCACCCCCACCCAAAAGTCAGCAGTGGCACTGGAGCTGTGGGCTTTGGGGAAGTCACTTAGCTCCTTAAGGTCTGTTTTTAGACCCTTCCAAGGAAGAGGCCAGAACGGACATTCTCTGCGATCTATATACATTGCCTGTATCCAGGAGGCTACACACCAGCAAACCGTGAAGGAGAATGGGACACTGGGTCATGGCCTGGAGTTGCTGATAATTTAGGTGGGATAGATACTTGGTCTACTTAAGCTCAATGTAACCCAGAGCCCACCATATAGTTTTATAGGTGCTCAATTTTCTATATCGCTATTAAACTTTTTTCTTTTTTTCTAAAAACTAGCTGGGCCCAAAGTTTCAAACAACAGCCGGGCACACATAGCTAGCTGGTCGATGAGGCAGCACCCAGAATGGCCGCTGTCTTGTTAAGCTCAAGCTCCAGCCTGAGCAACATAGTGAAACCCCAATTCTACACACACACACACACACAAAGAAGACTGCAGGGCTGGTGGTGCAGCGCCTGTAGTCCCAGTTACTGCAGAGGTGGAGATGGGAGGATCACTTGAGTCCAAAAGGTCAAGACCAGCCTGGAGGCTGGGCGCAGTGACTCACACCTGTAATCCTAGCACTTTGGGAGGCCGAGGCAGGCGGATCACCTGAGTGTAGGAGTTCGAGAGCAGCCTGGCCAACATGGAGAAACCTCGTCTCTACCAAAAATACAAAAATTAGCCGGGCGGCTGGGCGCGGTGACTCACGCCTGTAATCCCAGCACTTTGGGAGGCCAAGGCGGGTGGATAACAAGATTAGGAGATCGAGACCATCCTGGCTAATACGGTGAAAGCCCGTCTCTACTAAAAATACAAAAAATTAGCCGGGTGTGGTGGCAGGCGCCTGCAGTCCCAGCTACTCGGGAGGCTGAGGCAGAAGAATGGCGGGAACCCGGGAGGCGGAGCTGGCAGTGAGCCAAGATCGTGCCACTGCACTCCAGCCTGGGTGATAGAGCGAGACTCCGTCTCAAAAAAAAAAGCCACGCATGGTGGTGGGCGCCTGTAATCCCAGTTACTCGGGAGGCTGAGACAGGAGAATCGCTTGAACCCAGGAGGCGGAGGTTGCAGTGAGCTGAGATCACGCCACTGCACTCTAGCCTGGGCGACAGAACAAGACTCCGTCTCAAAAAAAACCAAAAAAAATTTAGAGGGGCGTGCACGCCTGTATTCCCAGCACTCCAGGAGGCTGAAGCAGGAGGATCGCTAGAACCAGGGGTTCAAGACTGGGGCGAGCTATGATGGTGCCCCTGCACTCTAGCCTGGGCGACAGGGCGAGACTGTCTCAAAAGAAAAAAAGACCAGGCGCGGTGGCTCACACCTGTAATCCTAGCACTTCAGGAGACCAAGACTGGAGGATCGCTGGAGCCCAGGAGTTCCAGACCAGTCCTGGCAACAGAACTAGACCGTGTCTCCAAAAAAAAAGAGAAAGAAAAAATAGAAACCTTAGCTGGGCTTGGTGGTGCGCATCTGTGGTCCCAGATACTCGGGACGCTGAGGCGGGAGGATCACATGAGCCCAGGAGGTTGAGGCTGCAGTGAGGTATGATCGCGCCACTGCACTCCTGCCTGGGCAACTGAGCATGAACCCTCCTCAAAGCTAATGGCGCTTCAAAATTCTGCAGTGCAAAGAAGTTGCTGGGGTTGCGGAGCGGAGAACCGCCAGGAGGCTGGAGCCCAGCCAGGCAGCCTCCTCGGGCACACGGTGAAGGCGCCGGAACTACAGCTACCTCCGCGGCGCCGCTTCGGCCGCCATATCTGGGTACACGGGAACCGCAGAGGACAAACTCTCACCCGCGTTTTCGATTTCTGCGCTTTCTTCGAGTGAGGCAAGACCTAGCAGAGGCCCAAGGTAGAGCGCGGCTAGGATTCGATGGAGGGAAACATAAAGGATAGCCTTTGGAGGGTGACGGGCAAGGACGTACGTACCGCGAACGGAATGGGGCGGGGGCCGAGGACGCCGAGGGAGGGGCGGGCCCAAGTGTGAAGGGAGTCTGGGCGATACCATTTTGGGCAGGGGTTGAGGGTGATACCAACTTAATGGGAGGCGGGTGGCAGAGAACCGAGGCTTAGGGGCAGTGGCGGGGCCGAGCGCGGGTGGGGGATCGCGGAGGGACAGGACGGTCGCCCACTGCTCCATTTCCTTTCTCCCCAGCCCGTCCCTCCCTGCCAGGAGCAGCCTCATGCGGACCGAGCCGCTGTGCGGGGCATCCCCTCTGCTGGTGCCCGGCGACCCCTACTCTGTGGTGGTTCTGCTGCAGGGCTACGCGGAGCCAGAGGGTGTGGGCGATGCCGTGCGCGCCGACGGCTCCGTGACCCTGGTCCTACCCCAGACCCGGGGCCCGGCCTCCAGCCACCGAGAGTCCCCGCGCGGGAGTGGCGGCGCAGAGGCCGCCCTGGAGGAGGCGGCCCGTGGCCCCATCCTGGTGGACACCGGGGGCCCCTGGGCTCGGGAGGCGCTGCTGGGGGCGCTGGCGGGGCAGGGCGTGGCCCCGGGAGACGTGACGCTAGTGGTGGGGACCCACGGGCACTCGGATCACATCGGGAACTTGGGGCTGTTCCCAGGCGCGGCTCTGCTGGTCTCGCACGACTTCTGCCTTCCCGGAGGCCGCTACCTGCCCCACGGGCTGGGTGAGGGGCAGCCCCTGCGCCTGGGCCCGGGGCTCGAGGTGTGGGCCACGCCGGGCCACGGGGGCCAGCGCGACGTGAGCGTGGTGGTGGCCGGCACGGCTCTGGGCACCGTGGTGGTGGCGGGAGATGTGTTTGAGCGAGATGGGGACGAGGATTCGTGGCAGGCACTGAGTGAAGACCCCGCAGCCCAGGAGCGGAGCCGGAAGAGGGTCCTGGTCGTTGCCGACGTGGTCGTACCTGGTCACGGGCCCCCCTTTCGAGTGTTAAGGGAAGCCTCGCAGCCCGAGACGGAGGGTGGAGGGAACAGCCAGCAGGAGCCGGTGGTCGGAGACGAGGAGCCCGCCCTGCACTAATCAGCCTCGAGAGGGACTGCACTCTTGTCAGGGAAGCCCTAACAGCGAAGAGCTGCTGGAGACAGAGTCAGAGCAGTCAAGGGTGGGAGCTTCCAGCCCTTCCAGGAGGCCAGTTTTCTAGTGAAGACAGAGTGCACCTGACACTGCCATCACATCGTCAGTATCACTGCCTGTCTCTGCCACCAAACTAAGATCAAAGGAGGGGCTCAGCTCCCTGTGCATTCTCCCTGGGCCTCAGTAAAATGGGAGAAGGTTCGTGGGAGGGGCCTCCAAAATAAAAATGGAAACTGCATTGAAAATCATAGTGCCCTAGTGTAAATGTGAAGCATTGACAATGATAATCGTGCAAACATGGTAATCTACAACTACAGCAGAGGCATACTTTGGCCAATTGCCCCTTTCTTATAGGATGGAGGTTGCTGAGAGAAGGTACAGGGCATAAAGATGACCCCTTAGTCACCTGACTTATGTATTTGTTCATATTTTTTTGTCACACAGGCTAGAGTGCAGTTGTGCAGTCATAGCTCACTGCAGCCTCCAGCTTAAGCCATCCACCTGCCTCAGCCTCCCAAGTAGCTGGGATGACAGGCAAGTGCCACTATGCCCCACTAATTTTTTTTTTTTTTTGAAACACGGTTTCACTCTGTCCCCACAGGCTGCAATGCAATAGCACAATCTTGTACTGCAGACTGCACTGCAACCTCTGCCTCCTGGGTTCAATTGGTTCTTGTGCCTCAGCCTTCCCAGCAGCTGGGATTACAGGCTCACACTACCATGTCCAGCTAATTTTTATATTTTTAGTAGAGAAAGGGTCTTACCATGTTGGCCACACTGGTCTCAAACTCCTGGCCTCAAGTGATCTGCCCATCTCAGCCTCCCAAAGTGCTGAGGTTACAGGTATGAACCACCATGCCTGGCTATCAGCTAATTTTTTTTTTTCATTTTTTTTCAGAAATGGTCTCACTGTGTTGCCCAGGCTGGTCTTGAACTCCTGACCTAAAAAGATCCTACCTTCTCAGGCCCTCTGCATTTTTTTTTGCTGGGATTACAGGCATGAGCCACTGTGCCCTTCCCCAAGTGTGATGATTTAATATCTGTTTTCTTTCAGCAGCCGGATTGCTCCCATGGGCATGGGATGGGGCCACACCTGCCTGGCTCTCCTATGCTTGGGACCTCCAGCACCTTGGACAACCTCTGGCACAGAGTAGGGCGGGGTGAAACAGCAACAGATGCCTGAAGTGAGATCCTAAGAGCTCACAGAGCAGACCAGTTCTACTTGCTCTAAGCACTTTCTGTACATTATTATTATTATTATTATTGACTGAGTCTTGCTCTGTAACCCAGGCTGGAGTGTAGTGGTGCAATCAAAACTCACTGTGACCTGGAACTCCTGGGCTTAAGTGATCCTTCCACTTCAGCCTTCAGCCTCCCAAACTGCTGGGGTTACAGGCGTGAGCCACCGTGCCCAGCCCCATCCATTAACTTATTTGTTCCTCATCGCAGCTCTGAGCTAAGTACTATTATTATCTTTCTTTCTTTCTTTCCTTTCTCTCTCTCTCTCTGTCTCTTTCTTTCTTTCCACAGAGTCTCACTCTGTTGCCCAGGTTGGAGGAGTGCAGTGGCTCGATCTCGGTCAATGCAACCTCCGCCTCCTGGGTTCAAGCACTTCTCTGCCTCAGCCTTCCGAGTAGCTGGGATTACAGGTGCCTGCCACCGTGCCCAGCTACATTTTTTTTTTTTTTCTGAGACGGAGTTTCACTCTTGTTGCCCAGGCTGGAATACAGTGGCACAGTCTCAGCTCACTGCAACCTCCGCCTCCTGGGTTCAAGCGATTCTTGTGCCTCAGCCACCCGAGTAGCTGGGACTACAGGCGCACACCACCACATCTAGCTAAATTTTCTATTTTTAGTAGAGACAGGGTTTCACCATGTTGGCCAGGCTGGTCTCGAACTCCTGACCTCAGGCGATCCACCCACCTCAGCCTCCCAAAGTGCTGGGATTACAGGCGTGAGTCACTGCGCCTGGCTTTTTGTATTTTTTTTTTTAAGCGGAGATGGGGTTTTGCCATGTTGGCCAGGCTGGTTGAACTCCTGACCTCAGGTGATCCAGCTGCCTCAGCCTCCCAAAGTGCTAGGATTACAGATGTTGAGCTGCCACACCTGGCCTATTATTCCTTTTCACAAATAAGAAAATACTGAAGTGCTGAGTGGTTAAGTGACTTGACCTTAAGTCAACAGAGATGACATAAATAGTAATTAGTGGCTGGGTGAGGTGGCTCACACCTGTAATCCCAGAGCTTTGGGAAGCTGAGGTGGGAGGATTGCTTGAGCCCAGGAGTTTGAGGCCAGCCTGGGCAACATAGCAAAACCCCAACTCTAAAAAAAGAAAAAAAAAATTAGTTGGGCTTGGTGGAGCCCACCTGCAGCCCCAGCTACTTGGGAGGCTGAGGCAGAAGGATCACTTGAGCCCAGGAGTTGGAGGCTGCAGTGAAGCCATGATTGCATCACTGCACTCCAGCATGGGCAACAGGTCAAGACCCTGAAAGTTATTGGCAAAGAGTAACTGGCAGAGCAGAGATTCCAACCCAGGCAATCTCGCTACAGAGGTGGACTTTACCTCTTCATGGCATTCTGAGGCGGCTCCTGCAATGAATAATAGATTGATTTCCAATCGACCAATGCAAAAGGGACACGTGGTTTTTCTTTTCTAACCAAAGAGAGCATACGCATTAGACTGGAAAGACCAGAGTTTCCTAGTGCTAAGTTCTCAGGTTGAGGACTGAGTGCCACTGGAAATTTCCCGGACGAAAAGCTGCTTGGAGCCTCCAGGGACCGGCATCCGGTAAGAGAAGGCGCTGCAGGAGCCTCCAGCTTAGCCCCCCTACCTGGGTACTTCGCCCCGGCCCCACTACCTCCAGGCATCCGAGCGGCAGCTGTTAACTTTCGTGATCTTTGGCGCCCCCTTCTGCAGGCCCGCGGAGCAGCAGCCGTCTCGACTGCCGTCCCTCTCCCGGGAGCGCAGCAGCCTCTTTCTTTCCTTTTTCTTTTCTTTTCTTTTCTTTTCTTTTCTTTTCTTTTCTTTTCTTTTCTTTTCTTTTCTTTTCTTTTCTTTTCTTTTCTTTTCTTTTCTTTTTCTTTCTTTCTCTCTTTCTTTCTCTCTTTCTCTCTTTCCTTCTTTCCTTCTTTTTCTCTCCTTCCTTCCTTCCTTTCTTTCTTTCTTTCTCTCTCTCTTTCTCTCCCCGCTTCTCTCTTTCTTTCTTTTTTTCTTTTGAGACGGAGTCTCGCTCTGTTACCCAGGCTGGAATGCAGTGGCGCGATCTCGACTCGCTGCAAGCTCTGCCTTCCAGGTTCACGCCATTCTCCTGCCTCAGCATCCCGAGTAGCTGGGACTACAGGCGCCCGCCACCACACCCGGCTAATTTTTGTATTTTTAGTAGAGACGGGGTTTCACCGTGTTAGCCACGATGGTCTCGATCTCCTGATGTCGTGATTCGCCCGCCTCCGCCTCCCAAAGTGCTGGGATTACAGGCTTGAGCAACCGCGCCGGGCCCTTTTCTTTCCTTTTCCTTTTCTTTCTTTTCTTTCTTTCTTTGTTTCTTTGTTTCTTTCTTTCTTTCTTTCTTTCTTTCTTTCTTTCTTTCTTTCTTTCTTTTTCTTTCTTCTCTCTCTCTCTTCCTTCCTTCCTTTCTTTTTTTAGAGACAGAGTCTTGGGCCGGGCACAGTGGCTCATACCTGCAAGATTCCATCTCATAAATAAATAAATAAATAAATAAATAAATAAATAAAATTTATGTAGCCATGAGGTGTCACCGTGTTGCCCAGGCTGGTCTTGAACTTCCAGGCTAAAGCAATCCTTCCACCTCATACTCTAGAGTAGCTGGGACTACAGGTACACAACACTATGCCTGGCTAATTTTTTATTTTATTTTTTATAGAGATGGGGTCTCACTGTGTTGCCTGGGCTCAAGTGATTCTCTCGCCTTGGCCTCTCAAAGTACTGGGATTACAGGCATGAGCCATTGCGCCCAGCCTGGAAGGAGGTTTTGGTTCACCAAACATAATCCTCCTCTTGCTGGTAGGTCTCCAGCAGGTGCTCCACTTATACTGGCATATACGGTCTTATACTGGCTCTGACCCAAAGCCTAGTGTCTAAGCCACCACCAAACACATCTGCAGGTCCCTTCTTGTGTTTAAAACTATATGTCTGTGGCTGGGCGTGGTGGCTTACGCCTGTAATCCCAGCACTTTGGGAGGCTGAGGGGGGTGGGTCACTTGACGTCAGGAGTCCGAGACCAGCCTGGCCAGCATGGTGAAATCCTATCTCTACTAAAAATACAAAAATTAGCTCGGCGTGGTAGCATGCACCTATAATCCCAGTTACTCGGGAGGCTGAGGTAGGAGAATCGCTTGAACACGGGAAGTGGAGGTTGCAGTGAGTCGATTGTGCCACTGAACTCCAGCCTGGATGACAGAGGGAGACTCCATCTCAAAAAACAAACAAACAAAAAACAACTGTATGTCTGTGGGTTTTGCTAAATCCCACAGAGAATAACTCGCATCTCTGTCTCCTGATCCTCACTGGTGCACCTGCACACCCTCCCCTTGCCACCAGAGGGGAGTCTAGGCTTGCCTCCAACTCCCTGGTCTCCAGCTCTCCCTACCCCTGACAAACCCTTCCTTCTCTGTGCCTCAAAACCTGGAGTAAATCCCCCTTTCCCCTCCTATCTCCTCTGTTGGCAACCCTGCTTCTACCATCTCCATCCTAGACGTAGAACAAGGAGCTTGTTTACACACAGAAGAAAGAGAGGCGCTGAGTTAGGGAGTAGCTAATGAAAGTGGATCTCTGAGGTCCTGGGGATTCCTTGCACAGTGGGCTAAAAAGAGGGAGAGATGCCAGAGAAGATAGACAGATCACAAAGGGCAAAGCTGCATAAATGCACAGATCAAAGGGAGAACTGGGAAAGTGTTACCAGATGGTGCCGTGCAATTCCAGGCTCTTGGTGTCCCGAACAAAGAATTGGACGAGACACAAACAGATAGCAAAGCAAAGCAGCAAAACTGTATTAAGCACAGTATTCCACTCTCGGAGGGCAGAGCAGAGTGACCTCTGCCAGATGAGATCAGCATTAGTTTGGTGTACTTTTTTTTTTTTTTTTTTAGACGGAGTCTCTGTCGCCCAGGCTGGAGTGCTTTGGTGCAATCTCGGCTCAGTGCAGCCTCCACCTCCCAGGTTCAAGCAATTCTCCTGCCTCAGCCTCCTGAGTAGCTGGGATTATAGGCACACGCCACCACGCCCGCCTAATTTTTGTATTTTTAGTAAAGATGGGGTTTCATCATGTTGGCCAGGCTGGTCTTGAACTCCTGACCTCAAATTATCCACCCGCCTTGGCCTCCCAAAGTGCTGGGATTACAGGCGTGAGCCACCGTGCCTGGCCATGAAGCTTGAAGTTGTTTATTAGACATCGGACCTGTGCTCAAGACCCCAGGTAGAAAATTTTTAAAATCCAGGCCAGGCGCGGTGGCTCATGCCTGTAATCCCAGCCCTTTGGGAGGCCGAGATAGGCAGATCACGAGGTCAGGAGATGGAGACCATCCTGGCTAACATGGTGAAACCCTGTCTCTACTAAAAATACAAAAAATTAGCCGGGCATGGTGGCGGGTGCCCGTAGTCCCAGCTACTCAGGAGGCTGAGGCAGGAGAATGGCGTGAATCCGGGAGGTGGAGGTTGCAGTGAGCTGAGACTGTGCCAGTGCACTCCAGCCTGGGTGACAGAGCGAGACTCTGTCTCAAAAAAAAAAAAAAAATTTTAATCCAAGGATCAGTAAGAAACCATCAATGTAGAAGATGTATATCAATAATGGCAGTTTTTGAAGTTTCCAGTTGCATGATTAAATAATTAGAAGCTGTGTTCAGCAGTGTTTGTAATATATAATGAAATAATTCTACAACTCATCATCATGTAGAATCAGTGGGAGCCCTGAGCTTGTTTTCCTGCAACTAGAGACCAGCCTGGCCAACATGGTGAAACCCTGTCTCTACTAAAAATACAAAAATTAGCTGGGCGTGGTGGTGTGCGCCTGTAATCCCAGCTACTCGGGAGGCTGAGGCAGGAGAATTGCTGGAACCCGGGAGGCGGAGGTTGCAGTGAGCCGAGAATGTGCCACTGCACTCCAGCCTGGGCAACAGAATGAGACTCTGTCTAAAAAAAAAAAAAAAAAGAAAAAGCAACTGCTGTCTACTCTCCAATTTCTCTCCCTGCAGCCCCACCTTTAATTGGGAGTTTTTGTCCTTCTCAGCATTTAGTTTTTGGGGCTAAGGGAAAACCCAGGAATTCAGACCATCATCTCTTAGAAATTCCAGACATCCGGCCAGGCACGGTGGCTCACGCCTGTAATCCCAGCACTTTGGGAGGCTGAGGCGGGCGGATCATGAGGTCAGGAGATCGAGACCATCCTGGCTAACACAGTGAAACCCCGTCTCTACTAAAAATACAAAAAATTAGCCGGGCGTGGTGGCCGGCGCCTGTAGTCCCAGCTACTTGGGAGGCTGAGGCAGGAGAATGGCGTGAACCCGGGAGGCGGAGCTTGCAGTGAGCCAAGATCATGCCACTGTACTCCAGCCTGGGCGACAGAGTGAGACTCTGTCTCAAAAAAATAAATAAGTAAATAAATAAATTCCAGACATCCTACCACTCAGTTGATCCTTTTCTTTTTTTTTCTTTCTTCCTTTTACCTTTTTTTTTTTTTTTTTTTTTTGAGACAGGATCTCACTCTGTCACCCAGGCTGGTGCAGTGGGGGTGATCATAGCTTGCTGCAGCCTCGACCTCCCAGACTCAAGTGATCCTCCCACCTCAGACTCCCAAGTAGCTGGGACCACAGGCACTTGCCACCATGCCCAGCTAATTTTTTGATTTTTTGTAGAGACAGAGTCTCTCCCAGGGTACTGGGATTACAGACTTGAGCTGCCATGCCCAGCATGAATGCTTTTTTTCTAAGTCTGAATTTTCATTGTCGTCTTCTTTTTTTTTTTTTCTGAGACAGAGTCTCTCTCTGTAGCCCAGGCTAGAGTGCAGTGGCACCATCTCGGCTCACTGCAACCTCTGCCTCAAACAATTTTCCTGCCTCAGCCGCCAGACTGGGACTACAGGTGCATGCCACCATGCCTGGCTAATTTTTGTATTTTTTATTTTTTTAAATTTTATTTTATAAATTATATATATATATATATATATATATATTTTTTTTTTTTTTTTTTTTTTTTTTGAGACGGAGTCTAGCTCTGTTGCCCAGGCGGGAGTGCAGTGGCGTGGCGTGATCTCAGCTCACTGCAACCTCCGTTGTCCAGGTTTAAGCAATTCTCCTGCCTTAGCCTCCCGAGTAGCTGGGATTACAGGTGCCCACCACCACGCCCAGCTAATTTTTGTATTGTTAGTACAGATGGGGTTTCACCATGTTGACCAGGCTGGTCTCGAACTCATGACCTCAGGCGATCTGCCCGCCTTGGCCTCCCAAAGTGCTGGGATTACAGGCATGAGCCACTGTGCCCAGCCCCAGATCATGATTTTAATCCATACTGATTGCTTGACAAATAGAAGAAATACACTGCTCCCTAAACCTGAGTCTGTCCATGTGTCTGTTTCCCCTGCCTACATTTTCTTTCTGAAATTTAAATCCCCTTCCCCCATTGCAGGATACTCCTCAACCCTTGCTCCCCTCCCTCTGTAAGTCCCCAAAGCCTTGTGTCCTCTTTTCATAAAAAACTCACAGGGTAGCGTCCTGGTGATGTTTCACCTACTGCCAAAGTACAGCATCTGAAAATGTGTGGAAGATGTGGCTGGTCAAGCACCCAGAAGGAAGTTCAGTGGGGAGAAAGGCAGCTGCCTGAGGAAGGAGAGAACCACACTTCTTAGTAGAGTAAATGTAGAGTCTGGGAATGCAAGCGCAAAGAAGGAATAAGGCTGCCGGCAAGAGGAACCTAATGACTGTGGAACTTAATGGTCCAGACCCCCAGGAAAAGAATAATCACCTCCTCCTCCCACTCACCCACCAGAAAGCATTTTTGTTTGTTTGTTTGTTTGAGACGGAGTCTCATTGTGTCACCCAGACTGGAGTGTAGTGGCGCCATGCAACCTCCGCCGCCCGGGTTCAAGCGATTCTCCTGCCTCAGCCTCCTGAAGAGCTGGGATTATAGGCACACGCCACCACACCCAGCTAATTTTTGTGTTTTTGGTAGAGATGGGGTTTCATCATGTTGGCCAGGCTGGTCACAAACTCCTGACCTCAAGTGATCCGCCCGCCTTGGCCTCCCAAAGGTCGGATTTACAGGTGTGACCCACCACGCCCAGCCCAGAAAGCCTTTTCTACTGGATATCTGTAGAAGAAAGCAATGCCCTGGGGAGAGGGTTGCGTTTCTCTGCTTTCTAGAAAGAAACTGGACTTGAAGGCAGTACCTAAGTATATAAAGAAATTATGCAGGGATGGATGGTATATTGAGCTCTATGGCTTGAGCTCAGGAGTTTGAGACCAGCCTGGCAGCAAAGTGAGACCCTATTACTACAAAAAATACAAAAATTAGCTGGGCATGGGGGCGCACATCTGTAGTCTCAGTTACTCAGGAGGCTGAAGTGGGAGGATCACTTGAGCCCAGGAGTTGGAGGCTGCAGTAAGCTATGATTGCACCACTGCACTCCAGCCTAGGCAACAGAGCAAGACCCCATCTCAAAAAAATAAACAATTAAAAAATTAAAAAGTTGCTTCATGTGACCAATATGTTTTTTATTTTATTTATTTTTTTTCTGGGACGGAATCTCCCTCTGTCGCCCAGGCTGGAGTGCAGTGGCGCGATCTTGGCTCACTGCAGCCTCCACCTCCTGGGTTCAAGTGATTCTCCTGCCTCAGCCTCACAAATAGCTGGGACTAAGGCGCATGCCACCATGCCTGGCTAATTTTTTTTATTTTTAGTAGAGATAGGGTTTCACCATATTGGTCAGGCTGGTCTGGAACTCCCGCCCTCAGGTAATCCGCCTGCCTCGGCCTCCCAAAGTGCGGAGATTACAGGTGAGCCACTGCACCCGGCCACAGCAATATGTTTAGACTTACGTTTTCTAGCAGCAAGGCCAACACTAAAGGTTATAAGATGTTTTCTTGCTTTTTAAAATTTGTTCTTTCTTTTTTTTTTTTTAATTATTTTTTTTGAAATGGAGTCTCACTCTGTCGCCCAGGCTGGAGTGCAGTGGCGCAATCTCGGCTCATTGCAAGCTCCATCTCCCGGGTTCGCGCCATTCTCGCCTTGGCCTCTGGAGTAGCTGGGACTACAGGCGCCTGCCACCACACCCGGCTAATTTTTTGTATTTTTTAGTAGGAACGGGGTTTCACCGTGTTAGCCAGGATGGTCTCGATCTCCTGATCTTGTGATCCGCCCGCCTTGGCCTCCCAAAGTGCTGGGATTACAGGCGTGAGCCACCACGCCCGGCCCACTTTTTTTTTTTTTAAACACATATATTTACATATTTTTTTCTAGTGCCAAAAGTAAAATGTTTTATTTCCCTGTAAGGTAAGATACAAATTTGTCTGGAGAAAAAGTCCTGTTAACTAAAATATTAATACAAGGTACAAAGACGAAAGTAGAGTTGTTTGGAGAAAACTTGAGATAATAGAGTCCCTGAGGGTAAAGTAGGGTCATTGTTGCAAAAACTGAGGGAGGAAGGTTGTGCTCAAGGGTTTATAAGGTAGTGGTTCAGCATGCTGGTTTCTTTCCAGGTCAGTAGGTTCCATCATAAGCTGTGGTCACATTCAGCTACCTGTTCCATTGAGTGATCAAACAAGGTTGGGAGCTGAATACACACACACACAAAAATCTTCACCTGAAGCCATATCTAGGTGGTGACAGGCACCTGCTTTCCCCTAGGGTATATATTGCAAGTCACTGGCTCTTAGCCCTGCTGCTAGTCCAGGAAGTAACTTCGTGTGTCTAGAAACCTACACCTTCCTGAAGCGCGTTAGTCCCATCTGCCAGGAAATCAGCCTTCCAAAATGTACAAACCTTTTTTACAAAATAAAGCCTGAGCTTCAGCTGAGATGCTTTGGGAGAAATGAATTGTTCAGTTTTATCTGAAGCCATTTTTAGAAATTATAATGCACAAATCTGAGCCCGGTGTATGAAGTCCTTGGGGACCTTCTTGCTTTATTCTGCTGCCTCACCTCTTGCCTCATCCCATCCCCAACTCAAACATTTTTCTGTGTGATTTATGTTATACCTGGGCATCTCTGTTCCCCAGCCGTGAGTGCCCTTCTGACACTCTGTACCTGGCTGACACAAAGTCCTCTTTGAGAACGCAGCTTAGATATCTCCCCTTTGGGTGGGGCACGATGGTTCATGCCTGTAATCCCCAGCACTCTGGGAGGCTGAGGCGGGCAGATCAGTTGAGGCCCGGAGTTGAAAACCAGCCTAGTCAACATGGTGAAACCCCACATCTACTAAAAATACAAAAATTAGCTGGTACGGTGGTGCGC
Organism: Homo sapiens; assembly: GCF_000001405.40. Taxonomy (NCBI): domain Eukaryota; kingdom Metazoa; phylum Chordata; class Mammalia; order Primates; family Hominidae; genus Homo; species Homo sapiens. The sequence continues at coordinate 100,138,708 of NC_000007.14, forward strand.
ACCTACTCCCAGCTACTCGGGAGGCTGAGGCTGGAGCATCGCTTGAACCCAGGAGGTGGAGGTTGCAGTGAGCCGAGATTGAGCCACTACACTTCACTTCAGCCTAGGCAAAAGGGTGAGACCCCATCTCCAACAACAACAAAAAAGATATCTCCTTTTTTTTTTTTTTTTTTTTGAGATGGAGTCTAGCTCTGTTGCCCAGGCTGGTGTGCAATGGCACAATCTCGGCTCACTGCAACCTCCGCCTCCCAGGTTCAAGCAATCCTCCTGCCTCAGCCCCCCCAGTAGCTGAGATTACAGGCACGTGCCACCACGCCCAGCTAATTTTTGTATTTTTAGTAGAGACGAGGTTTCGCCATGTTGACCAGGCTGGTCTCGAACTCCTGACCTCAGGTGATCCACCTGCCTCGGCCTCCCAAAGTGCTGGGATTACAGGCGTGAGCTACTGTGCCTGGCCAAGATATCTCCTTTTTGTGGAATTCTTCCCACAACCCCAAAGGCTGAGTCACATACCTTTCCTGTGTATTCTCACTTCTTTTTTTTTTTTTTTAAGATGGAGTCTCGCTCTGTCGCCCAGGCTGGAGTGCAGTGGTGCGATCTTGGCTCACTGCAAGCTCCACCTCCTGGGTTCAAGCGATCCTCCTGATTCAGCCTCCTGAGTAGCTGGGATTACAGGCACCCGCCACCACGCCCAGCTAATTTTTTTTTTTTTTTTGTATTTTTAGCAGAGACGGGGTTTCACCATGTTAGCCAGGATGGTCTCGATCTTCTGACCTCGTGACTCACCTGCCTTGGCCTCCCAAACTGCTGGGATTACAGGTGTGAGCCACCGCGCATGGACTTTTTTTTTTTTTTTCTCAATTTGAGAGCAGTTACTGTTTATTAACTGAAAACATTAGAACAATAATCATGGTAGACACCTTAGTTCATCTAATAAGTCTGTTGATCTGGTCCTCTCTGTTGCCAGTATCTCCACCTTCTACAAAATGGGTGGTCTTTTTCTTCATTCTACCTCGTGGAGAGGATAATTGAAAGGAGCATGGGAAGTTATTTGCTTCTTTGAAGCATTTTCCAACAGTATAGATCTTATGAATCAGATCCTCCATGTAGGTGATGCCATGTTTACCAAGAGATCAAGCAATCAAGTGTTATCTGTCAAAGCAATTCACTTCTTATTGATTTTGCCATAACCACACTTGTAGATTAGTTCAATTACTGACTTCAGATTTGGGTATCCCCATGCAATATATGGTTCCACAATCCTCAGCATGTTTTTTGTTTGTTTGTTTGAGATGGAGTCTTGCTCTGTCACCTAGGGTGGAGCGCAGTGGCGCGATCTTGGCTCACTGCAACCTCTGCCTCCCGAGCTCAAGCGATTCTCCTGCCTCAGCCTCCCAAGTAGCTGAGGCTACAGGCACACACCACCATGTGCGGCTAATTTTTTTGTTTTTTAATTATTTTTAGTAGAGACGAGGTTTCACCATGTTGACCAGGCTGGTCTCCAACTCCTGACCTCAAGTGATCGTACTGCCTCAGCTTCCCAAAATGCTGAGATTACCAGCGTGAAGCACCGTGGCTGGCATCAGCATATTAATTGAAGCCTTGTAGAGCTTCACAAAGGTTCCATTGAAGATTTGAGGAAGATGAAGAAGCTGCAACACCTTTCGGACCTTTGGGCTCACACCATTGATACTGCTGATCCTGATGACCAATGCCAATTTGTGTTCTGCAGGTACACAGAAGTTGCTAGCTTTTCTTGTCATCTTAGCCATTTGAATTTCAGTTCTGTCCATTCGCCTATAGTCCTTGTGATAGTGCTTCGCTTTTTCCTACCTAAGCTTCCTCCTGGCCTCTTGAAGCATCTTTAGGCAAACTTATTTCTCAGGTGCTTGATCTTCAGCTCTGCAAAATTCCTTCGCTTTTTCTTAAGGGTTTCTGGCACAGCAGGAACCTTCTTCTTTTCAACACCCTCCATGGTTCCAGTTGGAAAAGAGCCTCATAGGTCACTTTTTTTTTTTTTTTTTTGAGATAGAGCCTTGTTATGGAGTGCAATGGTGTGATCTCAGCTTGCTGCAACCTCCGCCTCCCGGGTTTAAACAATTCTCCTGCCTCAGCCTCCCGAGTAGCTGGGATTATAGGCACGTACCACCACACCCAACTAATTTTTGTATTTTTAGTAGAGACGGGGTTTCTCTATGTTGGCCAGGCTGGTCTCAAACTTCTGACCTCAGGTGATCTGGCCCGCCTTGGCCTCCCAGAGTGCTGGGATTATAGGCATAAGCCACTTCGCCCAGCCCTCACAGGCTCATTTTTTTTGTTGTTTGTTTGTTTTTGAGAGGGAGTTTCGCTCTTGTTGCCCAGGGTGGAATACGATGGCGCAATCTCGGCTCACCGCAACCTCCACCTCCTGGGTTCAAGTGATTCTCCTTCCTGCCTCAGCCTCCCGAGTAGCCGGGATTACAGGCATGCGCCACCACGCCCGGCTAATTTTGTATTTTTAGTAGAGATGGATTTCTCCATGTTGATCAGGCTGGTCTCAAACTCCTGACCTCAGGTGATACACCCACCTTGGTCTCCCAAAGTGGTGAGATTACAGATGTGAGCCACCGTGTCTGCCCCATAGCTCACTTCTAATCATGACAGTCACCATATGAAACTGAAGCTGCCAGTTACTGGGGCAGCACAATCACACACTCTGATTAGTCATTGCTTTTCCTCTCAAGAAACTGAAGCTAATTCTGGCTGATTACAGATAAAGGGAATTAATAAAAGGATCCTGGGCAGCCCACATAAGTATTAGGAGAATGGAGATGAAAACTTGAATGCTGATCTTCCAAGAACTATGTCCTAAAATCATGCTCAGACCCCCAGTGCTGCAGCCCTACTCATTGGGGTAGGAGAGACTCCTGCTGTCATTCACACTGCACCAAGGATGCATGCCTTTCTGTGCCAGGAGTCTAGCCTCGCAAACTACCACCACTATTGAGGGCCAGGTGCCTCTAATACCACCCTCACCAGCAAAATGGATCCCATGTGGACCTCATTTTCAAGTTGCTCACGTGTGCATTGAAGGAAGTGATATTATGAAAGCCAAGATGAGATAAGATTTCCCAATAAAGGAAGGTGTGGTTGGTCTATGCTGTTTACTAAGCGTGAAAAAAAAGAACAATCTGCAAATGAACTGTGGCTTTTGGCCTGACTACCCCCAATAAAGACAACTGAAAAAAGATTTAAAATAAAAATATTTATGGCTGGGCACAGTGGCTCACACCTGTAATCCCAGCACTTTGGGAGGCCAAGGCGGGTGGATCACCTGAGGTCAGGAGTTCGAGACCAGCCTGGCCAACATGGCAAAACTCCATGTGTACTAAAAATACAAAAATTCACCAGGCATGCTGGTGCACACCTGCAATCTCAGCTACTTGGGAGGCTGAGGTAGGAGAATCGTTTCAACCCAGGAGGTGGAGGTTGCAGTGAGCCGAGATTGTGCCACTGCACTCCAGCCTGGGTGACACAGAGAAACTCTGTCTCAAAAAATAAAATAAAATAAAAATATTTAAAATGCATCAAAGACCTTGTATGACACTGAAGAATTATCAGGAGAGAACAGGGAAAAGGACTGGAGCTCAAATAGATGGCTTAGGGGTGATTCTAAACCAGGGATATTTGTGAGTAAAGACAGCAGAGACATAAAGCTTGGCTTTTGCCATTCTCAAGAGTAGAGTGGGCCGGGTACAGTGGCTCATGCCTGTAATCCCAGCAGGTGGTAGGCCAAGGTGGGAAGATCACATGAGCCCAGGAGTTTTACACCAGCCTGGGCAAAATAGTAAGACCCCATCTCTTTAAAAAAAAAAAAAAAAAAAAACAGCCAGGTGTGGTGGCATGCACCTGTAGTCCCAGCTACTTGGGGGGCTGAGGCAGGAGGATCGCTTGAACCTGGGAGGTCAAGGCTGCATTGAGCTGAGATTGCGACACTGCACTCCAGCCTGGGTAACAAGGTGAGACCCCGTGTCCAAAAAACAAGAGAGATAGAGTGAACATGGGTGAAAGTCCTTCAGCAACTGGGAAGGTAAACTTTAGAGAAGCATCTTCTGCTGTTTGTTGAGACTCTAATCCATGGGCATTCACTGAAAGGCAGAGATGTATTTTTGGTGGCTTTCATGCATTAGCACAATGGGAGTTGGAGCTTAACGTTCACCAAATGGAAGATGCTATGTAACAGTCCCTGTACTGGGTTGAAAACTGAAGAATTTTACTCTGTTTGTTGGGGTAGACTGTACTCCCAGGAATTTTTCTGTGTGGCCACAGAACTTCAAACCATGTGTCTGAACTGTTAAATACCTTAGATATCTAATAGTGGAAACTGTTCAGAGTAAGATAATAGTGCCTTAGGTCTTAACGGTATACATAAAAGTATTTTTTCAAATAAAATGTCCAGAAAACAATCAAATATCACAAAGCAGGTAATAAAGCAGGGCAGCCAGAACAATAGAAACAACAGACTACAGAAACATGGACACACACAGACACACAAGGACTCCAGATGTTGGAATTATCAGACACAGATTGTAACACTTACTATGTTGAAGGAAATGAAAGTCCAATTTTAAGATCTCAGTGGCCGGGCAGTGCAGCTCACACCTGAAATTCCAGCACTGTGCAAGGCTGAGGCACAGATCACTTGAGACCAGGAGTTCAAGAGCAGCCTGGGCAACATAGCGAGACCTCATCTCTGTAACAAACAATAACAAACAAAAATTTAAAAATAAGTTTGTGGATTTAGGCATGTTTGTTATGTTTCAATTCACTGCAGTTATTGTCCTGATTGATTTCAAAATATTCTTTTTTTTTTTTTGTCCAGTGGAAGCCTCTTCAAGTTGGCCTTTGAGTTCTTTTGACACAACCCTAGTCACCAATAAAGTTATCTTTTTATTTATTTATTTATTTGTCTATTCTTTGAGAAGGAGTCACATTCTGTTGTCCAGGCTGGAGTGCAGTGGTGTGATCTCCATTCACTGCAACCTCCACCTCCCGGATTCAAGCGATTCTCCTGCCTCAGCCACCTGAGTAGCTGGGATTACAGGCACATGCCACCACGCCTGGCTAATTTTTATATTTTTAGTAGAGACGGGGTTTCAAAGTGTTGGCCAGGCTGGTCTTTAACACCTGACCTCGTGATCCGCCTGCCTCGGCCTCCCAAAGTGCTGAGATTACAGGCGTAAACCACTGCGCCCAGCCTAAAGTTATCTTTAACTTCATTCTGTGGTTTTATTATTACTTTTTCCTTTTTTTTTTTTTTGAGACTGAGTCTCGCTCTATCATCCGGGCTGGAGTGCAGTAGTGCGATCTTGGCTCACTGCAACCTCTGTCTCCCAGGTTCAAGGCCTGAGCCTCCCGAGTAGCTGGGATTACAGGTGCCTGCCAATATGTGCAGCCAATTTTTGAATTTTTAGTAGAGACAGGATTTGGCCGCTATCGGGGGAAATTCACCCCCAATATTTCACATAGCTTCTTTTCTATATTCCCTAAGAGTCGGCCGGTCTGAGAAATAAAGGGACAGAGTACAAAAAAGAGAAATTTTAAAGCTGGGTGTCCAGGGAAGACATCACATGTCGGCAGGTTCCGTGATGACTAATAAAAACCAGCAAGTTTTTATTAGTGATTTTTTCAAAAGGGGAGGGAGTGTACGAATAGGGTGTGGGTCACAGAGATCACATGCTTCACAAGGTAATAAGATATCACAAGGTAAATGGAGGCAGGGCGAGATCACAGGACCACAAGACGGGACAAATTAAAATTGCTAATGAAGTTTCGGGCACGCATTGTCATTGATAACATCTTATCAGGAGACAGGTTTGAGCAGACAACTGGTCTGACCAAAATTTATTAGGCGGGAATTTCTTCGTCCTAATAAGCCTGGGAGCGCTACGGGAGACTGGGGCTTATTTCATCCCTACAGCTTCGACCATGAAAGACGGCCGCCCCACAAAGCGGCCATTTCAGAGGCCTACCCTCAGGGACACACTCTCTTTCTCAGGGATGCTCCTTGCTGAGAAAAAGAATTCAGCAATATTTCTCCCATTTGCTTTTGAAAGAAGAGAAATATGGCACTGTTCCACCCGGCTCACCGGCAGTCAGAGTTTAAGGTTATCTCTCTTGTTCCCTGAACATTGCTGTTATCCTGTTCTTTTTTCAAGGTGCCCAGATTTCATATTGTTCAAACACACATCCTCTACAAACAATTTGTGTTAACACAATCATCACAGGGTCCTGAGGTGACATACATCCTCCTCAGCTTACCAAAATGACGGGATTAAGAGATTAAAGACAGGCATAGGAAATCACAAGGGTATTGATTGGGGAAGTGATAAGCGTCCATGAAATCTTCACAATTTACATTCAGAGATTGCAGTAAAGACAGGCGTAAGAAATTATAAAAGTATTAATTTGGGGAACTAATAAATGTCCATGAAATCTTCACAATCCACGTTCTTCTGCCATGGCTTCAGCCAATCCCTCCGTTTGGGGTCCCTGACTTCCCACAACAGGCCACGTTGGCCAGGCTGGTCTCAAACTCCTGAGCTAAAAAATTAGCCGGGCGTGGTGGCAGACGCCTGTAGTCCCAACTACTCGGGAGGCTGAGGCAGGAGAATGATGTGAACCCGGGAGGAGGAGTTTGCAGTGAGCTGAGATCACGCCACTGCACTCTAGCCAGCCTGGGCGGGAAAAAAAAAAAAAAAAAAAGAGAGAGACAAACTCAATAGAAAAATGAGAAAAGAGTTGAACTGGGCCGGCATGGTGGCTCATGCCTGTAATCCCAGCACTTTGGGAGGCCGAGGTGGGTAGATCACTTAAGGTCAGGAGTTTGAGACCAGCCTGGCCAACATGGTCAACATGGTGAAACCCCCTTTCTACTAAAAACCCAAAAAAATTAGTCGTGCCTGGTGGTGCGTGCCTGTAATCCCAGCTACTCGGGAGGCTGAGGCAGGAGGATTGCTTGAACCTGGGAGGTGGAGGTTGCAGTGGGCCGAGATCGCACCACCGCTCTCTAGCCTGGGCAACAGAGGAAGACTATCTCAAAAAAAAAATAAATAAATAAGCCAGTTGCAGTGGCTCATGCCTGTAATCGTAGCACTTTGGGAGGCCGAGGCAGGTGGATTGCTCTGAGCTCAGGAGTTCAAGACCAGCCTGGGCAACACGGTGAAACCCCGTCTCTACTAAAAATACAAAAAAAAAAGCCGGGATGGCAACGTGCCCCTGTAGTCCCAGCTACTTGGGAGGCTGAGGCAAGGGAATTGCTTGAATCCAGGAGGCGGAGGTTGCAGTGAGCCAAGAGCGCACCATTGCACTCCAGCCTGGGCAACATAGCAAGACTCTGTCTCAAAAAAAAAAAAAAGTTGAACTGATACTTCACAAAAGATGATATCCCAAAAGCCAAACCTGTCTGAAAATGTGATCAACCTCATTAATATTTAGGTAAATGCAAATAAAAACTACAATGAGAAGCCATCGCATATCCAAAAACTTTACCCTAAAAGTGTGGCAATACTGGCTGGGCATGGTGGCTCAGGCCTGTAATCCCAACACTTTGGGAGGCTGATGCAGGCAGATCACGAGGTCAAGAGATCAAGACTATCCTGGCCAACATGGTGAAACCCATCTCTACTAAAAATACAAAAATTAGCTGGGTGTGGTGGTGCGCTCCTGTAGTCCCAGCTACTCGGGAGGCTGAGGCAGAAGAATTGCTTGAACCCGGGAACCAGGAGGTGGAGGTTGCAGTGAGCTGAGATTGCGCCACTGCACTCCAGCCTGGGCAACAGAACAAGACTGTCTCAAAAAAAAAACAAAAAACAAAAAGTGTGGCAATACCATGTGTTAATGGAGCTGGAGATAACTGGGAACTCTGACACATTGCTAGAGGAGTGTGAGTTGGTCCAACCAGTTTGATTTGCAGACCATAGATAAAAAAGATAGGAAACTCTCTGATTCATTTTATCTGGCAACCTGCTCTTTCTACCAAAAGCAGATAAAGAATATACCAAAAAGAAACTACAGCCCAATCTCATTTATCATAATAGATTTTAAAAATTCTAAATAAAGCAGTAAAACAAATGGGTAGTATAATTTGTTCCAGCAGATTTTATTCCAGAAACACAAAGATGGTTAAATATCAAGAATACTGCCACCATAATTTATTACATCAAAATCTTTTTTTTTTCTTTTGAGACGGAGTTTCATTCTTGTTGCCCAGGTTGGAGTGCAATGGCACAATCTCAGCTCATTGCAACCTTCGCCTCCTGGATTCAAGGATTCTCCTGCCTCAGCCTCCCCAGTAGCTGGGATTACAGGCATGCACCACCACACCCACCTAGTTTTTTTTTTTTTTGTTTGTTTGTTTTGTATTTTTAGTAGTGATGAGGTTTCACCATGTTGGCCAGGCAGGTCTCGAACTCCTGACTTCAGGTGATCCACCCGCCTTGGTCTCCCAAAGTGCTGGGATTACAGGTGTGAGCTACCACGCCCAGCCTTGAAATTGCTGTTTCTAACAAGTCTTAAAAGACACCCAGACTTTAACAATTGTTATTATATTCAGATTTTTTTGTTGCTTTTTGAGACAATCTTGCTCTTTTACCCAGTCTTGAGTGCAGTAGCATGATCATGGCTCACTGCAGCCTCAACCTCCTGGGCTCAAGCGATTCTCCCACCTCAGCCTCCCGGGTAGCTGGGACTACATGTGCAGTATCATGCCTGGTTAATTTTTAAATTTTTAGAGATGGGGTCTTGCTATGTTGCCCAGGCTTCTAGAATCATTCTTCATATTATTTCACTAACACAGCCTCCACCACATTAATATGGCAACAGGTTTAGAAATTATTTAAAACAAAAATTTCTAATGTTTACATATATTGTGTGATGTGTGTGTGTGTGTGTGTGTGTGTGTGTGTGTGTATCATTCCAAGGTACTGTTTCTAATTTTTTCCTGTAGGGAATGAATATTCAGTATTGCAGCTGCATTGGCTAGCTGGGGATTCTATTTACCACCACATTGTCCCGGACTGAATCTGGGGACAAAAAAACCACTTCGGGAACAAATTCTTGTCTTCAACAAAGAGCTGTCTTGAGTAGGCACAAAAGTAGCATTTGAGGGCCGGACGCGGTGGCTCAAGCCTGTAATCCCAGCACTTTGGGAGGCCGAGGCGGGCGGATCACGAGGTCAGGAGTTTGAGACCAGCCTGGCCAATATGGTGAAACCCTATCTCTACTAAAAACACAAAAATAGCCGGGCGTGGTGGTGGGCGCCTGTAATCCCAGCTACTCGCGAGGCTGAGGCAGGAGAATTGCTTGAACACGGGAGGCGGAAGTTGTATTGAGCCAGAGATCGCGCCATTGCACTGCAACCTGGGCGACCGAGTGAGACTCCGACTCAAAAAAAAAAAAAAGTAGCATTTGAGTACCTTTTTTTTCCTTTTCTTTTCTTTTTTTTTTAGAGGAAGGGCACCCAGGCTGGAGTGCAGTGGCACCATAATAGCTCACTGCACTCTGCAACTGCTGAGCTCAAGAGATTCTCCTCCATCAGCCTCCCTAGTAGCTGGAATTACTGGCGTGAGGCACCATGCCCGGCTTATTTTCTTATTTTTTTGTAGAGGTGGTTGGAGCGGGGGGACTGGGGAGGGTCTCGCTATGTTGCTCAGGCTCGTCTCGAACTCTTGCCCTGAAATGATCCGTCCTCGGCCTCGCAAAGCGCTGAGATTACAGGCGTGAGCCACGGCGCCCAGCCTTGAATAGTTTTTCACATGCATTGCACGTTATTTCCTTTTATTCTCTAGTTTTTGGGTCCAGTCTTAAACCTGGGAAGGGATTCATTTGGGGGGGTCACACCAGCGGGCATCCTGGCTCAGGCGGAACTCTGGCTCCAGACAGTGCGCCCAGGACCAAACGGTCAACCCCGGCCTACTCCCGCCCCTCCCAGATCCTCCCCTCCTCGGACGCTCCCGCGTCTTCCTCTCGCTCAGGCACTGAGGGGCGGGGAGATGGGTGTTAAAGAGGGGATATCACCAATCAACGTGCGCCTCCGGGAAACAGCGCTTCGCACTGGCTGGTTGGGTCTGACGACGTGGCCACTGTCCAATCCTCATGCTAGAGGCGGGGCTAAAGGCCAGTGGCGCAAGCAGAAGGAGGAGCGCAGCGGCTGCAAGCACGTGACCGGGGCCTGAAGCCGGAAGCTACCTATCTGGTAGGGAGCTCCCCCAGCACCGAAGACTGCGATGGTGAGTGAGGACGCATGCGCGAGAGGACCCGCCGGGGGTTCAGCGTCTCTGCTCCCCAGTCTGTGTGGTTTCCCCCTGGTGGGCCTGCGCTCCACCCTCACCTCCTATCCGCTCGGGGAGGAAGAGGGGATGGAAATGGGAGGGATGGCGACGAGAATGCTGGGGAGGGGTCTGTGGGAGGGTGTTCTGGGGCTGCGGGTAGTCTGCAGGTCGGGCGGAGACGAAGGGAGGTGAAGAGAGGGTCTGGGGGCAGGGGCCAGTGGGGCAGCAAAGGCCCCTTGGGGTAGCAAAGGTGGGATGTGGAAGGCCAGGGGAGCCCGGGGGCGAGAGTGGGGGCAGATGGAGGCTCGGGAAGATCAGTATTGAGGACCATGTAGGGGGGAGGGGGCCGGGAAGGGACCTGGCTGGGGAATGAGAAAACCTGGGGCCATCGTCAACCCAGAGACTTGGGTTTGCAGGTGAAGGGTATCGGGCCGTCCATCCCTCTAGCATGCTTCTCACGACTTGCATCTTTACCCACTAGACTTCTGCGCTGACCCAGGGGCTGGAGCGAATCCCAGACCAGCTCGGCTACCTGGTACTGAGTGAAGGTGCAGTGCTGGCGGTGCGTTCTGGGAAAGGGAGGGGGTCCCTTAGTGCACACAGCCCGGTAACCCCTTCTAATATTGGCCCTTCTTTTCTCGGCTTTTATCTGGTTTCCTGCCTGGCATCTATTAGGTTGGTACAAAAGTATTTGCAGTTTTTGCAATTACTTTCAGTAATCAGTCTGTGGAATCTTAGTCTCCTAACGGCTGCGATTTATTTATTTATAGTTTTTGAGACTGAGTTTCGTTCTTGTTGCCCAAGCTGGAGTGCAGTGGTGCGACCTCGGCTCACTGCAACCTCCGCCTCCGGGGTTCAAGCGATTCTCCTGCCTCAGCCTCCCGAGTAGCTGGGATTATAGGCACGTGCCACCATGCTCTGCTAATTTTTTGTATTTTTAGTAGAAACGGGGTTTCACCGTGTTAGCCAGGCTGGTCTCAAACTCCTGACCTCAGGTGATCCACCTGCCTCAGCCTCCCAAAGTGCTGGGATTACAGGCGTGAGCCAACATGCCTGGCCTTTATTTGGTATTTCTTAAAAAGGCATTTGTATTTTGTTCCATAGTACTGTATGGTGTTAGGTCTCTAGATTACAGGCGTGAGCCACCACGTCTGGCCTTTATTTGGTATTTCTTAAAGAGGCATTTGTATTTTGTTCCATAGTACTGTATAGTGTTAAGTCTCCAGATGTTTTTGACTTAGGTAGAGACAAAGCTTAAGGTTAAGGGTTGAAAACAATACAGGTGGTAAAGACTATTGAGGGAATCCAGGATATTAAAAATTCAACATGTTATGACAAGGTAACTAACTTTCCGGGAGGTAGGAATTCAGCCCACCTTAAAGGAGAGTATTTACAGTGGGGGAGGACTTATTTGCAGGTGTGTGGCACTAACCTATCTGAACTGATGGTAAGTTTATGCTGAAAAGATTTGGGAAGGTTTGAGGGAAGAGAGGAGGATATGGTCAGGGAGGATGTAATTGTGAAGGATCTTCAAGGCCAGGTTAACACACTTGAACTTATTCTTGAAGGTAATACAGTTTGAAAGGTTTTTTAAAACAGAAACAAGACCCAGTGAGGTGGTTGAGCAATATTGTTGTTAGTGATGTGAAGATGGGCAGAAGGAGGCGTCATTAAGAGATGAGACTGGGCTGGGCGTGGTGGTTCATGCCTGTAATTCTAGCACTTTGGGAGGCCAAGGCGGGCGGATCACGAGGTCAGGAGATCGAGACCATCCTGGCCAACACGGTGAAACCCCGTCTGTACTAAAAATACAAAAACAAAATTAGCCAGGCCTGGTGGCGGGCACTTGTAGTCCCAGCTACTCGGGAAGCTGAGGCAGTAGAATGGCGTGAACCTGGAAGGTGGAGGTTGCAGTTAGCCGAGATCACACCACTGTACTCCAGCCTGGGCGACAGAGCAAGACTCCGTCTCAAAAAAAACAAAAAAAAAAAGAGATGAGACTGGGCAAGTGGTGGTAAGAAGGAGGAGCAAGGAGAGAAGAGTTTTGTTTTTGTTTTTTTTTGTTTTTGTTTTTTGAGACAGAGTCTCGCTCTGTGGCCCAGGCTGGAGTGCAGTGGCATGATCTCAGCTCACTGCAACCTCCGTCTTCCGGGTTCAAGTGATTTTCCTGCCTCAGCCTCCTGATTAGCTAGGATTACAGGTGTGCACCACCATGCCCAGCTAATTTTTGTATTTTTAGTAGAGAGAGGGTTTCACCATGTTGGCCGGGCTGGTCTCGAACTCCTGACCTCATGATTTGCCCGCCTCAGCCTCCCACCCAAAGTGCTGGGATTACAGGCATAAGCCACTGCACCCGGCCTGTTTTTTTGTTTTTGTTTTTGTTTTTTTTGAGACGGAGTCTCACTCTGTCACCCAGGCTGGAGTGCAGTGGTGCAGTCTCCCCTCACTGCAAGCTCCGCCTCCCGGGTTCACGCCATTCTCCTGCCTCAGCCTCCCTAGTAGCTGGGACTACAGGCGCCCGCCACCATGCCCGGCTACTTTTTTGTATTTTTAGTAGAGATGGGGTTTCACCATGTTAGCCAGGATGGTCTGGATCTCCTGACCTCGTGATCCGCCTACCTCGGCCTCCCAAAGTGCTGGGATTACAGGTGTGAGCCACAGCACCCCGTCCTGTTTTTTTGTTTGTTTGTTTTTTTTTAAGATAGAGTCTCGCCGTCACTCAGGCTGGAGTGCAGTGGTAACGATCACATCTCATTGTAGCCTTGAACTCCTGGGCCCAAGCAATCCTCCCGCCTCAGCATCCCAAGTAACTAGAACTACAGGCAAGCACCACCACGCCCAGCCATTAAAAAAAAAAAAAAAATGTGTGGAGACAGGGGCCTTGCTATGTTGCCCAGGCTGGTCTCAAACTCCTGGCCTCCAGCATTCCTCCTGCCTTGGCCTCCCAGAGTGCTGAGATTACAGGCATGAGCTCCTGTGCTTGGCTGGAAGAAGTTATTTTAAAGGAGGAATCAGTATATCTTGCTAATGACTAGAAATAGGTAATAGAGGAAATATTTCTGTAGCCAGAACTCTAAAGCCTGGAAGAGTGATGATGCCTTAAGAAACATGTCCCTGCGTGGTGGCTCACGCCTTTAATCCCAGCACTTTGGGAGGCTGAGGTGGGTGGATCACTTGAGGTTGGGAGTTCGAGAGCACCCTAGCCAACATGGTGAAACCTCATCTCTACAAAAAATTAGCCTGGCATGGAAGCACATGCATGTAATCCCAGCTTCTTGGGAGGTTGAGGCAGGAGAATTGCTTGAACCCAGGAGGCAGAGGTTGCAGTGAGCCAAGATTGCACCACTGTACTCCAGCCTGGGTGATAGAGTGAGACTCTGTCTCAAAAAACAAACAAACAAACAGGAAATCAAAAAAAGAAGTGGATTGGGAAGGAGGTGGATAAGGATAAGGTGAAATTTGATGGCCCAACTTTAGACATTGAGTTTGATATAAAATAGCAGTTAATATATATTGCTAGTTCAGCAAAAGGAACTAAATCTAGTGGAGGCCCATATCAAGGAAGAGGGAAGAGGAAGTTGAGACAGTCACCAGAAAAGAGGAAGCCCAAGCCACTGTCCCATCACTTACTCTAGGGGTCAACAGAGGGAGGTATTCAAGGACAAAGGGAATGTTTATGTTTGAGATTCTGCAAACAGGGCAGCAAGTGTGAAGACAGAAAAAGATGGAGCCATTAACAGGTAAGTGGTGGGCAGGCATTCATTTTGGAGAATGTGGCTTTATCAAATAGGCAGGGACATGGGAGAAATCCAGTTTTATGGGGTTAGAAAAGCATGGTCAATAAAGAGATGGATGGCCAGGCACGGTGGCTCACGTCTGTAATCCCAGCATTTTGGGAGGCTGAGGCGGGCAGATCATTTGAGGTCAAGAGTTTGAGACCAGCTGATTAATATGGTAAAACCCCGTCTCTACTAAAAATATAAAAAATTAGCTAGATGTGGTGGTGCTGGTACGTGCCTGTAATCTCAGCTATTTGGGAGGCTGAGGCAGGAGAATCACTTGAACCCGAGAGGCCGAGATTGCACCACTGCACTACAGCCTGGGTGACAGAACGAGATTCCGTCTCAAAAAAGAAAAAAAAAAAAAAGATGGATAAGTTACTGCTCATCCGGGGAAGGCCAGTATTATGGGAAACAGGATGGCATCCGGAGGGTGACAACATTATAGGGGGAGATTTCAGGTTGTTTTTTTCCAAAGCTGAGGGTACTGGCAAGCCAAGGGGGAGAGGGTCTAAGTGTGAGAACCAAGGGGACTGTGCCTGGAATTCCTTCCTGAGCCTGTGCCGTAATGCCCGCCCCTCTCCCTCCTCCGTCTGCATGCAGTCATCTGGGGACCTGGAGAATGATGAGCAGGCAGCCAGTGCCATCTCTGAGCTGGTCAGCACAGCCTGCGGTTTCCGGCTGCACCGCGGCATGAATGTGCCCTTCAAGCGCCTGTCTGGTGAGCCCCTGCCCCTGCCCTTGGTGGTGGTACTGGGAGCGGGGGGCTACTTCCAGGGGCTTCTCGGCTTCTCTTCTTCCAGCCTCCTACCATCTCCTGGGGTCTCTGGTCTGGCCACTTTCCTCCCTTTGGGACTCCCTGGTATCAGAATTGTGAATGAGAAGGCAAGAGAAAGGAGATCTAGCAGAGGCCACTCATCTTCAAATCTCTGAGCCTGGAACTATAGAACTTCTTTGGCTTTGATCCCAGCCAATGTGCGTGTGGCCCCGCCCCATGGAGTCTGTTGCACCCACTAACTCTGTGCTCCCTTCCCTCTCCTGGGGCGGGGGAAGGTGTGTCTCTCCTCCAGTGGTCTTTGGAGAACACACACTGCTGGTGACGGTGTCAGGACAGAGGGTGTTTGTGGTGAAGAGGCAGAACCGAGGTCGGGAGCCCATTGATGTCTGAGCCTGCCGGAGGGCGAGGGTCGGAGAAGCGGATTGGGTCCTGGGCCTCTGTGATGAGGCAGGCACACCTGTCGGTCTTGGCTTGCTGCTAGAACTAGGGCCTTCTGCTCGCCCACCTCCCACCCCTACCTGGACGGGCCCAGGCTTGGGGACTCTGAGCTGTGTTAAGGAGAACAAGGGCAAGGAGACCTCCCTTTGTGCTCCCTCACTCCCTAATAAACATGAGTCTGATGTTCTCCAGCCCAGGGACATGTGTGTTTAGTGTTGGAATGGTTACACCCCATGTCTGTCTTCCACCTTCTGGGGAGAAAGTCATGCACCTTAGCCCAAGTTGGGTGCGGCAGGGCCACCTCTGTGTGCTATAAAACTGGGAAGCAGAAAAAGCTGGAGGGGAAGGGAGTCACCCTGAGCCCTGGCGACCTCTGCTCTTCCCATCAGTACACAAACTAGTCATCCTTCTCCCTCCTGAACAGGCATTTAATAGTCTTATTTCAGTTGGAAGCAATAGTTGGAAAATAAGTTACAGGAACAGACCAAAAAAAAAAAAATTAAAGTGCTTCAGGCTGCAAACGTAAACATAAGGGGCAGGAGGCTACCTGGCCCTGTCCCCAACCCCTGAGACAGGAAGGTCACTGTCAGGGGCCCTTAGCCATCACCACCCTCTAATCTCAGCCCTGCGGGAGGGAGGGAGGGAATGTCAGAGGTGGGAAAGAACTCAACGGGAATGAGGAAGAGACTTTGTAAACTCAGAACCAGGGTAAAGGGCCGGGGACAAGGGAGCTCTGGGAACCCTTGCCCTGGCCTAGGGGTGGGGCCAGCCCCCCCCACAGGAACTCGGGGAATACTGGTGGCTTAGTCCCAGCCATGCCCGCCCACTTCACAGCTTCTTCCCCCATCCCTCATCAGCAGACACAAGACAGGCAGCTCTGCCAGGCCTCTTCACCCCCGTCTGGGAGGCATCCCAGGGGAGGCACAGCCCGGGAGCAGGGATCCCCTCTGGGGGCGTTGGGTCTCTGGAGTGTAAGAGGGAACAGAGCTGGCACGGTGCTACTTGACGGGTTCCACCACCAGGACCTTGCACTCGCGCTTGGCAATCTTGTCCAGAGACAACACAGCCTTGTCCGGGGGCAGGTAGAGGGGGCGGCCAACAGGAGAGGCCACAGGGGGCGTGATGGCTCTGCGCTCCATCACACTGCCCGACCTGGGGGAAGGCAGAGGCTGTGGGCGCTGGTCAGACCCGGCACCCTCGCTGCTCCCATCCTCTACCCGGTCCCATGCCACGCCCCCTGGTTCTGTACCTCATGAGGTGGCTTCGGGAAGGCTGCTGGTGGGAGAAGGACTGGGAGCGGCCCAGGCTAGCCTGATGCCTCTCCACCAAGTCCCGGACAGCAGGGCTGCTGGGGCTGCTCTTGCGGGAGAGGGGCCGGGCCTCGGGTGGAGGGTGGGACACGCTGGCGGTGAACTGCAGCTTCAGTTTCATGTGCTGGCTTAGCTGGGGGGAGACACAGGTCAGCATGCCAGCTCGGCTTCCAGGACCCAGGCCTCCTTCCAAATGGTCTTCCCCATGTGACAGACTGATGTCAAATCTAAATCCCACCTTCCCTCTGCCCAGCTTTTTATTTCATCCCCAAAATCTAAGGGTCCTGCCTCCGTCCACCCCAGCATTCTGCATCACTCAGCACTCAGCCCAGACCCTCCCCAGCCCACCTCGAAGAGCCCCGTCCTCAGAGCCTGGAAGGCCACACTGAAGGTGAGCGCGCTGCCCTTCCGGGAAAAGCCAAGGTTGTTGAGGGGCGTGTGGCAGACGACGGAGTCCAGGGCAGCCTGCATGGCCCGGCGCTCCTCCTCACACAGCTGCTTTCCTGGGGGCAGAAACAGGGACCAGCAAACACTACAGCGTTCCTCATTCCCACAGGGCCTTCGCCAGCACAGTCTCATCTGATTCTCAAAGCCACTCTGTGGAGTAAACTGAGCAAACGTTATCTTTTGTGCATGTTGTAGATAACAACAGCTAATACGTACTGTGTGCAAGGCACGTCACGTATATTAACTCAGTATCTGCATGACAGCCCCATCAGATATGAGTTGCTCTATTTTAAAGGTGAGGACTCTGAGGCCCAGAGAGGTTAAGTAACTTATTCAAGGTCACACAGCTAGTAAAGGAGAGAAGTAGAGTTCACACCAGCGAGTGCAGCTCCAGTGTCTATGCCCTGAAAGTCACTCTGCCCCACTGCCTCTCTAAACTCTCCATCTAGGACACTGGGGAGACCACCCAGGTACAGGGCGGAAGCCACCTGCCACAAGTCGCCTCCTGTGATGGGGCTGGCACCAAATTTGGCTGTTTTCACTGTCCTGCCTCCCTGACTTTTTCCTTTCTCTTCCCCTCCCTGGGGACCAAATTCCTACCTGGCAGCTGACCTACCAGCCTGTGCATGCTCTGGGGTCCACACGAGCCTCACAGCAAGGAAGTCTTGGAGATTGTTAAGCAGCGTGTAGGTGACAGTGAAACGCTCGTAGGTCCGAACAGGGGACTTACAAGAAGCGGTCATCACAAAACACGGGCGGTCCAAGCGGACACTGGGCAGGCTAGGAGTGGTGAGAGAGGGATGCTGGCTGTGTGTGTCAGGCCACAAAGGCGAACGCCACGATTCCTCCAGGATCCACACTCACCGGTAGTGGGTGTAGATGCTCTGAGTGAAGGGCAGCTTTGGGGTAGACCACTGAACCACAGCAATCAGGGGAACTTCCAGGCCCTGCAGGAGGGACAAAGGGGGTTGGCACAGGTATTAAGAGTGCCCCTCCCATCTTGAGTCAGCTGCCTGGTCTTTCCCTCCCACTGCCTTATCACTTTTCTTTGAACACACCAGCCCCTTATGCTCACCTCCTTGGCCCCTGGAGGGGGCTGCTCACCCCCTCTCAGCTGAAACAGGAAGTTGTGTTCCTCCAGGGCATTCAGCGGGCAGGGGAAGCAGCCAGAGGTCCCGGGTAGGCGGCAGAAGGAGCCCATGGAGACTTCCCCAGACTGGTGACTAGCTCAGAAAAGAGGACAAGGCATGGTCTCCCCATGCCAGAGCTCAGCCCCTGAAGCCATCCCCACCACTTCACAGCCTCGCCCCTCCCAGGACCTCACCAGACATTGTCCACCAGCAGCACAGAGCCATCGGGCATGACAGGTAGATAACTGGCGTTGAAGTTGGGGAGGATTCGGATATCCCAGATGGAGATTTCCTCCTGAGAGGAGCTGTTCAGCACTGTGGGAGAGGACCAGCTTGGCTCAGAATAGCTGGACCCCTCAGGCCCCACCTTTACCCAGAAAAAACCGGACCTACCCCACCAGCCTGCCCAGAGGAACTGCATCCAATCAGTTCCCTTGTTGCTCCCGGAGGCTGGAGCCGGCAGCCCTGCTTACCCTTGAGCACGGTCAAGTGTTTTCCAGCCACAGTGAACTGCCGGCATCTCAGAACCGGAGGGGGCAGCAGAGTCAGCAGCGTGCTCACTGCGGGAGGGGGTGGGGGCAAGAAGTGATGGTCTGGAGGCTGACCTCACCTCCAACCCAGAATTCTCACCTTCCTCTTCTCAGAGCCCATTAGCCACTTTCCAGTGTGACCCCTCCCCTCTGTCCCCCAATTCCCAGACTCTAGCCCTTTGCCTCTGCGCTGCCCTGCCCACCTTGGGCCTTGAAAGCGCTCTGCTCGCCCCGGAATGTCTCCCCAGGAGATCGGGTCTGCAGCAATCGCAGGTAGCCTTGATCTCTGACCTCTGGTGCCTCAATCTCCCGCTTCCACACAGTCACTACAATCTGTCAAGAGGAAAGACAGATGGCTGAGCCCGGAAAAGGTGTCTGAATTAGGACAATAGCTCCACTCTTGCTCATCTTACCTTGGCCTTAGGTGTCCCTGGGGGCAGTCTATCCAGTGAAACGGTGAGTGGGAAGATGACCTCATCTGTGGACACAATCGGTTCCTCCACAGGCAGCTGGGGTTGGGAAAGGGGTGAAGAGGTCAGGAGCAAGTCAGAGGCAGCCTGCAGCCTTTCCCTTTAAGACCGGCAGTTCATCTGCCTCCTGCCTCAGGCCCCCAGCAAACCGCCCCTCCGTCCTGTGCCAGGTCCCCCAAAGCTCCTCACCGTGGTCGCTCCCCCTGAGGTAGCAGGGCCCGGGCCGTGGGTGAGAAGGGGGCTGCAGCCTCGGAACAAACCCCCACCCCCAGGATCCCCTCCCCCTGGGGGCTCCGAATCCTGGTCGCCGGCGCCGCCGCCCCCCGGCATCCCGCCTCCGGCGCTGACCGAGGCCAGGGCGGCCAGGGCGGTTGCCAGTTCTGCCCAGGCTCCTCTGGAGCCCAAGCCCGGGCCGCCCCCGGTGCCGGACCCCGCACCGCCCCGGCAGCGCAACACCAGCAGAAAACGGACAGTCTCCCCCAAGTACAGATGGTTGCGCCGGGGCAGCGCCCGG
The DNA here is from genome assembly GCF_000001405.40 of Homo sapiens. NCBI lineage: Eukaryota > Metazoa > Chordata > Mammalia > Primates > Hominidae > Homo > Homo sapiens. The sequence goes on from NC_000007.14 coordinate 100,158,414, forward strand.
TACCGGCCCGGATCCCCTGCCAGCTCCGCGCGCGGCGGCAGCGGCACGGCCGGGAAGTACATCGAGTAGTCGCACTGGGACTCCATGGGGCGGCGAGGACGGCGCGACTGGGAGCCCGGACCGGAGGCCGACCGCCGGCGGGGCCCGCTAGGGTGGGTCCAGAGGGTCCCGACACCTCCGGCTGCTGCGCCCGGCTGGGGCGGCCGGAGAGACCGGCCCGGTCCCGGCACCGGGGCAACGAACCCGAACCGAGACCCGGCAGCGCCGGAACCGGGGTACTGAGCCGAATGACTGGAGAGAAACAGGAAGCGGAAGGGAGGGGGCGTGGCCGCCGAGGCCCCGGAATCTGCGGGTGCCCGGACCGTGGAGGAGGGGGCGGGGTCCCGCTGCTCTGAGGCTGCGAGAATGCAGGCGGGGGCTGCGGCCAGGCTTCTTGGAAAAGAAATGGAAGACCTCGTCGGCCAGGCGGGTTGGCTCACGCCAGTAATCCCAGCACTGTGGGAGGCCGAGGCGGCAGGATCGCTTGAGGCCAGGAGTTCAAGACCACCCTGGCCAACATAGCAAGAACTCCTCTCTGCAAAAAATTTAAAAATTATCCGGGCGCGGTGGCGCGCGCCTGTATTCCCAGCTACTTAGAAGGCCTAGGCAGGAGGATCCTTTGAGCCCAGGAGTTTGAGGCTGAAGTGAGCTATGATTGGGACACTGGACTGCAGCCTAGGTGACAGAGTGAGATCTTGTCTCGGAAAAAAAAAAAAAAACAACCCTTCCAACCCCACTTCTCCCAGGAAGATTCTCCATCCCTCCCCTTTCCACCCTCCATAAATCAAGTAGAAGTTTCAAATTATTTATTCATTCAACAAACATGTCAGAGAGAAATGAACAGTCTAGTAGCAAATATTTCATAGAGAAATGGACGTATCATTCCAACTCACCACGCCCCAAACTTCCTGTGGCTCACTCCATCTTTTGCCCCTCTAGGGAGCTTCGGTGATGTGGATCTGCCTTGGGGCAGGAAAGGGGAAGGGGAGGTCAGGCCTAGTGGCTCACGCCTGTAATGGCAGCACTTTGGGAGGCAGAGTCATGTGGATCACCTGAGGTGAGGAGTTCAAGACCAGCCTAACCAACATGTTGAATCCCTGTCTCTAAAAATATAAAAATTAGCCGGGTATGGTGGCACGTATCTGTAATCCTAGCTACTCTGGAGGCTGAGGCAGGAGAATCGCTTGAACCTGGGAGGCAGAGGTTGCAGTGAGCCGAGATCATGCCACTGCACTCCAGCCTGGGGGACAGAGCAAGACTCCGTTTCAAAAAAAAAAAAAGTTGGGGGGAAAGAACAAAATGAGTGGAGGGTGGAGGAGGGAAGCACTGCTGGGAGCCCAGCGAAGAGGGGGCTTGCATCGGGACAAAGACTCATCCCTTCTGGGAGATGCAGAAATGGCATCTTGCTGCCCCCCACTCATCACATGTGCCCTTCAAACATGGCTGCTCTTCCACCTAAATCTGTAGTCTGATGTTTATGGGGAGAGTGGCCTTGAAGTCTTGAGGGGCAGTGAGACGGTAGGGGGGAACTGCTTGGCATCCAGCTTGTCCTTGTACTGGAGCTCAGGGGTAGCTAGGCGCTCACATTCCTCTTGGTCTTGGGGGCTCAATCCACTCCGAAGTATATAGCCCAAAACCTTAGCTGACCCAAACTGGAAGGGGCGGAACCGGCGATCAGTGATGTATTTGGGGTCAGAAGCCTCACCCCCTACCAGACAATGTTTCGCTAGGGCCTCTCGGCGAGCCCGGAGCTCGGCCACAGCTGTCTGCAGCCGGCCCTGGCCGTATTTCTCTATCCGTGCCCAGAGACTGCGGTTGAAGTGGACATAGAGAGCCCAGTCCAGGTTGTTCCAGGCTCGGGCCCGTGCAGTCAGCTGCCGGTCCTCCGCAGTCAGTCCACTGTTGCTGACAGTGCTGAGGCCCTGCTTATGTCCAGCCTGGGCATTGTGCATGAAGCCCACCACGTCATCTAGACCCCAGCACAGGGCATCTGCCAGCAGAACCAATGACTCATCGAAGTACTCAGCCACCATGACCAGGTCAAAGACAGAGTCCAGCCATGCCAGACCCCACTGGATGAAGGATGAAGACCCCAAATCGAAAGAGGCAGGGCTTGATATCTGGCTGCGATGATCAGTAACAGTGGAAACAGGATGGATGAGGGCATTGGGATTGAGGGTTTGGGCTCGAGGGCCAGCACCAGAAGGCAAGACCTGCAGCTGTGGGGGGTTGGGGTCTCTGGGGGGATGAATATTCCCTCTCTTGGCCCTCTTCTCTGGGGGAAAGGGCAGGCCAAAGTCAAACCATAGTAAGTTGCGAGCGTAGTGGTCCCCACGGGCCCCAGGCCTGTAGAAGCCTCGAGGATTGGCCAGGAAGGCAGCCAAAGATGGTGACTTGCGGAAGGCTGATGAGGTGGATTTATAGTAGGAGAAGGCAGAGCGAGCCAGAGCCGCTGGGTCTCGGACAATGGAAAAAAAGAAGCTGTCAGAAGGCATGACCTGAAGTACCTGCAGAGGAGGGAAGACAGAAGAGAGAGAACTGGGCTGGGGAGAAGGTATGCATAAGTATGCACAAGCCATGTGTCCGCTGACCAGCCTCCTGAAACCTCCTCCTCCCAGCTCTGCTAGGAATCCCCAGCTTCCATCACTTGCTGAGTGGCAAGTTACTTAACATCTCTGAGACTCAATTTGCTTATCTGCAAATGGGGATAATCATACTTTCTCAAGTGACTATGAAAGATACATGAGATAAAACATACAAGAAATCTGGAGCATGGAGCCAGGCATGTTTTGTGTGCCTGTAGTCCCAGCTACTCAGGAGGCTGAGGCAGTAGGATGGCTTGAGCATTGCTATGTTGCCGAGGCCAGCCTGGGCAACATAGCGAGACCCTGTCTCTACAAAAATAAAACTAAAAAGCCGGGCATGGTGGCTCAAGCCTGTAATCCCAGCACTTTGGGAGGCCGAGGCGGGCGGATTACTTGAGGTCAGGAGTTCGAGACCAGCCTGGCCAACATGGTGAAACCCCGTCTCTACTAAAAATACAAAAAAATTAGCCAGGTGTGATGGCACACGCCTGTAATCCCAGCTACTCGGGAGGCTGAGGCAGGAGAATTGCTTGAGCCCAGGAGGCGGAGGTTGCAGTGAGCTGAGATCGTGCCACTGCACTTGACAGCCTGGCCAACAGAGCAAGACTCTGTCTCAAAAAAAAAAAAAAAAAAACTAAAAAAGTTAGCAGGTCAATCAATGATAGACTGGATAAATAAAATGTGGCACATATACACCATGGAATACTATGCAGCCATAGAAAAGAATGAGATAATGTCCTTTGCAGGTGCATGGATGAAGCTGGAAGCCATCATCATGCTCAGCAAACTAACCTACTCCAGTAAACTAACAAAACTAACACAGGAACAGAAAACCAAACACCATGTGTTCTCACTCATAAGTAAGTGGGAGTTGAACAGTGAGAACACATGGACACAGGGAGGGGAGCATCACACACTGGGGCCTGTCGGGGTGGGGAGCAAGGGGAGGGAGAGCATTAGGATGAATACCTAATGCCTGCAGGGCTTAAAACCTAGATGATGTGTTGATCAGTGCATCAAACCACCAGGGCACATGTGTACCTATGTAACAAACCTGCATGTTCTGCACATGTATCCCAGAACTTAAAATAAAAATAAATTAGCGCGGTATCCTGGTACACACCTGTAGTCCCAGCTACTCAAGAGGCTGAGGTGGTAGGATTGCTTAAGCCCAGGAGTTCAAGACAAGCCTGAGCAACACAGCAAGACCCTGCCTTGAAAGAAAGGGGCCGGGTGCAGTGACTCACACCTGTAATCCCAGCACTTTGGGAGGCTGAGGCGGGTGGATCACAAGGTCAGGAGTTCAAGACCAGCCTGGCCAAGATGGTGAAACCACATCTCTACTAAAACTATAAAAATTAGCCAGGCGTGGTGGCAGGCGCCTGTAATCCCAGCTACTCAGGAGGCTGAGGCAGGAGAATCGCTTGAAGCTGGGTGGCAGAGGTTGCAGTGAGCCGAGATCGCGCCACTGCACTCCAGCCTGGGCAGCAAAGTGAGACTCTGTCTCAAAAAAAAAAAAAAAAGAAAGAAGCAGCCAGAGAGGGAAGGAGGGAAGGGAAGAGGAGGGGAGGGGAGGGGAGGGGAGGGGGGAGAGGGGAGGGAGAGGGGGAAGAGGAGAGGCTTGTCGGGGTCAGGGGCAAAGGAAGAGAGAGAGAGCATGAGGATGAATGCCTAATGCATGCAAGGCTTAAAACCTAGATGACAGGTTGACAGGTGCAGCAAACCACCGTGGCACATGTATACCTGTGTAACAAACCTGCATATTCTGCACATGTATCCCAGAACTTAAAAATTAGCCGGGCACTAATTTTAAAGGGGAGGGGAGGGGAGGAAAAGGAAGGGAAAAAAAAGAAAAAGAAAAAAAAAGAAAGAAGGGAGGGACGGAAACCTGGAGGATAGGAAACTCCTGGAGAACATTAATTTCCTCGGGCATTTCTGTCTGCCTTGGTCAGTAAAACCTCTAGGAACCAACCTTTGTACTCATTTCTCCAGCAAAAACCTGTTGAGTGCCTGGGAGGGGGCATCACTGGCAACAAAGGAGCAACTATAATGCCATCTCGGGCATAGGCAGCAGGTGGGCAGGCCAGGCCCAGAATGGCTGAGGGGTAAAGCACTTCAGGGTCTCCTGGGCATCCTAGAGGGCAAAAAACACCCTGGGCTGGGACACTGGGAAGCCACGGCTGCCTGGTAGGATGCTGCCCTGAGGGCTGGGACACGTGATTACACCGCTCTGCAAGAATGAAGGTGGAGATCAGGCTGCACCACACCCTAACGTGGCCCTGCAGGCTGATGCAGGTCAGAACCTAGCTCCTAGTCTCCTTGAAGGGTTTCTGCCTCCAAAAATGACTTCCATCATTGAATCTGACTTCTGTCTGTCATGGTGTTCCTCAATCGGCTCTGCAAGTATGGCACACCTGAATAGCAGCCTGTGAACTCTCTTTTTTTTTTTTTTTTTTGAGGGGGAGGACAGGAAATGAGCATTTTAGCTTTTCAGTGTTTATTTTCTTCTTACTATTTTTTAAGAGACAGTGTCTCCTTGCTCTGTCACTTAGGCAGCATATCATAGCTCACTGCAGCCTTGAAAACTCCTGGGCTCAAGGGATTCCCCAATCTCAGCCTCCTGAATAGCTGGGACTACAGGCACACACCAACATTCCCTGTTAATTTTTAATTTTTTTGTAGTGATGGGGTCTTGCTATGTTGCCCAGATTGGCGTTGAACTCCTGGGCTCAAGTAATCCTCTCACCTCAGCATCCAAAACACTCGGATCACAGGCATGAGCCACCATGCCTGGCCCTGCAGGTCTCTTTGAAGGCAGAGGGGAAAGCGAAGAAAACAGTCTTTGGCATCTGGACCTGGAATAAAATCCCACTCTGCCATTTACTAATTCTGTGACTTTGGGCGGGTTATTGAAGGTCTCAGAGCCATCATTCCTCCATCTAGAAATCTGAGTAACTGGGTAACACTTACCTGGAAGAATGTGCAAGTGTCTGGAACATGGTAGGTATTCAGTGAATGGTGGCGTCAGTGAAGGCCATCATCCTAGCCTCTGGAGAAACCTACCTCAAAGGTCACTGTCATTGCCTCACTCCTGGCAGTGGCCTTTCGCTGCCCATCAGAGCACGCCCATGTCCTCAGCTGGTGTCTCCAGCTCCAGCTTCAACAAGGGTGACTTTGCAGCCCCTGTGGAACTTCTACCCCCAGTACAGACGTTCTCCCTCTTACATGCACACACACACGTGCACCCCACCATGTCCTTGCTGGTGTTTTGCTCCCTCTAAGAATGCCTCATGCTGTCCTTACCACAAGCCACATCCACCTTTTCCTTTAAAACCCCCCGCTCTCGGCTGGGCACGGTGGCTGACACCTGGAATCCCAGCATTTTGGGAGGCTGAGGTGGGCGGATCACTTGAGGTCAGGAGTTTGAGACCAGCCTGGTCAACATGGCGAAACCCTGTCTCTACTAAAAGTACAAAAATTAGCTAGGCGTGGTGGCGGGTGCCTGTAGTCCCAGCTACTTGGGAGGCATGAGAATTGCTTGAACCCGGGAGGCAGAGGTTGCAGTGAGCTGAGATCGTGCCACTGCACTCCAGCCCAGGGGAAAGAGCAAGACTCTGTCTCAAAATAAATAAAATAAAAATCAAAATTAAATAATAAAGTAAAATAAACCCCCCTCTCCAGAAAGCATCACCTCTTTGGTGAATATTCTTCTCACCATTCCAGATACAAACACATGCACAAGCCTCGGAAGAAGCCTCGACTTTGGAGTGCATGGACCTGGGCTCAACTTCCAGCTCTGCCACTTTAATTTTCAATTTTATTTATTTATCTTTCTTTCCTTTTTTTTTTTTTTTTGAGACAGAGTCTCACTGTGTCACCCAGGCTGGAGTGCAGTGGCACGATCTCAGCTCACTGCAAGCTCCGCCTCCCAGGTTCATGCCATTTTCCTGCCTCAGCCTCCTGAGTAGCTGGGACTACGGGCACCCACCACCATGCCCGGCTAATTTTTTGTATTTTTAGTAGAAACGGGGTTTCACTGTGTTAGCCAGGATGGTCTCGATCTCCTGACCTTGTGATCCACCCGCCTTGGCCTCCCAAAGTGCTGGGATTACAGGCGTGAGCCACTGCGCCCGGCCTTTTTTTTCTTTTGTGAAATGGAGTCTCGCTCTGTTGCCCAGGCTGGAGTGCAGTGGCACAATCTCGGCTCACTGCAACCTCTGCCTCCTGGGTTCAAGCAATTCTCCTGCCTCAGCCTCCCGAGTAGCTGGGATTACAGGCGTGTGCCACCACGCCTGGCTAATTTTTGTATTTTTAGTAGAGACAGGGTTTCACCATGTTGGCCAGGCTGGTCTCGAACTTCTGACCTCAGGTGATCTGCCCACCTTGGTCTCCCAAAGTGCTGGGCTTAGTCCCGGGCTAAAAATACAGCTGATCCTCAAAATGTGAGGGGGTTGAAGAAGACAAGTCAGAAGGCAGTGGGGGAGGTGGGGCCCTGGTGTGACAGTGAAAGGGAGGCTAAGAAAGGGAAGGGGCGTGTTGTCCTAGGTACTTGCCAGGCTGAGGTGGGAGGATCATTTGAGGCCAGCCTGGGCAACATAGTGAGACTCCATCTCTACAAAAAATAAAATAAAAAAATAGCCAGGTGTGGTGGCATGCACCTGTAGTCCCAGCTAGTTGGGAGGCTGAGGTGAGAGGATCGCTTGAGCCCAGGAGTTTGAGGTTACAGTGAGCTATAATTGTACCACTGCATTCCAGCCTGGATGACAGAATGAGACCCTGTCTCACACACACACACACACACACACACACACACACACACACAGGCTGGGCAAGCTCACTCCTGTAATCCCAACCCTTTGGGAGGTCAAGGTGAGCAGATCACTTGAGCCCAGGACTATTTATTTATTTATTTAAGCCCAGGGGTTTGAGATCAGCCTGGGCAACATAGCAAGACCCCATCTCTACAAAAAATTAAAAAGTAGCCACGTGTAGTGGCACATGCCTTAGCCATAGCTACTCAGGAGGCTGAGGTGGGAGGATCACTTGAGCCTGGGAAGTCAAGGCTGCAGTGAGCTATGATTGTGCCACTGCACTCCAGCCTGGGCGACAGAGTAAGACCCTGTCTTCCAAAAAATAATTTAAAAACAGAAGAGTAAGGGGCACCTGGAGGGAGAGTTGGGGGCTCAGAGTTGGCAAGGCACTGATGCCAGGGAAATACATTGGTGAAAGAGAGAGACTGGAGTAAGCGCCAGAGAGAGAAGGGAGGAGGACTTGGGCTCCCAGAAACTACTGGGGAAGGGACACCTGTAGAGAGGATGGCAGGGAGCCCAACTTTGTGGCCCCTATGTCCAACTTTAGGGTGAGATGATGCCTGGGGAGCCCCCAGGTCTGGGCCCCCTCCCTTGGTGGTGTCAGCCTGAGCCCATCTGTTTCTGGTCCCTCCCACCACTGCGACACTCCTTACCTCTTTCAGGTTGAACCTCATGTGGTGACAGAGGATGTGGAAGGGGAGCTGGGTGCCTCCACCCTGTGGGCGGTAGCCTTTTACCCTAGAGGCCTGGAAGAGCTTTGGGTAGCCAAACTGGTAGCGGGCAGGGAGGGCGAAGCGCAGCCCGTGCTGGTCCCCATAGCGGTGAAGCAGGCTCAGCACAGAGCTGCTCCCGGATTTATGTGTCTTCAGGAACACCAGTCGCTGCCGGGGTGGGCAGGACGGAAGGGCTGGTCGTAGGGATGGGGCCGAGGGCTGTCGGAGCTGTAGCCCAGGTAGCCTGGGAAGAGATGGAGGGGGAGTGTCCTGTTCCTCAGCAGCAAATGGGTAGAAGGGACAGAGGGCATGGAGGCTTCTGAGTCCTCAGGAGTCACCAGCCCCAGGTGGGATGGGGAAGAGCAAGTACGGGGCGTCTAGAAGGAGTTGGGGCAAAGTGGGAACTCACCTCCTCTGGAAGGGCCCTCCCAAGAGCTGGAGTGCAAAGCCAATGGTCATGAAGACTCCCAGAGCCACCCCCAGGCTCCGAGGTCCCCAGAGCCGCAGCGTCCTGGCAGGAGAGAGAGGGCCCATGTGGCACAGGGAAGGGTGAGGTGACAGAGAGATGGAGCCAGGGCCAGGAAGAGGGGCAGAGACAGCTGGAGACAGCCGTGCAGCTGCGGAAGGCACTGGTTGGAGATCGGGGGGTCATTCCCCAGGCCTGCTCACAGTCTTGGTTGAGTCTGCCCCCTGAGTTAGCAGATTTTTGCCTCTGTCAGCGTCTAGAAGGGAAATGAGGGGGGAAGAAGGGAAGTCTAAGGAGAGAGGCAGAGGCAGCCTTCTCTCCTGCTGCAGCTGAGACCTCCTTCAGGGAAGGGGAGTGGCTGGGGATGTTGTCTATACCCAGACTCTCCTAGGTGGCCCCACAACTACTGTCTCTGCTCTATCACTTTCTTATCTCCAGTTCCTCCCGCTCCCCACCTACAGTTGTCCCTGAGCCTTGGGGATTTATAAGGGAAGGAGAGAAAAAGCCCCAGCTCGTGAATGAAACAGCCAGCAAGAGAGAGAGAGATCAGATCAATCAGCTCATTAACACAGTCAGGTCAGACCATGGTCGGGAACCTGGTTTCCTCCAGAGCCCCTCTGGCTGTCACAGATGGGGATAAAGAGCCCTATCCCAGGACCAGGAAGGGAAGCCATACAGTGGGAATGAGGATCAGACAGGACACAGGTGTATGAACCCAGGCAGGAGGAAGGGAGGTTGGACTTCCAGGAGTGGCATTGCAATGGGTAAGAGCCATTGGGTTATAAATTCCCGCGCCTCTTTTTTCTCTGTCTCAGCACGGGGCAGACCCCCATGTATGACAGGGGCTGGGGGAGACGTGTGGCTACTTATAAAGCCCAGATCCCTGGACTTACCCACCATTCCACTTTCCAACCTTATCAGTGCACCCGGAGGAGACTGAAAGGGTGGGGCTGGAGAGGGAGACAGAAAGAGAGAGAGACACACACACACACACACACACACACAGAGAAACAGAGAGAGAGAGACAGAGGGACAGAGAGACTATGACACAAAGATAAGGAGAAAGGCGCAAACACTAACTGCAGAGTTCCTTCTGAAGCCCGAGCTTCCTAATCAACCGGGAGTCCAGCCCCGCCCCTTCAGATTACAACTCGCGATCAGGGACCACGGCCCCTCCAACAAGCCCCGACAGCTCCCTGCTCCGATGAGCCAGGGGTAACCCCAAGCAGAGAGAAGCCACACTTTTACTCCCGGAGACCTGCCCTCTCTGGCATCACTCCCCAATTCCCTCCCTGATCACAGCCCCTGGGGTCTAGCCGCGTCTCCCCTATCCAGAGTTCTTCATTTCCTTCCATCCATCTCTCCCTTCCCATGATTGGAGATCCCAGCCCTCTGTCCCCTCCAGCTTTGGTGACTGCCCAGTTGCCCCCGCTGGGGTTCCATGAACCCCTCATGTCTCCTCCCATAAATTAGAGGGTCCCTCCACTGGTCCTATCCTTGGTTTCACTTCCCACTCACCAGGCCACAAGGGGAGCAGCAAGGGAAATCGGGCCGGGCCCTCCCGCCCATCCCAGCCACCGCCCGACTCTTGGCTCAGCTCAACTTTCCCCAAGAACTTTCTCAGCGCCCAGGCTCCTCCCTCCTCCCTTTGTGCCGCCAGCCCCAGCAGCTGCTGCAGCTTTGATCGCGGTTCTAGGTCTCTCCCTCGCTGCATCTTCCCCTCTTCGGCAGGGCACCCAGACTCCTCTTGGAAGACACCACTTCCGCCCCCGCTTTCACACTTGGGAATCAATCCTACCATTTTCTCTTGGCTTGCCGCAGAACAAAAGATTCATTCAGGCGGTGGAAAGAAAGAAGGAAGGAAGGAGAAAGTGATATTTGAAAGCAGACATTGTCAAGGACGTGGCAAGGTAGCCAGAGACTGACACTCAGAGAACAAGGCCTCCCATCCTGAAGGCAGGGGGCAGTGGTGTGGTCACCTTAATAATGCTTCGTGGCCGGGTGCGGTGGCTCACGCCTGTAATCCCAGCACTTTGGGAGGCTAAGGCTGGTGGATCGCTTGAGGTCAGGAGTTTGCGATCAGCCTGGCCAACATGGTGAAACCCCGTCTCTACTAAAAATACAAAAATTAGCTGACTGTGGTGGCAGGCGCCTGTAATCCCAGCTACTCAGGAGGCTGAGGCAGGAGAATCATTTGAACTGGGGAGGCGGAGGTTGCAGTGAACTGAGATCGCGCCATTGCACTCCAGCCTCGCGACAACAGCGAGACTCTATCTCAAAAAAAAAAAAAAAAAAGCCTCATGTTCAAAGAGCATTTTGCAGGTGACAAGGTGCTTTTTCACACAGATTCTATTTGGTCCCCACAATTCTCCCTGTTGTACAAACGAAGATGCTCAGAGGCCCAGAGGGTGGGCAATTTGGAGATCAGAGGTTATTGTCTAGGCCCGCCTCCTGGGGGACAGGTGCCAAGGGAAGTGAAAAGCCGGCAGAAAATGAGCCAGTCACAGAGGCTCTGAGACCTCTGCTAGGAGCCAGGGCTCAGGCACTGATGGTGACAGCACAGAAGCCACACATGGGGTCCAATACATTACCATTTATTTGCAGAATAAACATGGACTCAAACACTGAAACATGGAGTTTGTGAAGGATGTGGGTGGCAGAGGTCACGAGATGAGCACCCCCCCACCTTGTTTTTTTTAAAATTTGGTTTAAGAAATTGATACTGAAAAAACTCAACAGAACCCAGGCCCATGAAGTCTCACATCCTACTCAAGCACCCTCAGTCCCCTGCCCTGCATCCAGCTGGTCCATTTCTGAGACCAGATGCCCCCACCCCTCCCCACTTCCAACTTCCTTCAAACCCCTTCCCCAGCTGCAACTCTAAACTCCTCATTTTCTCTGTTGGGGCTGATCACCAGCCCCAGCCTTAGAGGGCTAGAGACTATACCTTCTAAGGAAACCACACTCCCTCCTAAATAAATACCCCCAGGCCCCCCTCCCATTACCAAATGAAAAAATAAATATTGTGAACACCCACCCACCTCTGATGAAAATCTCCTGGATTTGGGGCCCCAGCCATTCACCTGCAAAGTCCCTTCTCTACCCTCTCTGCAGCCCCCTTCGACTCCTCCCCAGGCCCAGCTGAGGGGGGAGGAGGGGAAAGGGCCATGAACCCTTCTGATGCTAGGGCACCCCTCCCCCGTTATCGAGGTCCAAGCAGGGCCAGGGCTGAGAGGGAGAGAATGAGGATGGTTTGGGTGTGAAAACCAATAGATGCCCCCCCACTCCTGCTCCGGCCCTGGTTGTAGCGGGCACTGCCACCTCCTCCTTTGCCCCCAGAACCATCCCTTCTAGGAGGGTATGGAGGCCGAGGAGGCCGGGCTGGGGGAGCCACAGCCCCAGCCATCCAGTCATCTGCATACTGCTGTCCCCCTCCAGAGCCGCTGGCATCCTCATCTGCAAGGAAGAAGAGGGACAGAGCAGGATGGGAGGGAGAAGCAGAGGGAGACAGAGGGAGGAAAAGAAATTGAGATAAAAACAGAAAGAGAGAGGAAAGGGAGGGAGACACAGGTGGATGCCGGGTTGGGGAAGGGAGAAAGACCATGAGTGACAGGAAGGCAGGGAGAGAAGGAAGGAGAGAGATCCGACAGCAGACATGGGGGGAGAGATCATGATGGGAGACAGTGAGACAGAGAGAAAAAAAAACAAAACAGGCAGATGGGGAGAGAGGATAACAGGAAAAAACAGAAAAATCAGAAGTACACAGAAGCAGAAAGCAGCCAGGAAGAGGGGTGCGGGAAGAGTGACAAAGAGAGACAGAGACAGACAGATAGAAGGAGAGAAGAAAACAATGAGTGTCTGTGCCTTGCTTCTCTGTTTGGCAAACTCCACCCTGCGGAGCCAGCTCAATGTCACCCACCACCCTGGCTTCCCAGCCTCCCCCAAATTGCCCCCTCCCCCATTTTCCCACTGCCCTTTGCCCATTATAAGGGGCTTCCCACTGTTCTTTAAGAATGTTTTCGTGTCTCCCCTACTGGCCTGAAAGGATACAGACCCCCTCATTGATCTGTTACCCCCAGTCTTTCAGGGCAACGCTCAATAAATGCTCGTTGAATGAATTAGTGAATTAATCAATGAACGCTAAGAGCAGAGGCACGGGCGGGAACTACCAGGAGAGGGGAGAGGCTTCAGGGCAGTGGGCGGGGCTCAGGCTCAGGGATGCAGGGGTCTCACCCGCGTCCTGCCCGTCCAGGTCGTGTCCCAGTGCGGCCGTTTTCATTCTGGCCGTGGCCGCCCGGAGCTGTAGCCGACGCCGCCGTGTCGGGACATCGGGGCCCGAGGCGTCCACCTTGAGCTCGGGGTTGTTGACCTGCTCGGCCGGGGAGCCCCCGACCACTGGCGGCAAGTACCTGCGAGCAGAGCAGCCCCGAAGCGCCAGCTAGCGCGCGCGGCCCCGCCCCTCCCGGCCGCGGTCCCGCCCCCTGCTGCCCCCCGACGCCCCCGAGGCTCACCGGCCCCGCCCGGCTCCGGTCCAGCAGGGCGCCGCCTCCAGCGAGGCGTCCGCTGCCATGCGAGAGTCTCCGCACACCGTCAGGGACAGCCGGGCCCAGAAGCCCCGCATCCGGGCCAGACGCTCGCGGAGCTCCCACACCTGGGCGGGCGAGAGGGGGCGGGGCGAGCTGGAGCGCGACCCCCACAACCATCCCCGGCCCCGGGCCCCCCCGCCCCCAACTCTTGGTCATCCCACGCACCAGCCGGTGCAGGTTGGTGCCTGCGGCCGTCGTGGGCCGCTCCTCCTCGGTCACCATCGACCACAGCCGGCCCGCCTCTTCCCGGGGCGGCGGGGCTCGACGGTTGCGGGCAGGCACCGGGTCGGGGGGGCCGCACTCCTGAAACACCTGCGGCACCGGGAAGAGACCTCACACAGTCACCCTGGGGGGAAACCACACTGCGTCCCCACTCTGACCCCAGAGTCTCTTCCCAGATCCCCTATACTGCCTCTCTGACACCCACACCGTCCCCGCCCCGGGCCTCACCTCCACCCTTCTCTCCCCTGTACCTGGGCGGACACCTTCGCACTGTTTTCCTGCAGGTACATCAAACCCTCCGAGATCTTCACCCCAATGGACTCGGCCGTCAGCTCAAAGGAAAAGGGGCCCTGGAGCTTATCAGCCAGGATCAGGAGACCATCTTAAGGGAGGGAGAGAAAGAGAAAGGATGGGATGAGTGGTGATACTGAACTAGGATGTTCCTGAAAATCCTCACTCGGGCCTTAGAGAAGCAGCAAAGTGTTTGGGGGAAACTCACATGAGCTCCCTCTCATGTATCCCCCCAATTTGGCTTTAAAGCCCCTCTCCATTTCACCCCCAGCCTTACTCAGGACCCTCCTCCATCCCAGACTTTTTTAAAATTTAAATTTAAATTTTAGGATTTTAGGATTTTTTTTTTTTTTGAGACATAGTCTCACTCTGTCGCCCAGGCTGGATGGAGTGCAGTGGCGCGATCTCGGGTCACTGCAACCTCTGCCTCCTGGGTTCAAGCGATTCTTCTGCCTCAGCCTCCGGAGTAGCTGAGACTACAGGCGCCTGCCACCATGCCGGCTAATTTTTGTATATATATATATGTGTGTGTGTATATATATATATGTGTGTGTGTGTGTATATATATATACGTGTATATATATGTATATATACACGTATATATATGTGTATATATATGTGTGTATATATATGTGTGTATATATATATGTGTGTGTATATATATACGTATATATATGTGTGTATATATATACGTGTATATATATATATTTTTTTCCGGTAGAGAAGGGGTTTCACCATATTGGCCAAGCTGGTCTTTGTCTCAAAAAAAAAAGAGTCTCATCTGTCACCCAGGCTGGAGTGCAATGGCATGATCTTGGCTCACTGCAATCTCTGCCTCCCGGGTTCAAGTGATTCTTCTGCCTCAGCGTCCCAAGTAGCTGGGACTACAGGTGCATGCCACCACGCCTGGCTAATTTTTGTATTTTTAGTAGAGATGGGGTTTCACCATGTTAGCCAGGCTGGTCTCGAACTCCTGACCTCTTGATCCACCCACCTCGGCCTCCCAAAGTGCTGGGATTACAGGCATGAGCCATCATGCCCAGCCGGCCAAGCTGGTCTTGAACTCCTGACCTGTCCTTGTGATCCGCCTGCCTCCGCCTCCCAAAGTGCTAGGATTACAAGCGTGAGCCACCGTGCCTGGCCAATTTTAGGATTTTTTTAGACAGGGTCTTACTCTCTCGCCCAGGTTGGAGTATAGTGGCATCATCATAGCTTACTGCAGCCTCTAACTCCTGGGATCAAGGGAGCCTCCTGCCTCAGCCTCTGGAGTAACTGGGACAACAGGCATGTGTGCCACCATGCCTGATAATTTCTTTCTTTTTTTTTTTTTTGGTAGAGATGCGGTCTAGCTACGTTGCCCAGGCTGGCCTCCAACTCCTGGCCTCAAGTGATCCTCCTGCCTCAGCCTCAGGAGTAACTGGGACTACAGGCGCGGGCGCTACCATGCCTGGCTGATTTCTTTCTTTTCTTTCTTTCTTTCTTTCTTTTTCTTTCTTTCCTTCCTTCTTTCCTTCTTTCTTTCTCTGTCTCTCTCTCTCTCTTTCTTTCTCTCTCTCTCTTTCTTTCTTGAGATGACGTCTAGCTATGTTGCCCCAGCTGGGCTCCAACTCCTGGCCTCAAGTGATCCTCCTGCCTCAGCCTCTCAAAGTGCTGTGATTACAGGTGTGAGCCACCATGCCTGGCTCCAGGCTTTCTTGAATCCCCTCACCCAGATAGTTGCCCCAGTCAGGCTCCAGTCCCCTGCTGCTGAGACAGCCACGAACCACGTTGAGGCAGAAGCCCTGGCAGGGCATAAGTGAGGGGACCCCCCGGCACAGGGGACAGCCGATGAGACGCATCAGAGCCTGGCTGCAGCCTTCAGACACCGGCACCTGGGGGCAGAGAGTGGGGCTGTGTCCTCCACAAACGCTGTGGCTGCTCTCAGCCTGGCTTGGTGCTGGGCACAGACAGAAATCACATACCCCACCCTACACCTAGGGTTGGTGACCCCACGTGGCAGCAGGTGAGATTGTCACAGATCTGAGGAGGGAGGTTCCAGGTTGCTGACTCTGATTCGTGGGAGGGGTGGAAATAGAGAGGCAGTTAGGGGTGGAGGGAACATTCAAGGACAAGAGTGAGCCCATCACAGCTGGGGAGGGAGGAGGCGGTCAGGAGGCAGAAGGTGAGGCTGGGAGGTCAGGTAGAGGATGGGCAGTGAGAGAGGCCAAGCCAGGCATCTGGCCTTCAGCAGCAGGGAAGTGGAGTCATTGAGGGATCCTGGGGGGTTGGGCGGGGGCAGTATCCAATCTCCTACTGCTATGGAGATGAGCAGGCCCTTGGGGACTGAGGAGGGTATGGGTCCACAGAGGGGAGGAGGGGGTCAGAGATCATGGATCGTGGACCATTGGAGGTTTCACTCCAGCCCCCTCCTTCCTAATTCATCCTAGGACACCAGGGCCTGGAGGCAGACAGAGCCCAAGGCCTGTCCTGCTGGCTGGTGGCTGTTTCTTCCTTGTGGGGTCTCTCTCACTTCCACCTCTCCCTCCCTGGGCCCTGCCCATACTCAGGCACCCTCCAACCTTAAGCGCTTCGCTGACCACATTTCTTCCAGTCTCCAGGCCCTGCACAAAGGCTCGGGCAGCCACCAGGGTCCGGGTTATCTGGGAGAAGGCAAAGAAGGTGAGAAAAACCACAAGGTTGTTATGGGTCAGTCAAGACTGGAGCCAAGAGACTGCATCAAGAGCAGTGAGGGTTGGGTGTGTGGGGTTCTCTCAGAGTGGGTCGAGTGTTGGGTGGTACAGAGAGGCAGGTTCAAGAGCCCCCACAGGAATTATAGTCTTAAAGAAAAACAAAGGAAGGCTTGGGAAGAGATGGAGGGATTATGTTGTACAGGGCTTAGAGAGAGAGAAATTGTGTATCGGAACTAACACTGAACTTGAAGCCAGAAGACCTGGGTGTGAGCCACGGCTCTGCCACTTACTGGCTGAAAAGCTTAATCTCTGGGAGCCTCAGTTTTCTCATCTGTAAAATAAGGGCATGACTGTCTACCTCACAGGGTTATGATGACAACTAAATGTGATACTATAAAAGAAAATGCCTTTTGCGTATTGAATGCACAATTCCTGTTTAGTTGAACCAGAGGAAGTCAAGGTGTTACGATTAGGAAGGGGTTGGCACAAAGGTGGCTGGAGGCTAAGGGCAGGTGAGTGTTTGTGTGAAACTAGGGCTCAGAATGGGAGGTGGCAGGGGTGGGGGCATCTGCTTCAAGAAGACCAAGGGGCACTGGGTCGGGCAGTGGTGAGTAAAGCTCAGGATAGGGATCACCAGGTCAGAAATGGCTTCAATGCAGGATGGGGGATCACCAGGTCAGAGGTGACTGGAGCACGCCAGTTTGGAGGTGAGTGGTGCACAGTTCAGGGGTCACTAGGTCAGAAGTGGTTGAAGCTCAGGCCTCAGGATCCCTCACCTGCAGGCGGAGGCGGCGGGGTGAGTCCCCAAAGGGCTGCAGAGAGCCATCGGTAGATGAGGCCAAGCGTGAGAGGCAGAGCAGGTAGTCAGGGGGGAAGCTGTACTGTGGGTGCAGCAGCGGGAACACTCTCTCCAGGAGCTGTGCCCAGAAATCCGCCAGGGTGTCATCCAACCCCTCACCAGATTCCCCATAGAAGTCTCGCAGCCGAGAGAACAGGCCATTGAATATGAGGGCGTGCTGGGCATACAGGCGGCCGTAGGAGTGGGAGAAGAGCTGGGTCAGAGAGTGCTGGGCTACTGAGAGCATCTCCAGAAAAAACTCTGCAGCAAATGCAGGGAACAGGTGGAAGGCAGGTCAGGCCAAAGAATGGGGAGAAAAGTGAACAGGCAGAGGCAGGAGGAGATGGGAGAGAAGAGAAAAGACAAGTGAATCAGAAACTGAGTAACTCTCAGAGATGGGGCAGACAGGGAATGGGGGAGGGCAGGGCCCTGGAGACAGAGTCTGGGGGGTGGGCGGGCTGGGAGGGGATGGAGTCTTCACAGATGGAGTAAGGAGTGGGGACAGGAGCCTTGCTGGGGTCCTAAGCACCGAGAGGAGCTGTGAAGCTGAGTTTGGGGACCCCAGGTCCTCACCATCAAATTTTCTGTGCCTGGCAGCCAGTGTGTGAACCAGAAAGGAGCCGCTGTCCTCCACCAGGCCTCGGAAGGTGGCCTCAGTCTCCCTGATCAGCCTCTGCTCTGTCTCACTGGAACAGCAGGTGTACTCCTGGGGACAGACCCGGAGGTGCTCACCTGGACAGAGGAGACGTGAAGGAATGGTGGGAAGTGATATCCTAAAATCCCTTCCATTTCCCGCCTATCTCTGGGGACTATGCCTTCTCTTCTACCTGCCTGGTCTCTTTTCTATTGTCTGCACCCTCTTCCCTACCTGAACCTATCCCCTACCTTATTGTCTCCTGACCCATCCCAAGTTCACTCCCATTAGCCACGGGATCATCTATTTAACAGCTGCCCTGAGGGCCAAGTCAGTGGTCAGAGTGTCCTCAGGTGACCCTCCCCAATGTCCACACCCCAGACCTCGAGGGACTTGGAGAACAGCTTCTAGGGGATGAAGAATGGGGCTTGGAAGGGTGGGGTTACTTGGTGAGCAATAAAGTATTCTCATAGAAGGGGCTAATAGAAACAGCGAGGAGAACATGGCTGTGAAGAAAGAAACACATAGGGGGTGTTAATTAGGAGGAGGGGATTCCTGGGGTGGGGATGGAGTAAGAGCGCTATTCTTTGCATAGGAGGGTTATTGTGATCCCGGTAAGGAAGTTACAGGAGGAGAACAGACATTACTGTGGGATGAAAAGATTAGTATAACGGTCACTCTGAAAAGGAAGAGAGTTATTGTGAGATGAGGAGGCCCCGCCCCCGCCCCCCACCCCCAATTCTCTAGTCTTCCTCTTTCTCCTCACCTGAGATCAGGGCGGGAGGGATTAGGTTTAAGCTATATCCCCGGGCCCCCAGCACCTGCCGGGTCTCTGCACAACTCCGGGTGACCTTTGCCTCGCTCCCGGGTCCGGGACCAGGACCGGGACACAGAGGCAGCAGCAGAAGCAGGAGAGGTCGCAGCGCGGACATAACTGCAGCCACCCCAGGACGGCAAAGTGGGTCCTAAGGAGGAAAGCAGAGCCTCCCAAACTCGGGAATCCGGTACTCGGCCGCGGGACCGCTCCGCGGGCCAGAGAAAGAGCGCTGCTCCGGAAAACTGAATACCGAGCACGATAGCTGGACCAGGCGGCATCTGCCGAGACAATGGGAGCGGGGAGCCGGACAGGGGGCGGGGCCCGAGGCGGGGCCCCGCCAATAATGGCTCGGAGCCGGCTTCAGGGGCGGGGGCAAGGAAGAAATTAAGCCAATGTAGCGCGGAAGCTCGGCAGGGGGGCGGGACCCGGCTGGCACTCAGGAGGTTGGTGAAATAGGGGCGTGGTCTCCCTCGGGGGCGTGGCGATCCGGCTCAAAAGGCGGGGCCTGGGTGGAACCTAGCCTATGGCAATTGAGAAGCCAGATTAAAGGGGTTACTAGCAGTCTGGTCCAAAACCCGCCCAATGGAGTAGGAGATTGAGGGTAGCGGGGGTGGGACCTGGGTGGGGGCGGGGCTAAAGCGGGCCGCCCGCGTGCCCAAGCCCACGTGAGAGGGCAGGACGCCTGAGAGCTTGAGGCCACACGAGGCTGTGGAGCGGCGTGACTCAAACGTGGCGCGCATCAGCTCGCACACTTCCAAACCTCGCGATAGCTACTGGCCCTGGGCGAGCCGTTGGGATTGCGCTTGCGCACAGCGTGTCTTGTACGTTCCCGCGCTTTTCTGGAATCTTTCGCCCCCGGAAGGGCAGCGGCGGGCGCCTGTGTGGAAGGTGGGGTGGCCAGAGACACCCGAGGGACCTGAGGTGGGGACCTTCCCTGAACCCTGCTCGGCCAGAAGTCACTCTTCCAGGCTCTGACAGGTTTCTCCTTGACCCAAGAATAGGCCCTCTCGCGACCCTCCCGGCCCTGACACTAGGAGCCTTCCCGGGCCGTGCCCCAATGGCCTCCGCCACAGAGCTGGAGAATCCTCTCCCCAGGCCTCCATAGACTGAGAGTCCATTCTCTTAAGCGCTTGGAAGGCTCTTTATCCTGGAGCCGCTTACCCCAGGGGCAGTCGTAGATATTTTTACCTTCTGGAAAAATAGGAAACGCGCACCTGCCTTTCCTCCTTTTGCGTTTCCAGCCCTATTCTCATGGCGCCTCCACCCCCAAATCCTTAAGAGCCTCCTGTTCCATTCCAGGTGGAATCAGGTGCTAGTCCTCTGGAAACGAAAGCCTGGGGTCTTCTTGTATTTTTTTTCTTATTTCTTTCTTTATTTTTTTTATTTCATTTTAAAAAACCTGTAAGTTCCCTTGCAGAGGGCGGTTTATACTTCCGAAGCCTCCAGAGAGGGGTGCGTCTGAAGCTGCCCTGCTGTCTGCCTTGCTTGGCTTTTTTTTTTTTTTCCATTTAATTTTTTTTTTTTAGAGACAGGGCGTTGCTATGTGGCCCAGGCTGATCTTGAATTCCTGGACCCAAGCGATGCTCCCGCTTCGCCCTCCCAAAGTACTGGGATTATAGGCGGGAGCACTGTGCACCACGCCTCGGCTTTTGGAGAGCAATTCCAAACCCACTGCCCAGTTTCTGGTGTCTGTAATCCCTTGGTGCTTTAGGTCCACTCTTTGCCTTATTTTATTTATTTGTCATTACTTTTTTTTTTTTTTGAGACAGAGTCTCGCTCTGTTTCCCAGGCTGGAGTGCAGTGGTGCAGTCATAGCTCGCTGCAGCCTCGACCTCCTGGGCTCAGGCGATCGTCCCGCTTCATTCTGCCGAGTAGCTGGGACTACAGGTGCACCACCACACCTGGCTAGTTTTTTTGGTTTTGGTTTGGTTTTTTCGTAGAGACAGGATCTTGCTATATTGCCCAGACTGATTTTGAACTCGTAGGGTTAGGCAGTCCTCCTGCTTCAGCTGCTCAAAGTGCTGGGATTCCAGGTTTGAGCCACCCTGGGCACCTTGCCTTTTTTTTTTTTTTTTTAATTATGAGTTAAATTCCCTTGCAGCAGGCAGTTTACACTTCTGAAGCCTCTAGAGAGGGCTGTGTCTGAAGCTGCCCTGGTGTGTACCTTGCTTGGGTTTTGTTTTTTTTTTTTTGGGTGTGTCTCATGTTGCCAAGGCTGGTCTCAAACTGCTGGGCTCAAGCAGTCCTCCTGTCTCAGCCTCCTGAGTAGCTGGGACCACAGGTGTGCGCAACAACACCTAGCTAGTTTTTGCTTATTTTTTGTAGAGATGGGGTCTTGCTATGTTGCCCAGATTGGTCTTGAACTACTGGGCTCAAGCAGTCCTCCCGCCTCAGCCGCCTAAAGTTCTGGGATTACAAGTATGATCTACCACACCCAGTGTGCAATTTTTTTTTTTAAAGAAAATACCTATGAGTTAAATTTCCTTGCAGTAGGCAGTTTGCACTTCCACAGCCTCTAGAGAGAGATGTGTCTGAAGCTACCCTGGTGTGTGACTTCCTCAGCTTTTGGAGAGCAACTCCAAACCTGCTGGCCAGTTTCTGGGGTGTTGTTGTGCTTAATCCCTTGATGCCTTAGGTCAGCTCTTTGTCTTATTTATTTATTTATTTTGAGATGGAGTTTCACTCTTGTTGCCCAGGCTGGAGTGCAGTGGCACGATCTCAGCTCACCACAACCTCCGCCTTCTAGGTTCAAGCGATTCTCCTGCCTCAGCCTCCCAAGTAGCTGGAATTACAGGCATATGCCACCACACCCGGATAATTTTGTATTTTTAGTAGAAATGGGGTTTCTCCATGTTGGTCAGGCTGGTCTCGAACCCCTGACCTCAGGTGATCTGCCTGCCTCGACCTCCCAAAGTGCTGGGATTACAGGCATGAGTCACTGTGCCCAGCCATTTGTCTTATTTATCATTACTATTTTTTTGAGGGGGGACAGGGTCTTCTTCTGTCACCCAAGCTGGATGGAGTACAGTGGTGCGATCGTAGCTCACTGCAGCCTTGAACTCCTGGACTCAAGCAATCCTCCCACCTCAGCCTCCTGAATAGCTGAATACAGGCATGCTCTACCACACCTGACTAATGATTATTATTATTTTTTTTTTAGAAATGGGGTCTTGCTGTATTGCCCAGGCTGGTCTTGAACTCCTGGGCTCAAGCCATCCTCCTGCCTTGGCCTCCCAAAGTGCTGGGATTATAGGCATGAGCCACGGTGCCCAGCCTTTGTCTTAGTTTTTGGTCCCCCTCACCTGACCCCAGAGTTCTAGAACCATTCCCTTGGAAAGAAAGGGACTGGTCAGGGCTGGGGATGGAGAAGTGCTGTGGTAGGAGCCCTTTCTTCTCTTTCTTCCCCAGCTGGATCGCCATACCTACCCTGTGGTCCTCATCTTCCTGGCCTCATAGCTCCTCCTCTCCAAGCATGTCTTCCCCGTTGCAAAGAGCTGTGGGAGATACCAAGAGGGCCTTGTCTGCATCTTCTAGTTCCTCTGCCAGTCTACCCTTTGATGACAGGGACTCAAACCATACCTCAGAGGGGTAAGTAGATGTTGCATTGTGTGGCCACTTCCTGTGTCCCTGGCAGCCTTCCCCCTCGTTTTCCCACATTGATGATAATATGCGTGGGACTGTGTGAAAACACCAGAAGTGCTATACTCGTTCAGCACAGTGACACCCTCCCTCCAGCTCCAGGTGTTTTTTTTGGCGGTCCTAGATGTTGTAGACATCAAAATAGTAGTACATCCTGTTTTTTTTTTTTTTTTTGAGACGGAGTCTCGCCCTGTCGCCCAGGCTGGAGTGCAGTGGCGCGATCTCGGCTTACTGCAACCTCCGCCTCCTGGGTTCAAGCACATCCTGTTTTTAATCCATCATCCATCTTGTCTAAACCTCTCTTAAACACATTTCTATGTTCAGCATGTACCAACCCTGGTGGGGGCTGAGAGCTGGCAGATGGGGGAGTAAAGAGTTCTTTATTTGTTGCCTGGTAAATTGTATATACTTTTTGGCTAGTGTCCCCTATTTCTTCTACTTGGGGATTTTGTAAATAGGTCTGTGTATCCTTATTTATTACCATATATGAGTTTATTCTGTGTAGGTTATAATAATATATCTTGGTTTTTTACCTTTCCAGAAGGAAAAAAGCGAATTTCATACAGATCTGCTTTATCCCCTGGCTGTTTTAATTGGCTTTCTCTGAATCATTTCTGTTTCTGTCAGTGCTGCTGTGGGGGACCAGATTATATCAAAGTTATAAACTTGAATTGATAAGACATGTGGTTTATGTTTCAAGGGGGTGAAATTTAACTCTAGATACATATTACTCTCCCATTTATGGATGAATGATAGATGACTTCCTGAGCCATGATTATCTTTCTCTACAAAGAGCAGTGATCTCGCTACCTGCTAAGTGAGTATCATTTGATTCTCTTCTTCGGAGAGAATACTAGGAAGAGTTGTCCTTCTCCTGCCTCATTTCCTCATTCTTCATCTCCATTGCTTTCATGTGAAAGTTTTCCTTTAAGGCTTTGTCCCGGCCGGGTGTGGTGGCTCATGCCTATAATCCCAACACTTTGGGAGGCCGAGGCGGGTGGATCACCTGAAGTCAGGAGTTTGAGACCACCTTGGCCAACACGGTGAAACACCTGTAATCCCAGCTACTCGGGAGGCTGAGGTAGGAGAATCGCTTGAACCTGGGAGGCGGAGGTTGCAGTGAGCTGAGATCATGCGATTGCACTCCAGCCTGGGTGACAAGGGTGAAACTCCGTCTCAAAAAAAAAAAAAAAAAAGACTTTGTCCCAACTTCCTACTAACAATAAGCTCATTTTTTCTTAAAATCTGGATATGTTTTTCTCATGGAGATGGGGTGCGGTGAGAGACAGAGAAACCATAATTAATTAGCCTTTTATATGGAGGGAATAGGGTGGTTATATTTAAAGAGAACCATACTTTCTCACAGGAATGGCGACTCTTTGTTAGCTGATGAAGACACTGACTTTGAAGACAGCTTGAATCGCAATGTGAAGAAGAGAGCAGCAAAACGACCACCGAAAACAACACCGGTGAGTCAGCCAGTTTTCTTTTGTTTTTGAATCTTGTGGGGGAAGCAGCCCAGCTACTTGGGAGGCTGAGGCAGGAGAATGGCGTGAACCCAGGGGGCAGAGCTTGCAGTGAGCCGAGATTGCGCCCCTGCACTCTAGCCTGGGCGACAGAGCGAGACTCCGTCTCAAAAAAAAAAAAAGAAAAGAAAACCTAAAAGAGGTTCAGGTGATACGGTTCATAAAAGGACAAGATTTACAAAGTATTAAGGGATGGAAATAGGAAGAAGAGAAATTTTGAAGAGAAAAGAAGAGAAAAGGACGTTAGGATGTAGAGATACAGGAAGGGGACTCAAGGACTTTTTTTTTAAGGGAAAAAAATAAACTTCATAACAATATAAAAATCAATTATTTCAGGACTGAGTCTAACTCAGACTCTGCTGTGGAATTGGCAGCTTAAGCCTACTTGTGTGATAATGATGAAACCAAGCGTTAATGTCACTGTTACCTTTTTTGTTTTTTTTTCATATTTCTGATCTTTTTATACATATTAGGTGGCAAAACATCCAAAGAAAGGGTCCCGAGTGGTACATCGTCATAGCCGGAAACAGTCAGAGCCACCAGCCAATGATCTTTTCAATGCTGTGAAAGCCGCCAAAAGTGACATGCAGGTAAAGCAGTGTCTCACCTCTGTTGATACCATCTCACTTTTTGTAAGGTGGTAAGGACAAGTGTCTACAAACTTGATTTGACGTGAACATTTTAGTGAGTGTAACATGTCAAGAAAGATAAGGTTATGGGGTGAATCCTTGGAGTGATAGAAGGGTAACCTTGAATGAGAGAGCATGTTCTTTTTTTTTTTTTAGACAGAGTCTCTTTCTGTCGCCCAGGCTGGAGTGCAGTGGCACAGTCTTGGCTCACTGCAGCCTCTGCCTCCTGGGTTCAAGCGATTCTTGTGCCTCAGCCTCCCAAGTAGCTGGGATTACAGGCGTGTGCCACCACGCCCAGCTACTTTTTGTATTTTTAGTAGAGATGGGGTTTCGCCATGTTGGCCAGGCTGGTCTCCAACTTCTGACCTCAGGTGATCCGCCCACCTTGGCCTCCCAAAGTGCTGGGATTACAGGCGTGAGTCACTGCACCTGGCTTTGAGAGAGCATGTTCTTTTCTTAAAGGTATCACAGGAGTGATTATGCCTTTATTGATTGATGGAGCAGATGAGGAGAGGCATTGCATGACACAGGAAGGAAGCTTGGATGTGGGTGGCACCTTGTTCACCCATGTTATTTTTTAGCTCCATCTTGACAATTATACTTAATTATTTTTTCCTTGTTTCTTTTTTTATAATTTTATTGAAGTTCTAATACCCGAAAGTGTACAAAGCTTATATGTAGTTTAAAAAATAAAAATGAAATGATTACTCAGATCTCTAGCCCCAGCTCAAGAAATGAAACATTAATAGTGCTGTAGAGATCCTTTGTGTACCTTCTTTCTACTCCATTTCACAGTCTCCTTATTACCCACAGGTAAACACTAGAGTGAATTTTGTGTTAATCTTTCTCATCTCTCATTATAGTGTTACCACTATGAATATGTTCTTTAATTATGTAAATGAATCCATTATTCAGGCTTCTATGATTTAATTATTTGAGTTAACATTGTTTGAGATTTACCCACATTAATGTGTAATTTTATAGTTTCTGGGAAAATATTTAAAATTTTCAAACATATAGAATTTTGCTAGTTATATTTTCGTTATTTGATTTCTAACTTCATTGTGTTGTAGTCAGGGAATGTGGTGTTTGAAATTTATGTAGGGGCCGGGCACAGTGGCTCACACCTGTGATCCCAGCACTTGGGGAGGCTGAGGCGGGCAGATCACTCGAGGCCAGGAGTTTGAGACCAGCCTGGCCAACATGGTGAAACCCCATCTCTACTAAAAATACAAAAATTAGCTGCATGTGGTGGCGTTTGTCTGTAATCCCAGCCACTTTGGAGGCTGAGGCATGAGAATTACTTGAACTCGGGAGGCGGAGGTTGCAGTGAGCTGAGATTGTGCCACGGCACTCCAGCCTGGATGACAGAGTGAGACTCTGTCTCAAAAAAAAAAAAAGAAAGAAATTTATGGAGACTTAGCCTTATGGCCTAGTATTGAGTTGGTACATTCGTTTTATCTTTTCTGTTTCTTTTTCCACCTTTGCTTGCCTTCCTTTGGATTTCTTATCTTCTGCAAGGACCTGAGCACATTTTAATTCCAAATGTCTTTTCCACCTTATATGCAGTTGTACAGCGTGTTAGTTTTTTTTTTTTTTTTTTTTTTTGAGACGGAGTCTTGTTCTGTCGCCAGGCTGGAGTGCAGTGACGTGATCTTGGCTCACTGCAACCTCCACCTCCCGGGTTCACATGATTCTCCTGCCTCAGCCTCCCGAGTAGCTGGGATTACAGATGCATGCCACCACGCCCAACTAATTTTTGTATTTTTAGCAGAGATGGGGTTTCACCGTGTTGGCCGGGATGGTCTCGATCTTTTGACCTCGTGATCCGCCGGCCTCGGCCTTCCAAAGTGCTGGGATTACAGGTGTGAGCCACCATGCCTGGCCTTTTATTTCTTTTTTTTAGCCCATTCTCCCCCTTTTATTTTTAAAATTTTATTAAACATAGTCATTTTATAATCTATGATAAATTATTATCTAAAGTCTTTGTGAGTATAATTCTGTCAGTGCCTTGTTTCTTTATATGTTTTACTAGGTTTTATTGTGAGCCACTCATTTTCCCTGGAGTTCTTATGTGTTGGAATTCTTTGGGGCCTAGGCCAAAGCTGGGTTTTTAAGAAAGGAACCTGCTTTTGCTTTGACAGTTGTCTGGGGACACTCCAGAATCACTTTTTTTTTTTTAAGACAGGGTCTCATTCTTTCTAGGCTGGAGTGCAGTGGTGCTATCACGGCTCCCTGCTGGTTTGACCTCCCTCAGTGGCGAGGTGGTGATCTTCCCACCTCAGCCCCTCTCATAGCTGGGACTATAGGCATGTGCCACCATGCCTGACTAATTATTCTGTTTTTGGTAGACCAGCCTGGGCAACATGAGTTTCACTTTACTTGGGTTACTGCTCCCAGCCTGAATCGCTTTTAATTATCTGAATGATTATTCTGGGCTGGGTGTGGTGGCTCATGCCTGTAATCCCAGCACTTTGGGAGGCTAAGGTGGATCTCACTTGAGGTCAGGAGTTCGAGATCAGCCTGGCCAATATGGTGAAACCCTGTCTCTACTAAAAATACAAAAATTAGCCATTAGCCAGGCGTGGTGGCGCACACCTGTAATCCCAGCTACTTGTGAGGCTGAAGCAGGAGAATTGCTTGAACGTGGGAGGTGGAGGTTGTAGTGAGCCGAGATCACACCATTGCACTCCAGCTTGGGCTACAGAGTGAGACTCCATCTCAAAAAAAAAAAAAAAGGAAAAGAAAAAAAAAGATTATTCTGATTATTCTGATCATGTATGTGGTGTGAATCTTGATTGCAAATCCAGATCTGAGGGCTCACTATGGTTATGAATTCTCAAGAAAGAATTATTTTTTTTCCCTCCACTGTACCCTCAGGTCATAACAAGCTAGTTTTCTTGCTGTCTCTATCTGCCCGGTAGGTTTAGTGTTCAATCTGACTTCCTTGAGGATCTGACTCTTTGCAGGACCCAGCTTTATTTAGGTGCCTCCTCTTGGACTACTCGTCTTGGAAAAAGCTTAGGCTCTACCTCCTGTGCTCTGCATTCCATGCAGCCATCTGGATACAAAGTCATAAATCCCCAGGGATTAATGAAACCTTTAGGGCAAAAGTCAGTTTGTTTACCTCCCAGGGTTGCTACTTACACCTCATTTTTGGCCTATATGAAATTTTACCTTTCATTCTAGTTCACCAGTACATTGTGAAAGATGTTTTAAATGTTTTACAGAAGTTTAGATGGTTCAACTGGGAAGATCATATAGGATTTCTATTCTGTCATATTGCCAGAAACAGAAGTCATCTACATTTTTTTTCCCTAGTCTTTGGTAGATGAGTGGCTGGATAGCTACAAGCAAGACCAGGATGCAGGATTTCTGGAGCTTGTTAACTTTTTCATCCAATCTTGCGGATGTAAAGGTGAGGAAACTGCTCCCCCTTTCTAATTCCCAGCCTTTTGTTCCTATGTTATGAAATTCTTTCTCCATTTAGATAAGTAGGATTAGACATTTCCTAAATAAAGGAAGATGGTAAAGCATTAGAAAAATTTTACTTATTTAGGCCGGGCACTGTGACTCACACCTGTAATCCCAGCACTTTGGGAAGCTGAGGCAGGTGGATCACTTGAGGTCAGGAGTTTAAAACCAGCTTGGGAAACATGGCGAAACCCCTACTAAAATACAAAAAATTATCTGGGTATGGTGGCTCATGCCTGTAGAATTGCTTGAACCCAGGAGGTGGAGGTTATAGTGAGCCAGGATAGCGCCACTGCACTCCAGCCTGGGCGACAGAGCCAGACTGTCTTCAAAAAAAAAGAGAGAAAAGTTTCACTTCTTTAACTAAATTTTTTATTGATAAATATGGGAAGTGATCCAGTAGGGAACCATGTTGGTTTAGAGGCAAGACACTTTAGGGAAAAAGAAGTAATCACGCTTATGTTATGGCACAAATTTGAAGACACCCTTTGGTCTTTCTGGATGCAATAATGTTACTCTTTGTTTCCCAGCTACTTTGCCCATATTTCTCCTCTGTAGCTGTGGTACCCCCAGAACTCTTATTGCCATGGCTTCGTTTATTGGGACAGATGGTCTCAGTCAGGTTGTATTATATAAGAAATCAGCATCTGGCTTAGTTTTATTGCTGTCTTTGTTTTGTTTTTTTTTGTTTTTTTTTGAGACAGAGTCTCACTCTGTTGCCCAGGCTAGAGTGCAGTGGCATGATCTCGGCTCACTGCAACCTCTACATCCTGGATTTAAGCGATTCTCGTGCCTCAGCCTCCCAGGTGGCTGGGATTACAGGCGAGTGCCACCATACGTGGCTAATTTTTGTATTTTTAGTAGAGATGGGGTTTCACCAGGCTGATCTTGAACTCCTGACCTCAGGCGATCCCCCTGCCTCGACCTCCCAAAGTGTTGGTATTACAGGCATGAGCCATCGCGCCTGGCCTGTTTTTTGGTTTGTTTTTTTTTTGTCGTTGTTGTTGTTGTTTTTTGGCAGTTTTTCACTGCTTGATTCCTTTTTTTTTTTTTGAAACAAATCCTGCCTCAGGTTTATTTGTACAAATAGTGCAAGGGGACACCAGTCCTGACCTCATGCTGGCAGAGAGAGATCTCTACTCTGAAGCCTTTGTACAGGCCTGGGTACTTTTGGGAGCCTGAGCTGGAACTGAAGGTGGAGGTGCAGCCTGGCCCTTCATTTGATCCTTGGCCTTTGGCTGGCACAGCCTGAGCCCCTTGGCATTGTGGGCACAAGCATGCTTCTCAAGCTTGGGGTGGGCAGTGTAGGCAAGTCGGCTTAACCTCCTTGGGCTTTATGAGGGACTTGATAGCCTCAGCATGTGCACTCATGGCCCTATGGCCCTGGCATTGTTGCCCTGCATCATCTTTTTTTTTTTTTTTTTTGAGACAGTCTCACTTGTTGCCCAGGCTGGAGTGCAGTAGTGCGATCTCAGCTTACTGCAACCTCCGCCTCCCAGGTTCAAGCGATTCTCCTGCCTCAGCCTCCCGAGTAGCTGGGATTACAGGCACCCGCCACTATGCCCAGCTCATTTTTTGCATTTTTAGTAGAGACGGGGTTTCACCATGTTGGCCAGGCTGGTCTCGAATTCCTGACCTTGTGATTCACCCACCTTGGCCTCCCAAAGTGCTGGGATTACAGGCATGACCGACTGCACCCGGCTGGCCTGCATCTTCTTTAGGCCGTTCTTGTTGTGCTTCTTGGCAAAGCACATATTCCTCAGGAATTTGGGTCCATCCGCTTAAGAGATTTGTATCTTTGTGATTGGGGTTTCTTGATGCCATTTCTGTGCAGTTTTCAGCCTGGTTGTGTGAGGTGTGGTTCTTGGATTTGGCCATGTCTACACCATAACCTGTGGCTCCCTTCCTTTGGGTTTTTAGAGAGATTGCCTTATAGCAGATACATGGTTGGATGTTGGCAGACTGTTGACCAGGGGGTCTTCTCATTCCCCACCTAAGCTCTTTGCAGAATGTTTCCTTGCTCATCTTCAGGTATATCTGTAAATGATCAAAGCATCCTGTTATTTTCCTTGTAAGCACCTCATATCCTTCATTCTTTAGGCATTGTGACCCCTGAGATGTTCAAGAAGATGTCCAACTCAGAGATCATCCAGCACCTAACAGAGCAGTTTAATGAGGTGGAAGAAGATGACCAGGATCCTCTTACCCCTCTTATTTCAAAACACAATGCCTATTATCCCCTTCTTTTTGATTCTGTGAAATAGGGTAGCTTTTAGAAGGAGGAATTCAGTCTCTTGGGGGTAAAAGAGATCTGAATATGCCTCTCAAATTGGGGAGAATACCAGGAAATGAGGTATAACAGATATTTTTACTGGACTGTTGAGTTTTGACATCCAAGCCCCTATGACTTCATGGACCTGGTAATAACTTTCCCATCCTTTTCATACATCCTTTTGTAGGACTCGGGGGACTACCCTCTCATAGCTCCAGGTCCATCCTGGAAGAAGTTCCAGGGCAGCTTCTGTGAATTTGTGAGGACATTGGTCTGTCAGTGCCAGTACAGCCTCCTCTATGATGGCTTCCCTATGGACGACCTCATCTCCCTGCTCACTGGCCTCTCAGACTCACAAGTCCGCGCCTTCCGTCACACTAGCACCCTGGCTGGTGAGCATTCATTTTTACTCTGGACATTCTCCTGGGGATTTATAGGACTTTCCTCTGTTCTCTGATTCAGGATCTTCTTTCCTACCTGCATCTTGGCTCTTCACTTCAAGGCCATGCCTCTTTTATCCTAAACTTCAATCCAGTTTCTCACTAGTGGAGTTTTGAGAAGGGGTAGATCACAGCAACAATTTCCAGGTTTAATATTTTTGTCAGAGCTCACCACTAGGGGTATGCTGATGGTTAAAAGAAGACCACAAGGGTTCGAGGGAAACAGTCCACTCCAGGACAGGCCGTCTTAGGATTTTAGGGTCATCCTGCTCTGACGTCTCATTTTCATTGCCCTTCTTTCCTTCTATTTTTTCCTTCTACTCATCCTCTCTCCTCTGACCTCAGTAATGATTTCTTTATCTCTTTTTCCTTTCTCAAAGCTATGAAACTGATGACCTCCCTGGTAAAAGTTGCCCTCCAACTGAGTGTGCACCAAGATAACAATCAGCGTCAGTATGAGGCTGAAAGAAACAAGGGGCCAGGGCAGAGGGCACCTGAGCGGCTGGAGAGCCTGTTGGAGAAACGCAAAGAGGTGAGGAGTGTTCCCTGCTTCTTCCTTCCCTTTTTCCCAACTTGCACCCACTTCTGCCACAGACCCCCTTATCAGGCCCTGGGCAGTCTTTCAAGATCATGAATAATGGAGTCTGGCAATAGTTTCATAGACCCATCCTGTAAGGGGTCATTACATGCTCATCTTGTTTCTGGGTTGTGGGCTCAACAAATAATGTGTAATTTAGAGTTCTCTCTAATTCCACTTTTGCTCAGTTTTTTTTTTTTTGTCAGCACTCATTGTTAGGAGTGTTTAAGTGCTGTACCTGCCTGTCATGCAGGGAATTAAGTTTTGACCTACTTGTCAAGTGTGCAGTGTGCAAGTGAGTGCAGGAGTACTAAAAGCCAACCATTGACAAGGGAGGCCAAATTTTCAAGGAATGGAAAGAAAACAGGCCTCCCAGTGAACTCGCTTTAAATTCTGTTGAATTTAGTCACTAGCTCCATAGCCTTATGTAACCTCTCTTCAGTTTTCTTTTCTTTAAAAAAAGGAATAATCTCACCTTTTTGTGAAGAATAAATGAGATGAGTAAATTGCCTCGCTTGGCTCATAGTAGATACTTGTTTTGTTTCCTTTTAAACTTAAAGATGACCACTGGGGGGCATAAGCCATAGCAAAATCTTTTACGCTGATGAAATCTTTAATCAGCTGGGTCTGTCATAAGAGTAACACTACTGGTGTTTTCTCCTCACTCTCTGTTAGTGTCTAAGACCCCTCCTATGAGGTTGGCAGGACTCACCATGTCTGACCATATCATTTGGCTGTTTCTCTAGCCCTCACAAAAGATCTCTTCCATTCTAAATCACTAGAGAAGGAAACTTTCCACTTCCCTTATTCTCTTTTGTTATTTTGCATTGTCAGGTTGATCTTAAAAGCTTGAATATTAATCTATCCCGGATTTTAAATTATGTACACTAGTGCGAATCTTTTCTTTTCTTTTTCTTTTTTGGCTTCTCTGGGCTCTTGCTTAATCAATTATCATTATAATTCCCCCATTTTATCCTAAATTTCTTCCTCCCCACTATTTTCTTCTCTCCACTTATAAATGTATATAGGCTCTTGAATCTTTATTTCACTCTGCTCCTTTGTGAGTTACTCTTTTTTCCATCCTTCCTTTTAGGATAGTATTTCCTTACTTCCTTAATGTCCAACTAACTGAATCCTTTTTGCTACCTAGCTTATTTCCCCATTTTCTTTGAAACTGTTCTTTCTAAACCAATGACTTCCTAATTCCTAAAGCCAGTAGCCTTTTCTCAGTCTCCCTTTCCCAAATATTTTACATATTTGCTTTACCTATTTTTGCTATTTTAGTGTAAAATATGGACATATAGGTACTTCAGCCCTAAAGACTTAAGTATGTCCTGTCGAAAATGATATGTTGTTCTTACATAATTGAAGAGGTGGGGCCTGTTGTCTTAAAGGATGTTCCCTTTCTCCTTATAATTCTGTTTCCTTGGTGTCTATTGTTCATGTGATCCAGGATTTTTCAATAATGGCACTATGGACGTTGCGGGGCTGTCCTGCCATGGTAGGATGTTTAGCAGATCTCTGGCCTTTATCTACTAGATAGATACCAGTAGTACCCTGCTCCCCCAGCAAGTTGTGGCAGCCAAAAAAATCTTTAGACACTGCTAAATCTCCCCTGGGGAACAAAATTAGCCTCAGTTGAGAACCACTGATCTAATTCCTTTCTTCTCATTTTTGCTAGTTCCACTTCTATTAAACTGCAACTTACTAAAAATTTGTTTTCCAAATTGTTAGAAACATATACGGGCATCATACCTCAAAGATATTGCAGATTCAATTCCAGACCACCATAATAAAGTGAATATTGAAGTACAGTGAGTCACACAATCAAAAAATCAAAATTTTTAATTCTCAGTGCATATGAAAGTTGTGTTTACACTGTAGTCTGTTAAGTGTGCAAGACTATTGTCTAAAAAGCAGTGTATGTACCTTAATTTAGAAATATTTTATTGCTAAAAAATGCTAATGACAATCTGAACCTTTAGCGAGTTAAATCTTTTTGTTGGTGGAGGGTCTTGCCTCCATGTTGATGGCTGCTGACTGATCAGGGTAGTGGTTGCTGAAGGTTAGGGTGGCTGTAGCAATTTCTTGAAATAAGACAACAGTGAAGTTTGCTGCATCTACTGACTCTTCCTTTTACAAAAAATTTCTCTGTAACATGAAATGCTGTTTGATGACATTTTACCCACAGTAGAAATTCTTTCAAAACAAGAGTCAATTCTCTCAAGCCCTGGTGCTGCTTTATCAGCTAAATTTAGGTAATAGTCTGAATCATTTGTTGTCATTTCAACAGTATTCACAACCTCTTCACCAGGAATAGATTCCATTTCAGGAAACCACTTTCCTTGCTCATTCATAAGAAGCAATTCCTTATTTGTTCAAGGTCATGAAATTGCAGCAATTCAGCCACATCTTCAGTCTCTACTTCTAGTTCTCTTGCTATTTCCACTGCACGTGTAGTTTACTTCCTCTACTGAAGTCTTAAACCTCTCAAAGTCATCCGTGAGGGTTAGAATCAACTTAACTCTTGTTAATGTTGATATTTTGACCTCTTCCCATGAACCACAAATGTTCTTTATGGCATTTAAAATGGTGAATCCCGGCCAGGCACAGTGGCTCACACCTGTAATCCCAGCACTTTGGGAGGCTGAGGCAGGTGGACTACGTGAGGTGAGGAGTTTGAAACCAGCCTGGCCAACATGGCAAAAACCCATCTCTACTAAAAATACAAAAATTAGCTAGGTGTGGTGGTGCTGCTTGTAATCCCAGCTACTTGGGAGGCTGAAGCAGGAGAATTGCTTGAACCCAGGAGGCAGAGGTTGCAGTGAGCCAAGATTGCGCCACCACACTCTAGCCTGTGCTATGGAGCAAGACTCCATCTCAAAAATAAATAAAATAAAATAAGATAAAATGGTGAATCCTTCCCGGACGGGGGGTTGAGTTTTTCTGGTTTTGTTTTTTGTTTTGAAGACAGGGTCTCGCTCTGTTGCCTAGACCGGAATGTACTGGTGCAGTCATGGCTCACTGCAGCCCCAACCTCCTGTGCTCAAGTGATGTTCCTGCCTTATCCTTCCAAGTATCTGGTACTACAGATTGCATACCACATCTGGCTAGTTTTTGTTTTGTTTCTGTAGAGACAGGGTCTCACTGTGTTGCCCAGGCTAGTCTTGAACTCCTGGGCTTAATCAGTCCTCCCACCTCAGCCTCCCAAAAAGTTGGGATAGTAGGCATGAGCCACCATGCCTAACCCCAGGAGGTTTTAAATGGACTTTGCCCAAATCATCAGAGGAATCACTGTGGCAGCTATAGCCTTATGAAATGTATTTCTGAAATAATAAGACTTGAAGTTGAAATTACTCCTTGTTTCATGGGCTGCAAAATGGATGTTGTGTTAGTGGGCATGAAAAAAGCAACATGGATCTCCTTGTACATCTTCACCAGAGCTCTTGGGTGACCAGGTGCATTGTCATTGAGCGGTAATATTTTGAAAGGAATCTTTTTTTCTGAGCAGTAGGCCTCACCCATGTGCTTAAAATATTCAGGAAACCATACTGTGAACAGATGTGATATCAGTTAGGCTTTGTTGTTTCATTTATAGAGCATAGGAAGAGTAGATTTAGCATAATTCTTAAGGGCCTTAGGATTTTTAAAATGGTAAATGAGTATTGGCTTCAACTTAAAGTCAGCAACTGCATTAGCCCCTAACGAGGAGTCAGGCTGTCCGTTGAAGCTTTGAAGCCAGGCATTGACTTCTCCTCAATAGCTGCGAAAATCCTAGATTTTCCAATATAAGGCGTTTTCCAATTATAAGGCAGTTTAGTCCACATTGAAAATTCATTGTTTAGTGTAGCCACCTTCATCAGTGATCTTAGCTAGATTTTCTTGATAACTTGTTGCTTCTCTATCAGTATTTGCTGCTTCACCGTGTACTTTTATGTTATGGAGAGGGCTTCTTTCCTTAAACCTCACGAACTAACTTCTAGCTTCAAACTTTTCTTCTGTGGCTTCCTTACTTTGCTCAGCCTTCATAGAATGGAAAACAGCTAGGACATTGATCTGGATTGGGCTTTGGCCAAAGGGAATGTTGTGGCTGGTTTGATCTTCTGTTCGGACTACTAAAACTGTCTCTGTATCAGCAATAAGACTGTTTAACTTTCTTACCCTTTGTGTGTTCACTGGAGTAGCATTTTTAATTTCTTTCAAGAATTTTTCTTTTGCATTCATAACTTGGCTGTTTGGCACAAGAGGCCTAGCTATCGATTGGCCTGTCTTGGTTTTCAACTAAGCTTAATCATTTCTTTTTTTTTTTTTTTTTTTTCTTTTTCAGACGGAGTCTCACTTTGTTGCCCAGGCTAGAGTGCGATGGCGTGATCTTGGCTCACCACAACCTCCATCTCCTGGGTTCAAGTGATTCTCCTGCCTCAGCCTCCTGAGTAGGTGGGGTTATAGGTGCCCGCCACCGCACCCAGCTAATTTTCTGTTTTTAGTAGAGACGGGGTTTCGCCATGTTGGTCAGGCTGGTCTCGAACTGACCTCAAGTGATTTGCCCACCTTGGCCACCCAAAGTGCTGGGATTATAGGTGTGAGCCACTGCACCTGGCCTCTAAGCTTAATCATTTCTAGCTTTTGATTTAAAGTGAGAAACATGTGACTCTTCCTTTCATTTGGACACTTAAAAGGGTTATTAATTGACCTAATTACAATATTTTTGTGTCTCAAGGAATGAATAGGGAGGCCTGAGGAGAGAGAGAGAGACAGAGAAACTCTTGTTGGTAGAGTAGTCAGAACACAGACATTGTTAAGTTTGCCATCTTATATGGGCACGGTTTGTGGTACCCCAAAACAGTTACAGTAGTAACATTAGGCTGGGTGTGATGGCCCATGCCTGTAATCCCAGCACTTTGGGAGAGTGAGGTGGAAGGATCGCTTGAGCCCAGGAGTTCAAGACCAGCCTGGGCAAACATAGGGAGAGCCCGTCTCTACAAAAAAAAAAATTTTTTTTAACTAGCTGGGTGTGGCAGCATGCATCTGGACTCCCAGCTAGTTGGGAGGCTGAGGCAGGAGGATTGCTCGAGTCCAGGAGGTGGAGGCTGCCGTGAGCCATGGTCACACCACTGTACTCCAGCCTGGGTGCCAGAGTGAGACCCTGTCTCATAAAAAAATATGTAACATTAAAGATTACTGATCACAGATAACCATAACAGATACCATAATGAAAAGGTTTGAAATATTGTGAGAATTACCAAAATGTGCCACAGGGACACAAAGTGAGGATATACTATTAGAAAAATGGCACTGATAGGTATGCTCAATGCAGGGTTGTCACACACCTTTAGTTTGTTTAAAAAAAATCCACAATGTCTGCAAATCAATAAAGTGCAATAAAGCGAGATACACCTGTATAATGCCAGCTAGGGCTTCTGAATAGTCCGAATAACCACATGCAGAGGGGTTATTATTTTTACTAAACACAAACCTCTGAGGCATTAGTTGACTATACAGCTTCTTCCAGAATTAGAAGGTTTAAAAGAGAGCATAGGATTACGGGGGTTCACACTATCCTATAATAAACAGGAAGTAGGTGGAAGTTGTAGTTTTTCTGTATCTTCAGGGCCTTATGCTTGTTAGGGTACAAGAAAGATTAACCCGTTTCTCCCTGTCCTCCAGCTCCAAGAGCATCAAGAGGAGATTGAGGGGATGATGAATGCCCTCTTCAGGGGTGTCTTTGTTCATCGGTACAGGTGAGCTAATGGGCCTCTCTCATTGAAGCAGCTGGCCTTTGGTTATGGAATCTGAGGAAGTGAATAAGGTTTTCCCCCCTCCAACCCTTAGTTATTTGGTTAGTCCCAGAATTAATGCAGCTGGAGCAAAAATTCTTGACAACAAATGTTTCAAATTGGTGAGGTTTAGTTTATCACCACCTACAAAGGATCTTGTAAGTGCTTCTGGGAGAAAATAAGAGAATAAAGCATTGCTGAGTATTTTCCTGCTCTGGCTTTGCCCCAGATCTGCCCCAACTCCTCATCTTTCTGGGGTTGGAGACTTGAGGATAAGAGCAGAGAATAGAAAGGCGGGGCTTTTCTGAGGGATGCCTGCTGCCTGGTGAGCCTTCTCCTGGCCCAGCCTGCTGTCTCACTGTGCGAAGGGCAGGGGAGTTTTATACTGTTTAATGACCTGATCAAATTAAGTTAAAAAGAATATATGTAGGCCGGGCGTGGTGGCTCACGCCTGTAATCCCAGCACTTTGGGAGGCCAAGGCAGGCAGATCACCTGAGGTCAGGAGTTCACAACCAGCCTGACCAACATGGAGAAACTCCATCTCTACTGAAAATACAAAATTAGCCGGGTGTGGTGGCGCATCCCTGTAATCCCAGCTGCTCAGGAGGCTGAGGCAGGAGAATCGCTTGAACCCAGGAGGTGGAGGTTGCGGTGAGCTGAGATGACGCCATTGCACTCCAGCCTAGGCAACAAGAGTGAAACTCCATCTCAAAAAAAGAAAAAAAAGAAAAAAAAAATTGTAGATGTTTCTCACTCTTACCTAGGTTTCACTTCTGCCTCTCCAGAGCCTTTCAGCTGATGTAACCTTTTCTTAATGTGGAATTAAAACACACTCACACACTTTGGCCAACAGTTGAATTAACTTTTTTTTTTTTGGCAGGGACGGAGTCTCACTGTGTTGCCCAGGCTGGAGTGCAGTGGTGCGATCTCGGCTCACGGCAAGCCCCACCCCCCGGGTTTAGGCGATTCTTCTGCCTCAGCCTCCCAAGTAGCTGGGACTACAGGCGCCCACCACCATGCTTGGCTAATTTTTGGCCACCATGCCCAGCCTGAATGAACTTTCAAAATTGGTTTTTAAAAGAGGTATGGAGACCGGGTGCAGTGGCTCACACCTGTAACCCCAGCACTTTGGGAGGCCAAGACAGGCAGATCACTTGAGGTCAGGAGTTCGAGACCAGCCTGGCCAACATGGCAAAACCCCGTCTCTACTAAAAATACAAAAAGGAAGCTGGGCGTGGTGGTGCACCTGTAATCCCAGCTACTCGGGAGGCTGAGGCAGGAGAATCACTTGAACCCGAGAGGTAGAGGTTGCAGTGAGCTGAGATTGTGCCGCTGCACTCCAGCCTGGGCAACAGGTGGAGTGGAGAATTAGGCTGTACAAGGCTGGTGTTTAACTATTTTATGGTTTGGTAACAGAAAGAAAATATTTACTAACTGGGTATGGCACATTTTTGTAGTCCTAGCTACTTGAGAGGCCAAAGTGGGAAGATGACTTGAACCCAGGAGTTCAAGGCCAGCTTGGGCAACATAGCAAGAGATCCTATCCCTTAAAAAAAATATTTACATGTATTTTACTATATATATAGTATTTACATCGGGAGGAAGAAATGAAAGGCATGGGGTACATGGCATTTCAAGAAAATAAATTCTTCCATGAGAGGGAGTTATCTGGTAGGATGGAAAGTGAGTTTGGAGAGAGGGTGGCTCTAAGAGTCAACTTATCTGTCTGTGTCTAGGGATGTCCTTCCTGAGATCCGTGCTATCTGCATTGAGGAAATTGGGTGTTGGATGCAAAGCTACAGCACGTCTTTCCTCACCGACAGCTATTTAAAATATATTGGTTGGACTCTGCATGATAAGGTGGGATTCGAGTCAGTTTCCCTTTCCGTTTCCTTCATCTTTTTCCTGTCCTAGGACATTTCACCTTTTCCTGGGCCTGCCACTGAGATATTTTACCTAGTGACCAATGATGAACCCATCAAGGCGCTGAACCTTGAAATTCCCCTAGCACTGGGGAGAGTAGGATAAGGTAGAGAGAGACATACCCAGGAGATGAAATGACTCAAAACCTGAGGTACGGGGAGAGAGACTTTCCCATGGAAGAGAGTTATTGATGGATGGTAATGCAGGTGCTAAGGGGCAGCCAAAGGATCCTTCTCATCATGAGTACTGCTGTGATCCTTTTGTTTTTTAAGTAAGAAGACAGCTGTTCATTGTTTCTGACATCTTAAGAGTCCTCAGTAGAGGGGACACCCAAGCTAGAATGAGGGATCGGAGAGGGGAGTCTGGAGGCTTAGTAGGGGCGAGTAGAGTGTGGTTAGTCTTATTTCCATTCTCCTGGTTTTCCCTCCTCACCAGCACCGAGAAGTCCGCCTGAAGTGTGTGAAGGCCCTGAAAGGGCTGTACGGTAACCGGGACCTGACCACACGCCTGGAGCTCTTCACCAGCCGCTTCAAGGTAAAATGGGTGGTGCTCCATGGCTTGGCTCTTTGTCGTGGTTCCTATTTCCCCACCTTGTATCTTTCTACCCCTCATGCTCTAAGATGTCTTGGCTATCCCAGCATCTGCCTCTACGTAGGCACTCTCTTTAGGAGTCTCTGATTCTAAGAGAACAGAATGTTTGGAATGGGTGTAATGAGATATTGAGTGACTTTCTCCTTTCTGCAGGACCGGATGGTTTCCATGGTCATGGACAGAGAGTATGATGTGGCAGTGGAGGCTGTCAGATTACTGATACTTATCCTTAAGTGAGTCCTGGGAAGAGGGGAGGCCAGTGTCTCAGACCTTTGCCCTTCCAGGGTCATCTCCCTCCACCTGTCATAGCTGACTCTTCCATCTGTGCAGGTTGACTGAGGTCATTCCTGAGTTGCAGTATGTTGAGGGGGTAATATTTCTGTCTTCTCTAACTCCCCATACTCCTTTGTCTTCCGCTCTTCATTTAGAAGTTTTTTGTGAGTTATGTCCTTGTTGCTTTTGCCTCTTTTTGTTTCTAGCCTTGGTTGTGCCAGAAGACAATGTCCCTATTCACATACTCTTTCTGCTTTTCTGTGGGCAGGAACATGGAAGGGGTGCTGACGGACGCGGATTGTGAGAGCGTCTACCCAGTTGTGTATGCCTCTCATCGAGGCCTGGCCTCTGCCGCAGGCGAATTTCTGTACTGGAAGTGAGTGGGGCTCCTTTTATGTTTCTTTAACACCACGCTCTCGGTTTCTCTCCTCCATCTGCTGCTGCCCTACCTAAGGCTTCCCCATCTCTGTGAAAGTCTCCCTGGTGTCTCCTTTCTTCTCGCAGCTCCTTGGGGCTTTCCTTAGCTCTCACCTCCTTTTCCTTTATCATCTCCTTGGGCCATCTCCTCCCTCTGTGGTCGTTACACCTCCTTGTTTCCTGTTGTGCTGAGCCCTTTCCTCGTGTCCATTCCACCAGACTCTTCTACCCTGAGTGCGAGATAAGAATGATGGGTGGAAGAGAGCAACGCCAGAGCCCAGGCGCCCAGAGGACTTTCTTCCAGCTTCTGCTGTCCTTCTTTGTGGAGAGCGAGGTGACATACACAGAGAGAAGTCTGGCTGTTGTGCATAGGACCTACAAGTGGGCTGGGGTTGGTGGCTCACGCCTGTAAGCCCAGCACTTTGGGAGGCTGAGGTGGGAGGATCCTTTGAGCCCAGGAGTTTGAGACCAGCCTGGGCAACACAGTGAGACCCTGTCTCTATCGAAAAAAAAAAAAAGACAAATGGAGAAGGATGGGAGTGGACACTGTAGGAAGGAGAGCGATATTTAATCAGTAACCACTTCGTAGGGTATTTTTAACATGCTATCATTAACTCCCCATGCACGTTCTCCCCTAGCTCCATGACCACGCTGCTTACTTAGTAGACAGTCTGTGGGACTGTGCAGGGGCTCGGCTGAAGGACTGGGAGGGTCTGACAAGCCTGCTGCTGGAGAAGGACCAGAGTACGTGTCACACGGAGCCAGGGACAGGGACCTTCCACCCCCTAGGGTGAAACTGGGAGGGATTGCTTGCTTCACTTGTACAAGGCAGCAACGGTGGCATCGGGTGGGGGGAGCTTGGAGTTGGAAGGTGGCTAATCTTTGATTCTATGTTTTTGATCCTCCTGGCACTCCAGACCTGGGTGATGTGCAGGAGAGCACACTGATAGAAATCCTTGTGTCCAGTGCCCGGCAAGCTTCAGAGGGGCACCCGCCTGTGGGCCGGGTCACTGGGAGGAAGGTATGGTGTGAGGGTAGAGTGGGTAGGTCAGCAATACTCAGTCTTGACAGGCAATGTGCATCCTTATCCCCCAGGCTGGGGTTAGGGTGCTCCTTCTACCCTTTAAAGAATTTCATTTCCAGAAAAAAGGGCCAGGCGCAGTGGCTTACGCCTATAATCCCAGCACTTTGGGAGGCTGAGGCAGGCAGATCACGAGGTCAGGAGATCGAGACCATCCTGGCTGACACAGTGAAACCCTGTCTCTACTAAAAATACAAAAAAAAAAAAAAAAATTAGCTGGGCGTGGTAGCGGGCACCTGTAGTCCCAGCTACTTGGGAGGCTGAGGCAGGAGAATGGCGTGAACCTGGGAGGTGGAGCTTGCAGTGAGCCAAGATCACGCCACTGCACTCCAGCCTGGGTGACAGAGCGAGACTCCGTCTCAAAAAAAAAAAAAAAAAGGAGTTTCATTTCCAGAAAAAAGAAATCTCGTGGGAGCTACTGAGTTCTCTTTTCCTTCTAGGCAGATAAGGTCATGGGGAGGAGGACTGCACACACCCCCTGCACCAGTGTTTCTTTACACCTCCCCCACCCCCAAGTGACTCTCATTCCAGGGCTTAACCTCTAAGGAGCGCAAGACCCAAGCCGATGACAGGGTGAAGTTGACTGAGCACCTCATCCCCCTGCTGCCCCAGCTCCTGGCCAAGGTACCGCTGCCCCTCCACTCTGCATCACACCAAGAGAAGTGAAAGGAAATGGCCTCTGTGGGGGTGGGAGTAGGAATTA
Organism: Homo sapiens; assembly: GCF_000001405.40. Taxonomy (NCBI): domain Eukaryota; kingdom Metazoa; phylum Chordata; class Mammalia; order Primates; family Hominidae; genus Homo; species Homo sapiens. Next base: position 100,200,408 of record NC_000007.14, read on the forward strand.
GCAATGTGTCAGCTTGTAAGGAGGCCTCCCTGTCAATCATCACAGTTCTCAGCTGATGCAGAGAAGGTCACTCCCCTGCTCCAGCTTCTCAGCTGCTTTGACCTCCACATCTACTGCACTGGGCGCTTGGAGAAGGTAGGGAGATAGATTTCCTATACCTTGCTGCTTGCCTGCCAGGGCCAAAGGGTTCTATTGCCAGTATCTTTTTTTCCTAAGAACTTGGGTTCCAGAAAAATCAGCAAGCCTTTTCTTAGGCATCTTATCCTTGAAGTTTAATGCTTTTAACCCCGTTCCACTTCCCGCCAGAAGAGTGTCCTCCTCCCATCCCCACAGCACACCATCTTCTGCCTTTTCTTCTCAGCACCTGGAGCTGTTCCTGCAGCAACTCCAGGAGGTGGTGGTGAAGCATGCAGAGCCAGCGGTGCTTGAGGCTGGGGCGCATGCCCTCTACCTGCTCTGTAATCCCGAATTCACTTTCTTCAGCCGGGCGGACTTTGCCCGCAGCCAGCTAGTAGATTTGCTGACTGACCGCTTCCAGCAGGAGCTTGAAGAGCTGTTACAGGTAGGAGCTGGGGCTGGACAATGGGACACCCCAAACAAGGGTGGGAGGGGCTGCAAGACGGGGGATGTGGACTGATGAGTTCTGGGGGAAATGCTATTGTGGATCTTCTTTCCTTCTCAGTCGTCCTTCCTAGATGAGGATGAGGTATATAATCTGGCAGCCACTCTGAAACGCCTCTCTGCCTTCTACAAGTGAGTGGCTTTCCTCCTCTTCCCCATCCCGTTTTTACTGGTGTCTGTGGAGTTGGTTCCCTCTGTTCTTTTCCAGTATAACATTCCCCTTTCTCCCCCAAAGCACTCATGACCTGACTCGCTGGGAGCTCTATGAGCCATGTTGCCAACTCCTGCAGAAGGCTGTGGACACAGGAGAGGTTCCTCACCAGGTGAGTGGACAGGCTAGAGATGGGTTGGGGGCTGGGGGGCTAGATTTTAAGGACCTACGTTCTAGGTGGCCACTAGGTGTGTCAAGTCTCAGTGCGTGGAGTGGACAAAGCGAGGAAGATCAGGTGGGTGGGGGTCACCTCTTACATTCCTCTCTTAGAAGGTGGACTCTACTTCCAGGGTCTTCTTGGATTTCCTGGAAGCCAAGGATAATATTGAGGGATTCTAGAAGACGTAGAGTAAATTAGGGAGCGGTGACATTTCTACTTCGTGTAGATGCCTCTGAAGAATGTCCAGAATATCACTCATTTTCCACTGGAAAAGGAATTAGCTCTCCCTTTACTCATTTTCTCTCCTCTTCACTGGTGTGTTTCTGGCTATCTGTCTCTCCCTCTCCTAACCCAAACCTCATTTTTCAAACCCTTTGTTGTTACAGGTTATCCTGCCAGCCTTGACTCTTGTCTATTTTTCCATTCTCTGGACACTAACCCACATTTCTAAATCAGATGCTTCCCAGGTGAGTGTGGGTCTTAGATGGGATAATGGGAACAGAGGAGTCTGTGTCTTCATTCTTCCCCTTCAAGCCACTGTGCCCACAGAAGCAGCTGTCGAGTTTGAGGGACAGAATGGTGGCCTTCTGTGAACTCTGCCAGAGTTGCCTCTCAGATGTGGATACTGAGATCCAGGAGCAGGTGAGTACTGACTCAAGTGGGAGCAACAAGGCGAGTATCCCTGCCCCCATTCCAAGGAGAAATTGACAGTGTCATTTCTACCTTGGGAAACATTCTGTCCTTTTAAACATCCTTTCTTTTCCCCCTACAGGCTTTTGTCTTATTAAGTGATCTACTTCTCATCTTTAGCCCTCAGATGATTGTTGGGGGCCGTGATTTCCTTAGGCCACTTGTCTTTTTTCCTGAAGCTACTCTCCAGTCTGAGCTAGCCAGCTTCCTCATGGACCACGTCTTCATCCAGCCGGGAGACCTGGGCAGTGGTGCAGTGACTCTATACCTGGGGCTCAGTAAGGGCTGGGGCTTGGGTGTAGCTCAGAAATATAGGGCAGGAAGCTTAAGTCTGTGATTCCCTTTTGCCTTCCATGTGAGCCAGGTGATTCCCAGGAGGATCATTTACAGATAGAGCGGCTACACCAGCGGCGCCGCCTCCTAGCCGGGTTCTGCAAGCTGTTGCTTTATGGGGTGCTGGAGATGGATGCAGCCTCAGATGTTTTCAAACACTACAACAAGGTACACCAAGGCCCTACAGAAATAAAAGAGAAGGGAGCAAGTTGAGCACAGCCATGACTTGGAAACATAATAGCACTACAGGTGGGGGATATCCAATGGTTTCAAGCTTAAAGGAGAAGTAGGAGGGAAAGGCACTGGGAGTTCAGAATAAGGGGACAAAGAAAAGAGACTTAATAGTAAATAATTATGGAGAAAAAGCTGTGAAGAAATTCACTGGAGGGGAAATAGCTTATTCTTCCTGTCCAGAAATATTTATTTTTCTCTGACCCCAGTCTATGGAATGGGGTAACATAAGAAGGAAAAAAGAATAAAAGAGGGATCAGTCCTCACAGGATACCTAGATAGGTGCCCCAGTTTCCTCAACCCACCAGTATTGATTTATGCTTATTGAGCACCTGCTGTGTGCCAAGCACCATTCCAGGAGCTAAGGCCACAGCAGTGAACAAAACACACAAGTTCCTATTTGGTGGAGCTTCCATTGTAGTTGGGGAGAGACAAATAGTGAAGGTGTCAGTGCTGTGTGAGAGGGCACTGTCAGGCTTACTTCTCTTCTCCAAGAATTGGGCTTGGGGCAGTGTTTATTTCTTTTCTTTTCTTTTTTTTTTTTTTTCCTGAGACAGATTCTAGCTCTGTCGCCAGGCTAGAATGCAATGGCACTATCTCGGCTCACTGCAACCTCTGCCTCCCGGGGTTCAAGCAGTTCTCCTGCCTCAGCCTCCCAAGTAGCTGGGATTACAGGCATGCGCTGCCACGCCCAGCTAATTTTTATAGTTTTAGTAAAGACAGGGTTTCACCATCGCCAGGATGGTCTTGATCTCCTGACCTTGTGATCCGCCCAACTTGGCCTCCCAAACTGCTGGGATTATAGGCGTGAGCCACCATGCCTGGCCTGTTTCATTATTTGTTTTTTATTTTATTTATTTATTTATTTATTTATTTTTTGAGACGGAATCTCGCTCTGTCGCCCAGGCTGGAGTGCAGTGGCGTGATCTCGGCTCACTACAAGGTCCGGCTCCTGGGTTCACGCCATTCTCCTGCCTCAGCCTCCCGAGTAGCTGGGACTACAGGCACCCACCACCACGCCCGGCTAATTTTTTGTATTTTTAGTAGAGACGGGGTTTCACCGTATTAGCCAGGATGGTCTCGATCTCCTGACCTCGTGATCCACCCGTCTTGGCCTCCCAAAGTGCTGGGATTACAGGTGTGAGCCACTGCACCCGGCCTTATTATTTGTTTACCGAAACTCTGATTTATTTTGGGCTTTGCACCTGTTGATTAGAGATGAAGTCTAGTCTGAATTATTTTATGCTTCAGTTCATGTTTCCTACCTAAGGGAGTTTGGGAGGGAGACATGATTAGGGATGTGAAGGAAGAAACCAAATGGTCTTTTCCACCAGTCAGACATTACCTTCCCCACTCTTTCCCCTCAGTTCTACAATGACTATGGTGACATTATCAAGGAAACATTAACTAGAGCAAGGCAGATTGACCGAAGTCATTGTTCCCGAATCCTGCTGCTGAGCCTCAAGCAGGTGCGCCCTTCTGCCTTGAGGACATGCCAGCCCTGTTGTCCCCAAGTCTCTGTCTACCCTCAGCCACTCAGAATGTAAGATCCTTCAGAGCAGTAACTTTTCTTGTTTTGACTCTTAACTTTACGTGATAGGTTCCTTCATTCTTAGTAGACCCTTGGGAAGTATTTTTTTTTTAACTGACTGGGCAACCCCATCAAAAGTAACTTATCAGGACATTGGAACGCCAACAAGGAAGTGATAGGGAGTTCCTAATTATTTTTCAGTCTGTTCTCTCTCAGCCTCCTTCAGTTACTATAGACGTTTTTATTTAATGTTATGGAGTAGAGGTGATTGGCTTTGTTTGCTGCAGGGGTATCGGGAGTTCCCTAGAAGGAAGGAAAGAGTAAAAGTAGTAGATGGTGTCCCAAGGCCTTTGGAATTTCTGAGTAGAGAAGAGAATGCTGGACTTCTCTGTTTCCGCCGTGTTCCTCCCTTTCCCACATGCACCATGTCTCCTGGACACAGCTGTACACAGAACTGCTGCAGGAGCATGGGCCCCAGGGCCTGAATGAGCTTCCTGCCTTCATCGAGATGAGGGACCTGGCCCGGAGGTTTGCCTTGAGTTTTGGACCCCAGCAGCTGCAGAACCGTGACCTCGTGGTCATGCTACACAAGTAGGAAGTATTGGTTGCAGGTTGTGTCCAGGGAGGGCTGGGAACGAGGTCTTGGAGGGAGGTCTCGGAGGGAGGGTATGTGTGTCAAGGCATAGCAGTCAGGTTAGGGGTGGGTATGCCTTTGGAGACAAGCTGGGGACGGGGGGAGGGTGCATTTGGACAGGATAGCTCAGGCCTGGGAGGGAAGTGGGAAGAGACTTTCTTCCTAAAATAATTCTGCCCAACCAAGGGAAGGCATCCAGTTCTCCTTGTCTGAGCTTCCTCCAGCTGGCTCCTCCAATCAGCCTCCAAATCTGGCATTCCTGGAGCTCCTTTCAGAGTTTTCCCCCCGACTCTTCCATCAGGACAAGCAGCTTTTGTAAGTTGGTGGGTGGATAGAGATGTGGATTAGGGAAGGGCCTGCTGAGGGCCCAGTAGCCCCTTCAGGCTTTTGGTTCTACCTCTTTCATAGACTGTCCTATCTAGAAAAGTGCCTGCAGCATGTCTCCCAGGCACCTGGCCATCCCTGGGGCCCAGTCACCACCTACTGCCACTCCCTCAGCCCTGTGGAGAACACAGCAGAGACCAGCCCTCAGGTCCTCCCCAGCTCCAAGAGGAGGCGCGTTGAAGGTAGGGTGCTGTGTGTGGGTATGGGGGTGCCCAGCAGGTGGTCGTTGGCTGCCTGCAAACTTATTTTGTCAAGTATTTCATTGAGCATCTACTGTCATTCAGGGTATTAATTTCTTTCAAGGTTTATCTAGTCAACTGAAAACCTGTATTAAAAATCAAATAGAGGGCCAGGTGTGGTGGCTCATGCCTGCAATCCCAGCACTTTGGGAGGCCGAGGCAGGCGGCTCACGAGGTCAGGTGTTCGAGACCAGCCTGGCCAAGATGGTGAAACCCCGTCTCTACTAAAAATACAAAAATTAGCTGGGCATGGTGGCGCGCATCTGTAATCCCAACTACTCAGGAGGCTGAGGCAGGAGAATCACTTGAACCCGGGAGGCGGAGGTTGCCGTGAGCTGAGATTGCGCGACTGCACCCCAGCCTGGGTGACAGAGCGAGACTCTGTCTCAAAAAAAAAAAAAAGAAACTGATGATAAAACCAAATATTGAACTAAGAAATCTATACATTCAGAGTACCCTCCTCAACATCTTGTATTCCATTATTTTCGAAACCTTGGACACTTTTACACAACCTTCATTGTTTTTTACCTTCAGATCACCTGTTGTCTTATAAGTTGCCTAAGGTTTTGTTTTTGTTTTTGTTTATTTTTTGAGATGGAGTCTTGCTCTGTTGCCCAGGCTGGAGTGCAGTGGCGCCATCTCGGCTCACTGCAAGCTCTGCCTCCCAGGTTCACGCCATTCTCCTGCCTCAGCCTCCCGAGTAGCTGGGACTACAGGCACCCGCCACCACGCCTGGCTAATTTTTTTTGAATTTTTGGTAGAGATGGGTTTTCAGCATGTTAGCCAGGATGGTCTTGATCTCCTGACCTCATGATCTGCCTGCCTCAGCCTCCCAAAGTGCTGGGATTACAGGTGTGAGCCACTGTGCCTGGCTGCCTAAGGTTTTTTCTTTGCTTTTTAAAAAACAGCTTCATATTAAGCAACATTGTAGCAATCATTATTTCATATGCAAGTATGTGTTTTCTAGTGTACATTTTTAAATGGGACTTTATGTGACAGCTTTATTGAGATACAACTTACATATCATAAAAATCATTTTTTTTTTTTTGAGACGGAATCTCGCTCTGTCACCCAGGCTGGAGTCCAGTGGCGTGATCTCGACTCACTGCAACCTCCGCCTCCCACGTTCAAGTGGTTCTCCTCCCTCAGCCTCCTGAGTAGTTGGGATTACAGGCGTCCACCACCACCCCCAGCCAATTTTTGTATTTCTAGTAGAGACAGGGTTTCACCATGTTGGCCAGGCTGGTCTCAAACTCCTGACCTTGTGATCTGCCCACCTCAGCCTCCCAAAGTGCTCCCAAAGTGCTGGTGAGCCCCCGTGCCCAGCCAAAAATCACCCTTTTAAAGTGTACACTTAGCATATTCACTGAATTGTACAACCATCACAACTATCTAATTTTAGAACATTTTCATCTTTCCAAAAGAAACCACATACCCATTCGCAGTCTCTGCCCATCTTCCCAGCCTTAGGTAGTATCACTAATATAATTCCTATCTCTTGATTTGCCTACTCTGGACCTTTCATATAAATGGAATCATATAATATGTGGCCTTTTATGTCCAGCTTCTTTCACTTAGTACAGTGTTTTCAACGTTCATCCATACTTTGACATATATCAGTATCTCATACCTTTTTATGGCCGAAACAATATGCCATCGTGTGGATATGCCACATTCTACTTATCCACTTGTCAGTTGATTGACATTTGGGCTCTTTTATGCATAATGCTGCTAAACATGCATGTACACATTTTTGGGTGGATGCATCTTTTCAGTTATCTTGAGATATACCTGGGAGTGGAATTGCTGGTTCGTATGGCAATTCTATGTTTAAGTTTTTGAGGAACTACCACACTGTTTTCCAAAGTACCTACACCAGTTTACAATCCTACCAGCAATGTATGGGGACTCTGGTTTCTCCATGTTGTCACCGGTACTTATTAATGTCTTTTTTTATTTTATCCATCTCCTAGTAGCTGTGAGGTGTGGTATCTCATTGTGGTTTAAATTTGCATTTCCCTAATGACAAATGGTATTGAGCATCTTTTCATGTGCTTATTGACAATTTGTTTATCTTCTTTGGAGAAATGCCTGTTCTGATCCTTTAGCTATTTTAAAATAGGGTTGTCTTTTTATTGTTGAGTTGTAAGTATTCTTTATATATTCTAGACATGAGATTCCTTATGATATGCAAACATTTTCTCCCATTTTTTGGGTTGTCTTTTCGTGTTATTGGTGGTGTCCTTTGAAACACAAAAGTTCTTGAATTTGGTGAAATCTAACTTTTTCCTTTTGTTGCTTGTGCTTTTGGTGCCATATCTTGAGAAATTGTTGGCTAATTCATGAGGTCACAAAGATTTACTCCTGTGTTTTCTTCTAAGAGTTATAGTTTTAGCCGGGCATGGTGGCTCACGCCTGTAATCCCAGCACTTTGGGAGGCCGAGGCGGGCGGATCACGAGGTCAGGAGATTGAGACCATCCTGGCTAACACGGTGAAACCCCGTCTCTACTAAAAATACAAAAAATTAGCCAGGCATGATGGTGGGCGCCTGTAGTCCCAGCCACTCGGGAGGCTGAGGCAGGAGAATGGCGTGAACCCGGGAGGCGGAGCTTGCAGTGAGCCGAGATTGTTCCACTGCACTCCAACCTGGGCGAAAGAGCGAGATACTGTCTCAGAAAAAAAAAAAAAGTTATAGTTTTAGCTCTTAATTTAGATTTGTGATCCAGTTTGAGTTAATTTTTGTATATAGTGTGAGATGAGGTGTGATTTCCTTTTGTTGTCTTCTGTGTACCACCTAAAATTATGTCTTATACCACCAGGAAACTCTGCTTTAATTAATTAACTAATACATAGTTGTTAGGGACCTACTATATGAAAGATACTATGTTCAGTGTTTTAGGGGCCATGAAGAATCCAGCAGCTTATTATCTAATAGGAAAGGGAGAAATTTTAATTATGGAAAACTCGAATTATGAACAATTGCCAATAACTGCCTGAGGGCTTGTACAAGTGAATGCTGTAGAATTCAGAGAATGATGAGAGCTTTACCAAGAAGATGGAATTGCTGGAGCTTAAAAAATAAGTAAGATTTTTATAAGCTGAACAGAGGAAGGAGGAGCATCATGGGCTGGCAGAATAGCACAAGCAAAGCATAGAAGGCTGTGTGCTGGGCGAAGCATGGAGGTACATAGATCGCTCTGCCTAAAGCGTAGGGTTTGTGAAGGCAAGATAAAACTGAAGAGTTTGTTTTTATTCATTCAATAGATACTGAGCACCGTGTGCTGGGAATACAGCAGTGAACAAAAAAGCTAAACATCTCTTTCTTTAGAGAGTGTCAGATAGTAGTAAATACTATGGCAAAAAAGCAGGGAGGATTGTGAGGAATGCTGGCGGGGTGGGGATTGCAGTCTTACAAAGACTGATCAAGGGAAGACTCAACACAAATGTTGGGCAAAAAGCCTAAAAAATAAGTTAAAAGATACACTTAGGCACATTACAATTTTAACAGGTTTATTTGAGCATTCAGCAATTTTATCAATCAGGCAGTGGCAGACCGCCAGCAGTTCAGGGCGCCACCACCGAGGAAACCAGAGGGGACACTTACAAGGTGTCTCTGGGAGCAAGACAAAGAAACTATTTGATTGGTTAGAGTGGAAAGTTCATATTTAGAGGTTAACTGACCATAAATCTCTTGTTAGAGGTTAGTCGGTAGTTTCTGACTGGTTAAGCTGAAGTTTCCTGCTCCTAGGTTACACACAACACTTTCACTCTGAGTTGAGTTTCAGTTTGCTGACTTAGGAACCCAAAGTGCAGGAGCCATTTCAGCCTATTGGCCTCCCAGCGAATTTTTTATAACAGGTGAGGGAGGGTGCTTAGTGTGTATCAGAATAGCATACCAAAGGAAGCAGCCAGTCCTGAGGCCACGAGGGGATGGGGGGAATGTTCCTGGAATGTTCAAGGAACAGCAGAGAAGACCATTATGGCCAGAATGCAGATTGTAGGACATGAGACCAAAGAGGGTACAGGATCCCAGAGCATCTAAGGCAGAGACTGGCTTTTACTCTGAGTGCAGTAGGAAAACCATTGGAGGATTTTGAGGAACGACAGGATCAACCTCTGTTTTTAAAGGATCCTTCTGGCTGCTGTGTCGAAAACGACAGGAGATGGGGGAAGGCTAGAAGCTGGGAGACCAGCAGGGAGGTTGTGGCTGTTGTAGGAGTCCAGCCCAAGATGCAAGATAAGAGAGCTTCTTAGGCCGGGGGCAATGGTGGAGGTGCCGAGAAACGGCCAGATTCTGGGTGCATTTTCAAGGTATCTCTAATAGGCTTTTCTGACAAACTGGATGTGGGATGTAAGACAAAAAGAGCAGTTGAGGATGGCTCCAAGGATTTTGGCCTGACAGAAGGATGGAGTTGACAGTATCTGAGATGGGGAAGGCAGAGAGTGAAGATAGCTGTGGGGGAAGGTTGGGGCATTGGTGTTGGCCACAGGATTACAGGTGGAGATGTTGAACAAACCATGGGGGCTGTTAAGATGGAGTTCAGGGGAGAGCTGAAGGCTTGAGATCCCTTTGGGATGTGGCAGAGTATAGGTGATATTTAAGGACATGAACGTGAGTGGCTGGGGAAGCCAGTGAAGATGGAGAAGAGGAGAGACTCAAGGGCCCAGCCCTCGGGCATCACACCATTAATAGCTCAGGGAGATCAGGAGGACACATCTGGGGCCCCAAGGTTTCCTCTCTGGGAATCCAAGCCCAGGGGTATGTCTCTTCCCTGTTTTCTGTAGCCCTCTGCTTAAACCCATAGGCTGAGCGCTCACTTTGGGATTATTGTTTTTAGTGGAGAAGGGGGGTAATGGGAGTGTGACTGTTTACAGTTAACAGATGTTAATGTCAATTTGACTGATGCTTTAAAATAGTATTGCCTGGGTTTTCTCAGGCAGTGAGAATCTTTGGATTCTTTCTCCTCCTCTACCTTCTCCAATCTCTGCAGGAGATAAGTCCCCCTTCATATCATATCAGTTATACTGGCATTGCAATCACTTCATTTTTTTCTAGCTTTTAGAAAATCCTGTCTCCCATTTTCCGGTTCCTCCCTGGCCCTCATTTGTCCACTCTAGCCTCTGGTACCAAAACTCTATTGCCATTTACAGCTTTTTCTGACCACAGAAATCTTGGATAGGATCTCAGATGTCTTCATTGGCTAACTCAGACCTCTCAATCTTAGAGACTCCAACCCTCCCTCATGTTTGTGTTCACCTGTTCACCTGTTACAGTTTATCTGTGAAATGTATATTTATATATCTTTCCATCTTGTTTTCTAGGCTGTGTAGCAAGTTCTTCTTGGACAAGGCCTAGCTACAATTCTCTAAGCCTTACTTTTTGGTACATAGGGCTATGTATTTAGTACATAGGGCTATGCCCATTTGAGGGCAACAGAATGAAGCTGTATAAGTTTTCCATTCTCTTCCTGATTGACTTTCCCTTACTAAATCCTGGGCAGGTCTTGGAAAGAGAGCACACCTGTCGCAGGCCCTGGGCTGTGGTTAATGTATGCATCTGCTTGGCAGGGCCTGCCAAGCCTAACAGAGAGGACGTCTCCTCGTCCCAGGAAGAAAGTCTGCAGCTGAACAGCATCCCGCCCACGCCCACCCTCACCTCCACAGCTGTGAAGAGCAGGCAGCCCCTGTGGGGGTTGAAAGAGATGGAGGAAGAAGATGGCTCAGAGTTGGATTTTGCCCAGGGGTGAGGCCATGGAGGGAATCTGGGTGTCTGAGTTCCCAGTTTGGTGTCTGGCTGCCTCCATCTTGCTGTTTCTGTTTCATGGTTCCCTGCTGTAGCACTCCCACATTGTTGGGTTCTTCTCAAACCCTTCTCCATTGTTTAGCTTTAAAATGCATCTCTCTGAGCTTTTCTCCCCATTAACACCAGCTGCCTTACATCCTCTTCTTACCCTTGATTTTTATCCCATCATTGATCCTGCTTCATTCCCAGCAGTCAGCCCGTCGCAGGCACCGAGAGGTCAAGGTTCTTGGGTCCACAATATTTCCAGACTCCACACAACCCTTCAGGTCCTGGCCTGGGCAACCAGCTGATGCGGTGAGCTTTTCTCATCATCTCCTGTCTTCACTTCAGATCTGTCGCCCACTGTGAGGGGATTCCTGTCTCACCCATTGCCTCTCTGTGGGTGCTTTTTGGACTTGTTTTAGCCACAGAGCACTTCCTGTCAGCACAATCGGGAAACTACTATGCTGTACTTACTGCTCCCCACTTCCCCCACCCCGGGTGTCTGAGAAACTCTCAGGGGTCCTCAAAGAACAGTTTGAAAAGCCAGTCTCTTTGCCCCTACATCAGACTCAGCCTTATGGAAGAGGACGAGGAAGAAGAGTTAGAAATCCAGGATGAGTCAAATGAAGAACGGCAGGATACAGACATGGTGAGTAGACCACCCTGCCCTTCTCTCTCAAGAACTAGGGGCTGATGTGCCAAAGAGAAGCCAGGGTGTTTCCCCTCTCTCCGCTCGGTGATGCCTGGTCTGGAAAAGCTGAATGAATCTAGAGTAAAGGAGGACAGGTTATATGTTGGTTTGGACTTTGCTTGGACTCTACTTTTATTAAAGAATAAGGAAAAGAAATTACAAATACCAAAGAAGGTTGGAATAGCACTCTCGCTCCCAATCCCTAAATAAATATTGTTGCCTCCGAACCCCCTAGGAATTGGAAGGAGTCCTAATGCTGGAGGTGGGAGGTCATTCAGTCCAAGTGGCAGCCCCTTCAGTGTCTCTCCCCACAAAACATGACCCCCTATCCTCCATCTCCCTACTAGAGGGCTTCCCCTCCCTGTCCCTTCCCTCACTCCCTTTCTAACCTAGCCTGTTTCCCCAGGAGGAACTGCTGCTGGTGTAGTGGGAAAAGCCTGGCATTTGGAGTGAGGTGACATGAGTGCTAGTCCTCAACTCCATGTCAAGTTAGCGCTTTTACCCCTCCTCAGCCTCCATTTTCTCATCTTTATTTTTTAATTATTTTTATTTTTTGAGGTAGAGTCTCTCTTTGTCACCTAGGCTGGAGTGCAGTGGCATAGTCTCGGCTCACTGCAACCTCTGCCTCCTGGGCTCAAGCAATTCTCCTGCCTCAGACTCCCAAGTAGCTGGGATTACAGGCACGCGCCATCATGCCCGGCTAATTTTTTTTGTATTTTTAGTAGAGACGGGGTTTTGCCATGTTGGCCAGGCTAATCTCGAACACCTGACCTCAAGTGGCTCCACCTGGCTCAGCCTCCCTAAGTGCTGGGATTACAGGTGTGAGCCACTGCGTGGGGCCCATTTTCTCATCTTTAAAACAGAGCTGTTAGCCTGTAGTTCCAGCAACTCGGGAGGTGGAGACAGGAGGATCAATAGTCCAGGAGTTGGAGTCCAGCCTGGGTAACATAGTAAACACGTGTCTCTTAAAAAAAAATCAACAATTCAAAAATAAATAAAATGGACCTTTTACATAAAATATAAGGTAAAACCACCTTATAAATGGAAAAGGGCTATGTCTGAGTTCAGGCTACTGTAACAGAATTCCATAGACTGGTGTCTTACAAACAGCAGGTATGTATTTCTCACAGTTCTGGAGGCTGAAGTCCAAGGGTTGGGTTCTGGTGAGGGCCTTCTTCCAGCCTGTAGACTGCTGGCTTCTAGTTGTATCCTCACCTGGAGGAGAAACAGCAAGCTAGCCCTCTGGCCTGGGCTTAGAAGGGCATTCATCCATCCATGAGGGCTGCACCCCTATGACCCAATCACCTCCCAAAGGCCCCACTTCCAAACAGCATCACACTGGGGGAAGGATTTCAATATGTGGGTTTAGGGGGACACAGATATTCAGTCCATTACAGGCTGCGTATCTTCTGCTGTTATTCTTCTGTTCTCTTCTCTGCAGGGAAGGAAAAAGAACAGAATAGAACAGAACAGGGGAGTCTTGTGCTCAGAAGGAGAAACCAAACAATGATACCTTCAAACCAGAGACTAGAGAGCAAGGCCTCTGTTAAAATATTATTTCCTAACATCTCAGAAAAAATCCGTTTTCTGGTTTCCAAAACAAAGTCATTTAAGGGGCTCAGTCAGCAGGCCAAGAAGCGCTCTGCAGTCAGGCCTGATCCTGGTGCCCACACTGACTTCCCTCCCAGGAGGTGCCATAGGGGCCTGCTGTGCCCATATTTGTTCTTATGAGGCTGGGAAAGGAACTGGTTTTTTTATTTGCGAAGTGACAGGAGTGTGTAAAGGCCTTTTTGACTTTTAACCTCATTCTCTCTAGCAAGCAAGTAGCTACTCTTCCACCAGTGAGCGCGGGCTGGACCTCTTAGATTCTACAGAGCTGGATATTGAGGTGAGTGTCCCCAGAGCAGGAGTTATGTATCCTTCGGAAATGCTGGCAGGCAACCCGTGCACTCATCAAATTGACAGGCCATAGCCTGGGGGTGGCCCTCTGGGCTGTCTCTGGGGCTTTGAGGGTAACCCAGGGGAGGATGGTCTGCCCATTGGCCCGTTGCTGTGTCCTGTGTATTCCTTTCATCTTTCTCATTATAGGATTTCTGACAGGACTCTGGGCCCCTCCCCAGCTCCACTCCCTACCTCAAGAATGTGACCATTTGGAAAAGGCAAAGAGAAAAGGAGCAAAATGAAGCATTCCCCCAGGCTTCAGCCCTGGGCTCTGAGGGGAAAGAGTTGGGCATTGTTTTTCTAACCTAACCTTTCCCTCTGGGGTAGAGAAGCCGAGAGACCCTGTCCTCCCTAATGCACTGTGGCCCAGTCCCCTTGCCTTTTTCCTGTTCTGTTTGGAGTGGAGAAGGGCAGCACCTCTGTGTTTAATGGAAATAGCCCATAGTCTCCTGGATTTTTGGAACATCTTTCTCAGCCTATTTTGTGTCCTAATGATTCGCTCAATAAACATGTTTGAATCCACACGTTCCCAAGGTGTGGCTTGAGATCGTTAAACTGATGGAGGTCAGGTTCTTGGTCCGCCTTGTCCCATGGCCCAGCATATAGATGTCCCCACACCCTGCAGGTGCTTTGTCTACAGGCTCTCCAGGAAGTATTGCTTAGTAACTGAGAGGTGGGGTGAGGCAGTAGAGATGGGGAGAGTTTGACTGCCTGTGAGTAGTTTATCTAGTGGCCACAGCCTCTGCAGTAGTAAAAGTTGTGCTGACAGGTGGCAGAGTGGAGCAGGACCTTGTGAAGCTACCTGTCTCACCCATGTGAGCCAGGCCAGGCCATGTGTCCTGGCAGCCTTCACCCACGGGTTCTTTCCAAAGGAAATTTTATCCTCATCCCAAAGATACCTGTCATAATTTGGAATTTGATCAAATCACAGTATCTGAGAGTTAAAAGGAAACTAAGGAGTTACTCTAAATGTCCAACCCTAAAATCCAAGTGACAATGTCACCTTCACTCTTGCCTTCTCCAGCTAGTTCTTCACCAAATTCTGTCAAGACTTGGTGAAGAAAATTCTCTGGCCTATGTCCTCCACACATTGTCACCATCGTCTCTCACCTAGACTGCCACAGTGCAGCCTCAGGGCCAGCCTCTTGAAACTCAGACAGACTTGTTTGCTCTTGTTTTGCCTTGTGGAGCAGCACAGCACCTCTGTTCTCTCTTGTCCCTCTGACAAGCAGTATTTGAAGACGGCTGTTGTCATTTTGTACTTTCACTGTTTTCTTCTGTGGTTTAAGGAATGCTTCAGCCTCTCTCTTTAGATAAAATTTCCAGTTCTTCCCATCATGGGCACCTGCTTTAGTGACAGGTTCTCACTGTGGTCTCCTAGGTCAGACACAGCCATCCAGCTAGTGATGTGTGCAGAAAAAGCCGTGACTCCCTGCAATCAGGTCACTCATCCAAGACCACCTCGCCCCTTTCATTCTCCCTCCCCGCCCCCACCTGCCCCTCCCAGATGAAAGCTATAAGAAATTGGGTTGAGTCTCCTTTTGGAAAGGTAGCCCTCGGGGAGTCAGAGCTGGGGTGTGGGGGAAGGCTAACTCATTGAGCGATCTTTCGCCTGTATTCAGGTAGAATAGTTCTGGGGAAAGGAGCCTGTTTTGTGGGATGAGGGAACAGAGTGGGAGAACTGAGGAGAAGATGTGGAGGTCTCTCAAAATCCAGGAGGGGAAAGATTCCTGAATTATTTAAATACTAACCAAGCTAAGGGTGCTTCACAAGAGGATAAGAGCAGCTTGGGGGCTTTGCATCAATATGGACACCTGTGTACAGCCAGGCAGCCCAGTGCACTGGGTTGAGTCACAGCCTTAGAATCTGGGAGCTTGACACCATGCTCTCTAAAGCCTTTGACACTGTTTATTGAGAGGCTGGGTCTAGGTTGTCTCCTCTTGAATATGGGCTTTGTGATGCTTGACTAATAGAAGATGATAGAAATGATGCCATGCTAGTTAGTGGGCCCAGATTTTAAGGAAACTGGCAGTTTCCGTTTCCTGTCTCTTCCTGTACCTGGGTTCACACTTGGAACCCGGTCACCATTCTGTGAGCAAGGCCAGCAGCCAAAGGAAAAGGCCACGTGTAGGTGTTCCTGCCAGCAGTCCTCACCGAGGTCCCAGCCAACATCCATGTTGGCTGCCAGATTCAGTCCAGATGGGAGTCAGATGATTCCAACCTTCCCTGTTTTTCAGTTTTCCCAGCTGAGGTCCAGGGATCAGGGAGCAGAGACAGCCCATCTTTTCTGTGCACTTTCCAAATTCCTGATCGTGGAGCCCATGAGCATAGTAAGATGTAAAGCACTCAGTCTGGAGGGGTTTGTTATGTAGCCATAGCAACCGGAACAGGGCCTTAAGAGTCATAAGACTCCCAACTTTTGGACATTTGTATCAGTTTTTTAAAAAATTGTAAGTTATATAAACATATACTAATTCTTCTATATTATACACATTTAAAATGTAACATGAGTTGACGAAATAAGTGTTTTAAAATATTTCATTGGTTAACACTGCAAAATGCCTTTTTGCTCTTAAAAAAGGGCTTAGAGCAAAGTGAGAAACATTTTTTAAAATCATGGTTCAACATTTTCTGAAGTTCAGTTGAAAGTTCAGTTTAGGGCTGGGTGCGGTGGCTCAGGCCTGTAATCCCAGCACTTTGGGAGGCCAAGGCGGGCAGATCACGAGGTCAAGAGATTGAGACCATCCTGGCCAACATGGTGAAACCCCGTCTCTACTAAAAATACAACAAAATTAGCTGGGTGTGGTGGCATGAGCCTGTAGTCCCAGCTACTCGGGAGGCTGAGACAGGAGAATCGCTTGAATTTGGGAGATGGAGGTTGCAGTGAGCCGACCCAGCAAGACTCCGTTTCAAAAAAAAAAAAAAGTTCAATTTATTCTGATACTTTTAATGACCTTCATAACTGCCAGGAGTACCTCTCAAAAACAGGCAAATCAAGTGGATTAGGTGCCTCTTTGCAGTTACCGCTTTTTAAATAGATCCAAACCCGCTGAAAATCTTCATCTAGAAGACTTGTGAACAGGTCAGAGGATGATTTCCCGGCACAGACAACAGTGCTCTCATGAGGACAGGCATTGTCTGGGAGCACAAAACCTGAAGTGTGTGAGCTGCAGTGTGTGGTGATGGGCTGGGGGTTTGCCTCTCTTCCCTCACAATACTGATCGTATTCCAAGGGAATCATGACTTACAATGTTTTTATCTACACTTGATCTTGGCCAAAAGGCCAAGAAGCGATACTGTCTTTTTGTCTTAAAAGGTTAGAATGTTTCTTTATTTCTACTGCACAACATCTGTGGATACTTTTTTGTGCACGCCCTCACCCTGACAGGCTCAGCTGTGAAGGGTTCATGCCAGCAAGCCCCCTGCTGGCCGTCCAGGACAGCCCAGGGCTCTGGCTTCTCAGCAGCACCTCCCACTGGCCAGGCCCAGGCCAGGCTGGACGAGCTGAGGCCAGCTTAGGTAGCAGGCATGGAGGCCTTTGCCCAGCCTGGTAAGTGATGCAGAGCAGTGCTTTTCAGGGGTGGCACTGTAGATGTCCAGCCCTACTAGGTCTGTGGGTTTTTCTCCTCCTGTGCGGAGATGAGAGATGGTAGAAATGAAGACACAAGACAAAGAGATAGAAGAAAAGACAGCTGGGCCCGGGGGACCACTACCACCTAGACGCGGAGACCAGTAGTGGCCCTGAATGCCTGACCGCGCTGCTATTTATGGTATTCAAGGCAAAGGGGGCAGGGTAAGGAGTGCGAGTCATCTCTATCGATAGATAAGGTCACATGAGTCACGTGTCCACCAGACAGGGGTCTTTACCTTTTAGGTAGCCGAGGCGGAGAGAGAGAGGACAGCTTACATCATTACTTCTTCTATGCTCTTCTCAGAAAGATCAAAGACTAATACTTTCACTAATTCTGCTACTGCCATCTAGAAGGTGGAGCCAGGTGTACAGAGCGGAACATGAAAGTGAAACAGGAGGGTGACTGCTGAAGCACAGCATCACAGGGAGACGGTTAGGCCTCCGGATGGCTGTGGGCGGGCCTGACTGATGTCAGGCCTTCCACAAGAGGTGGTGGAGCAGCGTCTTCTCTAACTCCCCCAGGGAAAGGGAGTCTCCCTTTCCCGGTCTGCTAAGTAACAGTTATCTTCCCAGGCACTGGCACCACTGCTAGACCAAGGTCTGCTAAGTAACGGGTGCCTTCCCAGGCACTGGCATTACCACTAGACCAGGGAGCCCTCTAGTGGCCCTGTCCGGGCATGACAGAGGGTTCACACTCCTGCCTTCTGGTCACTTCTCAGCATGTCCCTTCAGCTCCTATCTCTGTATGGCCTGGTTTTTCCTAGGTTATAATTGTAGAACAAAGATTATTATAATATTGGAATAAAGAGTTATGCTATAAACTAATGATTAGTAATATATATAATCATAGCTATAATCTATTTCTAGTATAACTATTCTTATTCTATGTATTTTCTTTATTATACTGGAACAGCTTGTGCCCTCGGTCTCTTGCCTTGGCAGCTGGGTGGCTTGCCTCCCACATGGCACTGCTGGGCATTGTCTGTTAATATTGAATAATTGTTTTAAGATTATTTTCAATAAGGCTTTACCTTTTTTAACTTGCACTGTGGCCATGAGCTCTGCTGGAAGTGACTTGTTGGTGTTATCTCCTCAGTTATAAAGTGAAGGGATTTTTCTTTTTCAGATTACTGAGAGTCTTCCGTTACTAGGTAAGTCACCGCATCCTTATAACTCCAGGTGACACTGACTGGGGTTTATGGGATGAAAGAGGAGTGTGTGCTTGGATGATGGGGTGTGATAGTGAAGGGGTGAAAGGTTTCTTCTCACACATAGACATCGTGAGGTCTTCCTTGAGCTCTTTAGAGCCTTCCCTCGGGATAGGATGAAATACTGAGATCCTAGAAAGGATTCACAAAACGTGTCACTCATCAGCGCAGATTCACCGATTCACCCCTAGATGTGTGTGGGATTTGGATGGCAGAGAGAAACAGGCACTGAAGATTTTTGGTCAGGACAGGGCAGAGAAATAAGAAGAGTTGAAAATTCACCAAAGGATAGATAAACCCAGGGCGTTTAGAGAAAACCTGTAGTGTGCAAAGGAGCCCAGAATCCTGGGGCAACTTGGAGGGAAATATACTTAATTTGATTCACTAAGTTAGGCCCAGTGAAGGGATTGGGTGGCATAGGTAGAAGCCGAAAAATAAAGTATCTTGTATTGCTGGAGTAGCCTCTGTTTCTGAGGTCACATCCAAACTTAGCGAGGCAGCTTAACCTGGTGAGAGACATGGGTTCAACTCCTGGCTTCTGCACTGCTAGGGCAGAGGACTGCTGTTTGCTGACACAATCTTGGTGCGTTGGAAGTGAAAGGGAAGAGGCACTGGTGGCTGTGCTTTGGGCCCGAGCAGCCAGAAGCCAGTTGCCATCACCTATGACGAGGAGACAGCGCCTGGGGCAGAGCCCAGTATGGGGTGCGTTCAGGGTAGATCAGGAGGTATGAGTGGGTAGTGGGCGAGCCAGGCTGGGGGTTGTGGGGGAGGCCTGCATTGCAGGTGTAAGCGTGGGACCCACATCAGATTGGTAGTGGGTCATGCATGCTGGGCTGGCTCTCAGGTCCTCCCTGCTGGCTTCCCACTCCCAGGGGCTTTCTCCTCCGATTCCTTAGCTGGGTGAGGGGCGGGACAGAGCCCTTTCTTAGGGAAGCCCGGCACCCCTTGCTGTCCAGGGAAGGGGAGTCCTTCTAGCCCCTGACAGCTTCTCTGCCCCTCCCCTGGCCTCCCCAGGCCTAGCCAGGGCTGGGTTCTCACCCACCTGTGCCGCCCTGCCTTGTTACCTGGAAGCACAGCCTTGGGGACTGAGCAGGCCCTCACTGTCACTTTAAGAAGGGAATCAGCCACTTTGTGCTCACCACCTCTGGGGAAGGTGTGAGAGGAGAGAAGGAAGTGGCTGTTTGGCTGCTGACAACATGAAGACTTCCTGCGATGAGAACAGAGGCACAGGTGCCGGCCCTGCAGCCCCCAGAACCTGGACTGGAGGGGGCCATGGGGCACCGGACCCTGGTCCTGCCCTGGGTGCTGCTGACCTTGTGTGTCACTGCGGGTGAGTGCCGGCACCAGAGAGGGGCAGGGGCTGCAGGGAGGGTGATGTAGGACAACAGCCCACCGACCTTGCTGCTGTTCCACAGGGACCCCGGAGGTGTGGGTTCAAGTTCGGATGGAGGCCACCGAGCTCTCGTCCTTCACCATCCGTTGTGGGTTCCTGGGGTCTGGCTCCATCTCCCTGGTGACTGTGAGCTGGGGGGGCCCCAACGGTGCTGGGGGGACCACGCTGGCTGTGTTGCACCCAGAACGTGGCATCCGGCAATGGGCCCCTGCTCGCCAGGCCCGCTGGGAAACCCAGAGCAGCATCTCTCTCATCCTGGAAGGCTCTGGGGCCAGCAGCCCCTGCGCCAACACCACCTTCTGCTGCAAGTTTGCGTCCTTCCCTGAGGGCTCCTGGGAGGCCTGTGGGAGCCTCCCGCCCAGCTCAGACCCAGGTGGGGCCGGGGCGAGGGGTCCAGGAGGGCAGGGAGGGGCTCGGGAACTGGCCACCCATCTGATTCTTGTCTCCGTGCCCAGGGCTCTCTGCCCCGCCGACTCCTGCCCCCATTCTGCGGGCAGACCTGGCCGGGATCTTGGGGGTCTCAGGAGTCCTCCTCTTTGGCTGTGTCTACCTCCTTCATCTGCTGCGCCGACATAAGCACCGGTGAGACCTGGTCCCTGTCCACGTCCCCCTGACACTGGGATGGCCACATGCCCTGCAGAGCTCTGACCATCCTTGCTCTCTCCCAGCCCTGCCCCTAGGCTCCAGCCGTCCCGCACCAGCCCCCAGGCACCGAGAGCACGAGCATGGGTGAGGAGGGGACCTGCTTTGGGGATGAGGTGACAGGGGCAGGGGCAGGGGGGCCAGGGCTGGGCCCAAGCTGTGCAGACTCACTTGACCCTCCTTCCCCCGCGCAGGCACCAAGCCAGGCCTCCCAGGCTGCTCTTCACGTCCCTTATGCCACTATCAACACCAGCTGCCGCCCAGCTACTTTGGACACAGCTCACCCCCATGGGGGGCCGTCCTGGTGGGCGTCACTCCCCACCCACGCTGCACACCGGCCCCAGGGCCCTGCCGCCTGGGCCTCCACACCCATCCCTGCACGTGGCAGCTTTGTCTCTGTTGAGAATGGACTCTACGCTCAGGCAGGGGAGAGGCCTCCTCACACTGGTCCCGGCCTCACTCTTTTCCCTGACCCTCGGGGGCCCAGGGCCATGGAAGGACCCTTAGGAGTTCGATGAGAGAGACCATGAGGCCACTGGGCTTTCCCCCTCCCAGGCCTCCTGGGTGTCACCCCCTTACTTTAATTCTTGGGCCTCCAATAAGTGTCCCATAGGTGTCTGGCCAGGCCCACCTGCTGCGGATGTGGTCTCTGTGTGTGCGTGTGTGGGCACAGGTGTGAGTGTGTGAGTGACAGTTACCCCATTTCAGTCATTTCCTGCTGCAACTAAGTCAGCAACACAGTTTCTCTGATGTCGGCCTCGGCTGTGCTTCTTCTTTGGGGGTGAAGAGAGTGGGGAGGCAGTCTCCACCCCTGGGAGGCAGAAGCCAGGTGAGAACCAGAGTGGGTTGGGGCCTCATTGCAGGGCTGGGGTTGGCCCAGGGAGAGGGCAGTGTCCCAATCTTAGAGATCTGTCCTGGCTTCTCAGAGTGGCAGGGGTGTTGGGGGAGCTTCCTGAGGGACACCTGTGGCTGCCTAGATAGGGCTGGGGGATCCCAGTGGGATGGTCTCTGCTCCAATCCCACCATGTTCTAGGACAACAGCAAGGGTTCCTGGGGCTTTGGCCTGAGAGAAGTCCCTGTGGTTTGACCTGGCTTCCCTCTGCTGGGCTCCCTGCTGTGGCCTGGGCTGGGGTCCTGATGCCCTCCTTCCACAGCTGGCGTTAGGCAGGGTGTGGAGAGTAGGGGGACTCACCTGAAATCTTCCCTCAATCACTTCCCCCGCCTCCTCTCGGGGAAGGCAGAGGCCTTCACAGACATGGGGGACTCCCCACAAAATGTTCCATCCAGAGCCAACCTTTCTGCTTGGTAGAGCTGTGTCTCCCCCTCAGCCTAGTTCCAGGGCGGGTCCGTGTCTCCCACCCCAAACTAGTTCCAGGGTGGGTCCCTGTCTCCCACCTCAGACCAGCTTTGGGGCTGGTCCGTGTCTCCCCCTTCAGACTATCTCTGGGGCAGGTCCATGTCTCCCACCTCAGACTAGCTCCAGGGCAGGTCTGTGTCTCCCCATTTAAACTAGCTCTGGGGCGGGTCCGTGTCTCCCCCATCAGACTAGCTCCGGGGCGGGTCTGTGTCTCCCACCTCAGACTAGCTCCAGGGCAGGTCCATGTCTCCCACCTCAGACTAGTTCTGGGGCGGGTCTTTGTCTCCCCGCTCAGACTAGCTCTGGAACGGGTCCTTGCCTTCCCACTCAGATTAGTTCCGGGGTGGGTCCATGTCTCCCCGCTCAGACTAGCTCCAGGGAAGGTCTGTGTCTCTTCCCTCAGATGAGCTCCTGGCAAAGCCTCCCCCGTCAGACTAAGACTCCTAGGCAGAGCCGTGCCTCCCCCTGGTCCAGCCGGCGACCCCTCATGCCCAAGGCAGCCCTACCCATTGAAGTAGGACATGACATCCATGAGGAGTGTGGCAACAGCAGGCAGCGTGTCGGGGTCCAGGCTGGTGACACAGAACCTGTTGCTCGGGCTGGACAGTGGGTGGATGACCGGCATCTGGACTGTAAGAGCACAAAGATGTCAGGCACTGAGGCTGGGACTGAAAGCAGCAGCTCTGGTGAGTGCAGGGCCTGGGAAGAGGGCTGGGGAGGGCTCAGCCGCAGGCCCTGAGAGACTCATTCACTGCTGCTTCTCCAGCCTCTACCACCAATTACCACCGTCCTGATTCTCCATCTCACTCTCAGGCCCCTGGGCCTTTGCACATGCTGTGCTGGCTGCCTGGGATGCCCTTCCCAACTGGCACCACCTGGCCCCGTTCCTACCTGTGTTCCAGGCTTCAGCACCACAGTCCCTGCCCAGGGAAACCCACCCTGACACCTGGGATTGCAGCAGGAGTGGCCTCTGGCCATTGCTGTATGCATGCACGTCCACCACCCTTGCTAGACATGGCAGCAGGGCCTGCCCAGGACCTTTCCATCACATTTTTTTTTTTTTGAGATGGAGTTTTGTTCTTGTTGCCCAGACTGGAGTGCAATGGCACAATCTCGGCTCACCGCAACCTCCGCCTCCTGGGTTCAAGTGATTCTCCTGCCTCAGCCTCCTCAGTAGCTGGAATTACAAATATGCACCACCACACCCAGCTAATTTTGTATTTTTAGTAGAGACCAGGTTTCTCCATGTTGGTCAGGCTTGTCTCAAACTCCTGACCTCAGGTGAATTGCCTGCCTCGGCCTCCCAAAGTGCTGGGTTTACAAGCATGAGCCACCACACCTTGCCCTTTGCATCCCGTTCTGCCTGGCACTCCATTCATGCTCAGTGGGCAGAAGCCCGTGCTGAGAGCAAGGCTGGTCTACGGCTTGGCCTGGTAACTTCGTGAGGTTTCCCCGCACAAACCCCCGCCCCCAGCTCACCCAGCTTGGGCTTCACGAAGCCACTGGTGATGCCGAGGTTCTCGGCTGCTACAGTCTAGCCACTGACCACAGGATGGTGAACTCTGATGACAACGTGTGGGTGACAAAGGGCAGGTCCCGCTTGAGCACCTAGGGGCAAGAAGTTGAGGCTGTGTGTGCCTGGTGGCCCTGGGGCACCAACCTCTCACCCTGAGACTCTGCCCCCACCCTGGAATAGCGTGGAAGGGCAAGGCTGCAAGGGGTGGGAGATGGGAGTGAGTGTGTCAGAGGCGGGCCCAAGTGTGCAAGGCGTGTCTGTGATGGTCAGCTCACCAGGATGAAGTCTGTCTGATACGTGGACAGCATGAACACGGATATGTTCTGGTCAGCCAGTGGGGCGATGACTGACTTGGCGATCTTGGTCATGCCAATAGGCTGGGAGCTGGAGAAGCTGCCACCGCCGGACACCACGTTCAGGGCCAGCCAGGTGGCATCCGCCACACTCAGGTGCTCCGAGGAGGGCAGCTCTGGAGGGAGACACAGAAGGCAGCCCTGTGACTGCTGAGGTTCCAGCTGTCCCAAGGGCAGGGCAAGGTAGGCCAGAGAGGTGGAGAGTGAGGCTCTGGGGCCAGCTCTACCCTGTGCCTTGCCTCACTTTCCAACAGGATTTTTTTTTTTTTTTTTTTTTTGAGACAGTCTTGCTCTGTCACCAGGCTGGAGTGCCTGGAGTGGTGCGATCTCGGCTCACTGCAACCTCTGACTTCCTGGTTCAAGTGATTCTCCTGCCTCGGCCTCCCAAGTAGCTGGGATTACAGGCACGTGCCACCATGCCTGGCTAATTTTTGTATTTTTAATAGAGACGGGGTTTCACCATGTTGGCCAGGATGGTCTCAATCTCTTGACCTCGTGATCCGCCTGCGTCAGCCTCCCAAAGTGCTGGGATTAGAGGCGTGAGCCACCGCACCTGGCTGGATGGGATTGTTTTTTGAGAGAGTCTTGCTCTGTCGCCCAGGCTGGAGTGCAGTGGTGCAATCTCGGCTCATTGCAACCTCCACCTCCTGGGTTCAAGTGATTCTTGAGTAGTGGAGATTACAGGTATGCACCATCACACCCAGCTAATTTTTGTATTTTTAGTAGAGATGGCATTTTCCCATGTTGGTCTGGCTGGTCTCGAACTCCTGATCTCAAGGGGTCCTCCTGCCTTGGCCTCCCAAAGCGCTAGGATTACAGGCGTGAGCCACTGCGCTCGGCCTTCAACAGAATGGGATTTGAATCAAAGGCTGCTTCCTGGGAGGACTGGGCAGGGAAGGCCCTCAGATGACACAGGACATCCCCAGCAGCTTAGCAGAGTAGGAGCCATGTGGGCAAGTGGTTGATCTGCGCCAAGCCTCAGTTTCCTCAGCCGTAAAACGATGGCATCAGTAGTGGGTAATGCCCTTATCTTTAGTTCTTACAACCCTTTTGTGGGTCTGATGCTGTCATCACGCCCATTGTCTCGCGTGCAACTGGCTTTCAAACTGGGTTCCTGGAGACCTCCCAGGAAGGCTCTGGGTGGAGGGGAGGCCAGGAAAAGGCTGGGTGGGGCTTTGGGGTTTCTCTTCCCCCTTCAGCCAGCCCTGCACATTGGGCTTCTCTGGAAGAACAGGCAACTCCAGGAGGGCCCCTGAAGAGGCTGCATCATGGGGGGCAGTGACTGTCACCCATGTCCCTCCTGAGAGCCTGGAAGTCCCAGGGGCTGGCAATGGCTTTGGCAGGCGGGGGAGTCCACAGCAGCAGCAACTGCTAAGCCTCCTTACCTAGCTCATGAAAACCCAGAATCCAAACGCTGGAGCCATCCCTTCCACCCTGTCCTACAGACAGAGTCCCTGAGTAGCCCTGAACGTGGGACACAGGCACACACTATGTGTGACCACACCCAGCCGCAGACTCGAGCCCAGGCTGCATTTGGGGCTCTTCATACATCACCAGGCACCTGCATAAACCCACCTAGTGCCAGGCCCTGAGTGGGGAGGGGGCACGGCACAGGGAGGTGAACTCTGACACTGCATCCCACAAGGAGGCAGGATTTTTTTTTTTTTGAGATGGAGCCTCACTCTGTCACCCAGGCTGGAGTGCATTGGCATGATCTTGGCTCACTGCAACCTCTGCCTCCTGGTTCAAGCAATTATCCTGCCTCGGCCTCTCGAGTAGCTGGGATTAGAGGCACCCACCACCATGCCTGGCTAATTTTTGTATTTTTGGTAAAGATGGGGTTTCACCACGTTGGCCTGGCTGGTCTCAAACTCCTGGCCTCAAGTGATCCACCCACCTTGGTCTCCCAAAGGGCTGGGATTACAAGCGTGAGCCACCGCGCCTGGCCAAGGCAGGGTTATTTTGCTCACTGTACACTCAACGGTCCAGAAACTCTGGACCTGGAAGGCTCAGTGATTTGCCGAAGATCACTTAGGAAATAACAGAGCCAGGATTCCAGTGTGGGTCTGGCTCAAGAACCCAGGCTCTATTTTGGGCACCAAATGAAAACCACCAAGTCCCTAAGAAAATAGGGGGCTAAAAAGAGAGGTGCTGAGGCTGGAGGCAGTGGCTCACGCCTGTACTCTCATTGCTTTGGGAGGCCAAGGTGGGAGGATCGCTTGAGACCAGGAATTGGAGACCAGCCTGGAGAACGTACTGAGACCCCATCTCTAAAAAAATTAAAAATAAATGAGCCAGGCGTGGTGGCACATGCCTGTGGTCCCAGACGCTTGGGAGGCTGAGGTGGGAGGATCGCTTGAGTCTGGGATTTCAAGGCTGCAGTGAGCTATGACTGCACCACTGCACTCCAGCCTAGGTGACACAGCCAGACCCTATCTCAAAAAATAAATCGATAAAAAGGGAGACAGGGGCTCAGAGATGGGTGAGCTAAGGCAGCTGTGATGATGAAGATTCCTGGGGAAAGACGAGCTGGGCTCTGCTGGCAGGCAAGATGGCCTGAGAGGAGGGAAATTGAGTGAGGCCCATGCCTGTTCCTACCTGCCCAGCTCTGGTCACCATGGTGACCACAGCCCAGGGAGCCCATTGGTCCCGCTGGCTGAGAAGGACCAGTGGTCAGCCAGTGGGTGGCTAGAGAGGCAGGCAGCTGCACAGAAATGGGAAAAGGCGGCCCCAGTCTTGAGCAGTGGGAGGCCTGTCTCTTATCAAAGCCGCAGGCTTCGGACTCCGAGGGGCCAATCCTGGCTCTGTCCTCCCCAGCGGAAGCGGCTGCTGATATAGCCTCCGAGGTGGTGAAGTGCTGGGGTGCATATATGCACCTTGAGGGGGTGCTGACATAACCAAGACTCTGCCACTAGGAGTCTCTTGGCAGGTTTGGACGAGACCCAGAGTGGTCTTGGGGAGAAGCCCAGGCCTGAGACCAGCTGGAAACATGGCTGTGGGGGAAGAGGCGGCTGCTGCTGGCTGGAGGATTTCAGGTCAATCAGCAGCTGGCCAGGAGCAGGCAGCCTGTCTGATGGATTGGTCTACCCGCCCTGCTCACAGCCTCCACCCTGGGAAGAACCCAGAGCTGCTGCTGCTTTTTTTTTGAGGGAGAGTGTCTTACTCTGTTGCCCAGGCTGGAGTGCAGTGGCGCGATCTCGGCTCACTGCAACCTCTGCCTCCCGGGTTCAAGCGATTCTCATGTCTCAGCCTCCTGAGTAGCTGGGACTACAGGTGCATACCACCATGCCTGGCTCTTTTTTTTTTGTATTTTTAGTAGAGAAGGGGTTTCACCATGTTGGGCAGGCTGGTCTTGAACTCCTGACCTCAAGTGATCTGCCTGCCTCGGCCTCCCAAAGTGCTGGGATTACAGGTGTCAGCCACCTTGCCTGGCCACCTCTCCACCTTTTGATCAGTCACTGCCTGCTGACCATGCCTTGCCACGCGTGGCATGGACCACAATGATGTACTGCTGTTCCCAGTTCACAGACAAGGGGACTGTGATGGGTGAGGGCTGGTGATGTGGAGCCTAGATAAGCACTGGGCCCCTCTAACTCCAAGTCTAAGCTTCTACCCATTACCCAGAGGCTTCTAACGTTATTCTGAATCTGTCAGGACACCTAGCACTGCACACAGTGCTCATTAAATACTTAAAAGAGGCCAGGTACGGTGGCTCATGCCTGTAATCCCAGTACTTTGGGAGGCCAAGGCAGGCAGATGATTTGAGGTCAGGAGTTCAAGACCAGCCTGGCCAACATGGGTGAAACCTTGTCTGTACTAAAAATATAAAAATTAGCCGGGCGTGGTGGTGAGTGCCTGTAATCCCACCTACTCAGGAGGCTGAGGCATGAGAATTGCTTGAACCCAGGAGGTGGAGGTTGCAGTGAGCAGAGATTGTGTAACTGCACTCCCAACAGGGGTGACAGAACAAGACTCGGTCACACACACACGTAAAAAATCAGAATATACACATGTACAAACCCCTCTGTCTGCCACACAGACATACTGCATCCATTTGAGCCAAGACCTTTTTTTCTTTTTTTGAGACAGGGTGTTGCTCTATCACCCAGGCTGGAGTGCAGTGGTACAATCATGGCTCACTGCAGCCTCAACCTCCCAGGCTCAAATGATCAGCCCACCGAGTAGCTGGGACCACAGCCATGTGCCACCACACCAGATTAATTTTTGTATTGTTTGTAGAGACGGGGCTTTGCCATGTTGCCCAACCTGCTTGAACTCCTGGGCTCAAGCGATCTACCTGCCTCAGCCTCCCAAAGGGCTGGGATTACAGGCATGAGCCACTGTGCTCAGACCAAGAATCTCTTAACAACGTTCACATTGAACAAGGAACTCTGCTGGCTAATGTCATTTACAAGCCATCCCCTGCCCTCCCAGGAAAGACCCAGCATCCACTGAACCATGGCCAGCTGCTAGCTTCTAACTATCAAAGCTGCCAGTGAACACACACCCTGGCTCATTTTAAGAGTGGCAGAAGAGGCCCTTTGGTGGGAAGCAATGTTTGCAGCGCTGGAGGTTTGCAGAACGGGGGTGACAGGGCACCAGCCTTCATTCCCCATGCCAGAGCCAGCATCCTTCTTCCGGGGTCACGCCTGTAATCCCAACACTTTAGGAGGCGAAGGTGGGAGGACTGCTTGAGGCCAGGAGTTCCAGACCAGCATAGGCAACATAGTGAGACTCCTCTACAAAAAAACACAAAAACTAGCCAGTGGGCTGTGCGCGGTGGTTCACGCCTATAATCCCAGCACTTTGGAACTTTGGAAGGTTGAGGCGGGTGGATCACTTGAGGTCAGGAGTTCGAGACCAGCCTGGCCAACATGGTGAAACCCTGTTCCTACTAAAAATACAAAAATTAGCTGGGCATAGCGGTGCATGCCTGTAGTCTCAGCTACTCAGGAGGCTGAGGCAGGAGAATCGCTTGAACCCAGGAGGTGGAGGTTGCAGTGAGCTGAGATCGTGCCACTATACTCCAGTCTGGACAACAGAGCAAGACTCCATCTCAAAACAAAACAAAACAACAACAAAAAAAAAAATCCCCAAAACTAGCCAGTGGGCCAGGTGCAGTAGTTCATGCCTGTAATCCCAGCACTTTGGGAGGTCGAGGCAAGAGGATCATCTGAGGTCAGGAGCTCAAGACCAGCCTTGCCAGCATGGTGAAACCCTGTCTCTACTAAAAATACAAAAAAAATTAGCTGGGTGTGGTGGTGCATGCCTGTAATCCCAGCTACTCACGAGGCTGAGGCAGAAGAATCGCTTGAACCTGGGAGGTGGAGGTTGCAGTGAGCCAAAATCGCGCCACTGCACTCCAGCCTGGGGACAGAGAGAGACTACCTCGAGAAAAGCAAGCAAACAAAAACTAAACTCTCCTTCTGAAGCAGAGCGTCCAAGGAGATGAGGGGTACAGTTGTCCTCCTAGTCTCATACTGTAGCCCCTAGGCCCACCCCAAATCCTGCCACAGCCCCCTGAGAGTCTTCTCAGACTGTCCTAGGCCACACATGGTGGTATACTGTCTTCTCCCATTACTTTCTGGCAGCACTTTCTCCTTATTTAGGCTAGAGGCGCCTTGAGAGCATTTCCTACTTTCCTTCCTGGCTTGGTTGTCACTCACTAACTCTGGGCAAGTTAATGTCTGCTTGCTTTCTCGCTTGTAAAATGGGTCTTTACTCTTTTTTTTTTTTTTTTTTTCTTTTGAGACGGAGTCTCACTCTGTCCCCCAGGCTGGAGTGCAGTGGCGCGATCTTGGCTCACTGCAACCTCCACCTCCCGGGTTCAAGCGATTCTCCTGCCTCGGCCTCCCGAGTAGCTGGGATTGCAGGCATGTGCCACCACACCCAGCTAATTTTTTATTTTTAGTAGAGACGGTGTTCCTCCATGTTGGTCAGGCTGGTCTCGAACTCCATTTTTTTTTTTTTTTGAGACAGAGTTTTGCTCTGTTGCCCAGGCTGGAATGCAGTGGCGCGATCCCGGCTCACTGCAAGCTCCGCCTCCCGGGTTCACGACTTTCTCCTGCCTCAGCCTCCCGAGTAGCTGGGACCACAGGCGCCCACCACCACGCCTGGCATATTTTTTTTTGTATTTTTAGTAGAGATGGGGTTTCACCATGTTAGCCAGGATGGTCTCAATCTCCTGACCTTGTGATCCACCCACCTCCGCCTCCCAAAGTGCTGGGATTACAGGTGTGAGGCACCGCGCTCGGCCTCGAACTTTTTTTTTTTTGAGATGGAGTCTTTCTCCATCGCCCAGGCTGGAGTGCAGTGGCATGATCTTGGCTCATTGCAGCCTCTGCCTCGTGGGTTCAAGCGATTCTCCTTCCTCAGCCTCCTGAGTAGCTGGAGCTACAGGCATGTGTCACCATGCCCAGGTAATTTTTGTATTTTTGGTAGAGATGGGGTTTCACCATGTTGACCAGGATGGTCTTGAACTCCTGACCTCAGGTGATCTGCCTGCCTCAGCCTCACAAAGTGCTGGGATTGTAGATGTGAACCACTGTGCCTGGCCAAAATGCTAATATTTTGGCAGCACTTTGGGAGGTCAAGGCAGGTGGATCACTTGAGTTCAGGAGTTTGAGACCAGCCTGGTCAACATGGTGAAACCAAACCCCACCTCTACTAAAAATACAAAAAAATTAGCCGGGCATGGTGGTGGGTGCCTATAATCCCAGCTACTCAGAAGGCTGAGGCAGGAGAATCGCTTGAACCTGGGAGGTGGAGGTTGCAGTGAGCCAAGATCACGCCACTGCACTCCAGCCTGGGTGACAGAGTGAGACTCTGTCTCAAAAAAAAAAAAGAAAAGAAAAAAGAGAAAAAACAAATCCACTCAATTTTTTTTTTCTTGGGCAATAATAGATTTCCAAGCAGCCTAGTTTGCTGACCAGGAAACGCACCCTGGAATGGAAGCCCTTACCCTGAAGTCACAGAGGTAAGGCTGGCTGGCTGGCTAGCCTCCGGCCTTGCTGGGCTAATTGAAACCTGCTTTCCCAGTGGTCCCTGTGTTCCTCAGTGCTGCGCCTGTGGCTGGGAAAGGCTCAGGGAGGGGCAGGGCAAGGCAGTTTCAAAAGTCACAAGGCTCTGGGGAATGGCAGAGTCGAGGGATTGCGGGCAATTCCTTCCCTGGGCCAGCCGAGGGTCTCAGCCTGGGCCCAAGGACCTCTATATGAAGAGAGCTTACTCACCCCCAGGAATTTCCTACTTCACTCCTTGTTCCCTCTCCTGCACACACACACACACACACACACCCCAGGAGACTCTACCCCAACTCAGCCCTAACCCAGCCGAACAACCTTCAGTGGCTCCCCAGTGCCTGAAGAATATGATCCAAACTTTCCCTGCCTACCTCTGTCTTCCCCTTTTTTACGTGCTGGACCTGGCCCTTGCTTCTGCTCCTGTACTTTCTCATTCAGCTCTCCTCTGACATGTTTTCTTCCTTCCCCACAAGGCCAGCAAAAATATCACCTCCTCCAGGAAGTCCTCCATGACCACGTGAGCTCACCAGGAACTTCTGCTTTTGAGCCCCCAGAAAGAGCCATGCTGCAGAAGTCTCCCCATGCTGCTTCTAACCCAAATAAAGTACAGGAGAGGAGTTCAGGAAAAAGTCTAGAGCCAGGCACAGCAGTACACGCCTCTACTCTCAGCTACTCGGGAGGCTGAGGTGGGAGGATTGCTTGAACCCAGGAGTCTGAGGCTGCTATGCACTATGATCACACCTGTGATTAGCCACTGTACTCCAGCCTGGGCAACATAGCAAGAACCTGTTTCTTAAAAAAAAAAAAAAAAAAAAAAAAATTTAAGTGCCTGCATGCCAGGTAGAAACCATGAAGGGAGGGGTGCTTTCCAGGCAGAGAAGCCCATGTGTGTGCAGCCACATGGAGGAATCTTTCCTGATCCCTCCTCCTCCAGGCAAGCCCTGTCCTCCTCTCTCTCTTCCCACACTCTAGTTCCCTGGGGATGCCAAGTGTGTCCCCAGTACTACAAGCTGTGGCTGTACACACATGGGGTTCTCTCTGCCTGGAAAGTGCCCCTCCATTATGTTTTCCACCTGGCAGGGGGCGGGGTGGGGAGGGGCACTTAATTTTAATTTTAATTTTTTTTTAAGAAATAGATTCTCAGGGCCGGGCGCAGTGGCTCACGCCTGTAATCCCAGCACTTTGGGAGGCCGAGGCAGGTGGATCACGAGGTCAGGAGATTGAGACCATCCTGGTTAACACGGTAAAACCCCGTCTCTACTAAAAAATACAAAAAATTAGCCGGGCATGGTGGTGGGCGCCTGTAGTCCCAGCTACTCGGGAGACTGAGGCAGGAGAACAGCGTGAACCTGGGAGGTGTAGCTTGCAGTGAGCTGAGATCGCGCCACTGCACTCTAGCCTGGGTGACAGAGCAAGACTCCGTCTCAAAAAAAAAAAAAAAAAAAAAAAAAGAAATAGGTTCTCAGGCCAGGCGAGGCGGCTCACGCCTGTAATCCCAGCACTTTGGGAGGCTGAGGTGGGTGGATCACCTGAGGTCAGGAGTTCTAGACCAGCCTGGCCAACAGGGTGAATCCCCATCTCTACTAAAAAATACAGAAATTAGCCAGGTGTGGTGGTGGGCACCTGTAATCCCAGCTACTTGGGAGGCTGAGGCAGGAGAATGGCTTGAACCTGGGAGGCGGAGGTTGCAGTGAGCCAAGATCACTGCACTCCAGCCTGGATGACAGAGTGAGACTCCATCTCAAAAAAAAAAATCCAGGTTCTTATTATGTTGCCCAGGCTGGAGTGCAGTGGCTATTCACAGGCGTGATCATTGCACACTACAGTCTCAAACTCCTGGGTTTAAGCAATCCTCCCACCTCAGCCTCCCAAGTAGCTGGGAGTAGAGGCATACACCACCATGCCTGGCTCTTTACTCTTAGCTGGGTTCACTTCAAGTGTTGCTTTAGTTCTGGGAAGTCCTCTTAAACTGTGCCCTTGCCAGCTAGACACTTTTATTTTTTTTATTTTTAAGAGATAGAGTCTCGCTCTGTCTTCCAGCCTGGAAAGCGGTGGTTCAATAACAGCTCACTGCAGCCTCCAACTCCTGGGCTCAAACGATCCTCCTGCCTCGGTCTCTCAGGTAGCTGGGACCACAGGAACATGCCATCATGTCCAGTTAATTTAAAGTAATTTTTTAGTAGAGACGGGGTCTCACTATGGTCTCAAACTCCTGGGCTCAAGTGATCCTCCCACCTTAGCCTCCCAAAGTGTTGAGACTAAAAGCATGAGCCACTGCGCCCGACTGAAGATGTTCTAAAGCACTTTGCAGGTTTCAGTGAAACATGTTCCTTTTCTTCTGGGTTGATCTAATTCTCAGCTGAGTAGTGCCATACCTACTTACTACTCAGGAGTCTTTCCTAGGGCGATCTCAAGAGCAGGAGGGGAGGGGACCCTCCAGAACCCAGGGAGAGAAGGAAATACACTCTGCTGTTTTTCTAGCTGACCAGCAGATGGGGGCAGAAATAAGAAGGTAGGTGGGGGCAGAAATAAGGAGGTGGGTTGGGGACAGAAATAAGGAGGTGGGTAGCCAGCCCTGACTTCGGGGCATGGTCCAGCCGAGCCCCTAGGGAGAGAAGCACTTACCTAGGAATCCTTCCTCATCGACAATGATAGTGTAATCCTCTGGTGTCTCAGTCAGACTGAAGAACTTGCACCTGGATGGATGGACAGACAGACACAGAATATCTCATTAGTCCAGGCAGGTCCCCTGGGGCAGCTGCCCACCCGTGCCCCGGGGATGATGTCTCAGTTTACCCAGAGTTCCAGCCCCAGGCTGCTGGGTGACCGCGGGTAAGTTGTTTATCTCTCCCTTCATGTCCCCCTACTCAGTTCTCACTCAGGAGAGGCACAGAGATGCTGATTGTCCCCACTGTACCCCCGCAATCTTTGGGGACCTCTGAGCCAGTCAGCCCCTATGATTGTGTCCAGGCCTGAGGGCCCGAGATCCCAAGTTTTCTTGGAGGGAAGAAGTGGCCAAAGGGTGGCTCCAGTGTGGGTCAGGCAGAGGAGCCGTCTTTTCCATGGCCCTGCCACTGTAACCTCTAGGTGTCTGTTCCCATCTCCCCTCCCATTGTCTTGGGCTCCTCCTCAGCAACTCTGGAGCTCCAAGTCACAAAAATGCCTAATTCCCACCAGCTGACTGACAGCCCAGCCCTTGGTTAACTTTCCATCCCTAAAGAGAGAGGAATGCGGCCATCCGTGACATTTTTGGGACATGGATCTCTGCCCCACCTCACATCACCTCTGATAGCACCGCTCAGCCGGGGAGGTATGTTGCTCATCTACCCCCAAAACGAGACCATCTGTTCCCCAAAAACAGGGACCAGAACTGTGACCCTGCTGGCCTCAGTCCTGGGCATGGTTTTGGTGCCCAAGTCTGTGTCCAGGCCGCTCTCAGGCTGGGCTTCAAGGCTTTTGGTCCTTGGGTGATGGGGGTCATCACCCCCTCAACCCCCGTGTCCCTGTTCCCCATTTAGCCAGAACCGCACCCCCACTGCACCCTAGAGAGTATTGCAAGCAGAGATGGCAAGTCCAAGCGTGCACAGGCAGAGGCTTGCAGGAAACTGACCCCTGGCCGCTTATCTGGTGTTCCGGCTCTCAAGCACAAAGCCAGGCATGGGCTCTGCATCCCCACCCATTGAGGGGAGCCAGGACAGAAAGAAGCCCACAAGTAACCCAGGTGTATTTGTCTGTTCTCATGCTGCTAATAAACACATACCCGAGACTGGGTAATTTATAAAGGGAAAAGGTTTAATGGACTCATAGTTCCACGTGGCTGGTTGGTGGTTGGCAGGGTTGCGGGGGCGGGGGTGCTCACAATCATGACAGAAGGCAAAGAAGGAGCCAAGGCACGTCTTACATGGCAACAGGCAAGAGAGCATGTGCAGGGGAACTACCTTTATAAAACCATCAGATCTCCTGAGACTTATTCACTGCCACGAGAACAGTATGAGGGAGACCACCCCCATGATTCAATTATCTCCACCTGCCCCCACCCTTGACACGTGGGGATTATTACAATTCAAGGTGAGATTTGGGTGGGCACACAGCCAAACCATATCACCAGGCAAAGGGCAAGTATCACTCTCTCAAATATGCAAATGGAAAAGGGATCTTTGAGTGGACAGTGTTGCAGGGGATGGGGGTGGCTGGTGTATCCATGGGTCGCCCTCCTCCCTGGCCTCCTCTCCTGCCACCTGCCCTGCAGCCCCCTCATCTACAGAACCTCTCCAGCTCCTTTTTAAAACTTATTCCTGAAAATTTTCACAAGGATATGGAGCCACTGGAACTCTCTTATGCTGCTGGTGGGAGTACAAAATGGCCCAGCCCTTCAAACATTCATTTGGCAGTTTCTTTCTTCTTTTTAGAGATAGGGTCTTGCTCTGTCACCCAGTCTGGCGTGCAGTGATGCAATCACAGCTCATGGAGGCCTTGAATGCCTGGGCTCAAGCAATTCCCCTGCCTCAGTCTCCTGAGTAGCTGGAACTACAGGCACACAATACCATGTCCAGCTAAATTTTTTTTTTTTTTTTTGAGACAGAGTCTCTCACCCTGTCACCCAGGCTAGAGTGCAGTGGCATCTCAGCTCACTGCAACCTCCACCTCCCAGGTTCAAGTGATTCTCCTGCCTCAGCTTCCCCAGTAGCTGGGCTTACAGGCGCCCGCCACCACATCTGGCTAATTTTTGTATTTTTAGTGAAGACAAGGTTTCTCCATGTTGGCCAGGCTGGTCTCGAACTCCTGACTTCAGGTGATCCACCCGTCTCAGCATCCCAAAGTGCTGGGATTATAGGCGTGAGCCACCGTGCCCAGACAGTCCAGCTAGTTTTTAAAGTTGTTTTTGTAGAGATGAGGTCTTGCTATGTTGTCTAGGCTGGTCTTGAACTCTTGTCCTTAAGCGATCCTCCCTCTTTGGCTTTCCAAAGTGCTGGGATTACAGGCGTGAGCCACTGCACCCAGCTGGCAATTTCTTATAAAGTTCAGCACACATTGACCACCCAGCCTCAGCTATCCTGCTCCTGGGTATTCATCCACGAGAAGTGAAAACAGGTGCCCGCACAAAGACTTAGATGCGAATACATATTGCCTGTTTGTATTTGCTCTAAATTGGAAACAACCCAAATGTCCTTCCTTCAACTGGAAAGAGGATAAACTAAGGCACATCCACATGAGGAAATACGGGTCAGCAATTAAAAGGAATAAACTACCGATTCATGCATTAACACGGGTAGATCTAAAGTGCATTTTGCTAAGTTAAACAGCCAAGCTCAAAAGATTCTATACTGTATGTTTCTATTCATACAACATTCTGGAAGAGGCCAAACTATAGGGACAAATGATTAGCAGTTATCAGGGGACGGGTAGACACTGACTAGAGAGGGGCACTGGGAAATTCTGGGGGGATGGGCCTCTTGAGTGTGGCGGTGGTTACAAGATCATATAAATTCACATAAATTTAGGCCGGGCACGGTGACTCACGCCTGTAATCCCAGCACTTTGAGAGGCAGAGGTGGGAGGATCACCTGAGGTCAGGAGTTTGAGACCACTTGGCCAACATGGTGAAACCCTGTCTCTACAAAAAAATGCAAAAATTAGCCAGGCGTGGCAGTGGGCACCTGTAATCCCAACTACTGGGGAGGCAGAGGCAGAAGACTCGCTTGAACCCAGGAGGCGGAGGTTGCAATTAGCCAAGATCACGCCACTACACTCCAGCCTGGGTGATTAGATTCAGACTCCATCTCAAAAAAACCTCACAAGATCATATAAATTTGTCAAAACCCAAAGAACTATCTGCTAAAAAGGGGTGAATTTGTGAATTACGCTGTATGTAAATCATACCTTGATAAACTTGAATGTAAAGAAAATGCTTGGTCTGCTGCGGTGGCTCACGCCTGTAATCCCAGCATTTTGGGAGGCTGAGGTGGGCGGATCACTCGAGGTCAAGAGTTTGAGACCAGCCTGGCCAACATGGCAAAACCCCATTTCTACTAAAAATATAAAAATTAGCCCGGCGTGGTGGTGGGCGTCTGTAATCCCAGCCACTTGGAAGGCTGAGGCAGGAGAATTATTTGAACCTGGGAGGTTGCTGTGAGCTGAGATCGTGCCACTGCACTAGAGCCTAGGCAACAGAGCCACTCCATCTCGGGGAAAAAAAAAAAAAAAAATCCTGTGCTAGGGTCATCCATGAGGTGGCCTCTCTCCCCCTGGGAGGGGCGTAACGCATTCTGCTGGAACAACCACCCACGCTCATCAATTTCCCTCCGGCTCTTCAGTTTTCTAATTACGTCTCTGTCCCTGCCTGTCCCATATCCAATTTGCAAGTATTGCCTGGATACGTGAAATCTATAATTGCTTTGAGAACAACAGCAAATTATCACCACAGTAAGTGGCAATCACTGGTCAGGCCTGGACCCTTCCTAGGGACCCCCATGAACTCAGAAAGAGCCCTGGACTCCCACAGTCACCAGACTGCCATGAGCTGGTACTCCCTGGGTGGGGTGGGGCTGCCCAGCTGCCCGAGAGCCCCGGGGAGGCAAACAGACGCGGCCCTTGCTCCCGGCGCCCTCGGCTCTGAGGGACACTCCAGAAATAGACCGCACAAATTATTCCGGAAGGCATAAACACCAGCAGAAGGCAACAGCGGCCTGTGTGTAAACGGAGTATAAATATGTTGTTGAAGTGACCTGTCCCCAGGGGCTGAGCAATTCTGTGGCTCTGCCAGCTAGGGGACATCTCAGAATGTGCACCTCGGCACGGGTGGGCTTCGGGGAGGGCAGATCAGCCGGAGGCACCTGCTGCCGTCGCTCTGGTCACTACCCTCAGGAGTCGGCCCCCAGACTCCTCCCTCTCCTTGACCTCCTTGTTGTTGTTTTTTTTTTTTTTTTTTTTTTTTTGAGATGGAGTCTCGCTCTGTCACCCAGGCTGGAGTGCAGTGGCGCAATCTCGGCTCACTGCAAGCTCCGCCTCCTGGGTTCACGCCATTCTCCTGCCTCAGCCTCCAGAGTAGCTGAGACTACAGGCGCCCACCACCACGCCCGACTAATTTTTTGTATTTTTAGTAGAGACAGGGTTTCATCGTGTTAGCCAGGGTGGTCATAAACTCCTGACCTCATGATCCACCCGGCTCCGCCTCCCAAAGTGCTGGGATTACAGGCATGAGCCACCGCACCCGGCCTTTTTTTTTTTTTTTCTTTTTTGAGACAGGCTCTTGCTCTGTTGCCCAGGCTGGAGTGCAGTGGCATGATCTTGGCTCACTGTGGCCTTGACCTCCTGGGCTCAAGCAATCCTCCTAGCTCAGCCTCCCAACTAGCTTGGACTACAGGCGTGCATTACCCATGCCCAGCCGGCTAATTTTTTATTTTTTGTAGAGACAGGGTCTCACTACGTTGTCCCGACTGGTCTTGCACTTCTGAGCTCAAGTGATCCTTCTGCCTTGGCCTCCCAAAGTGCTGGGATTATAGGAGTGAGTCACTGCGCCCAGCCCACACCACTTCTTAATTCAAGCTACAGGTCCCCCCTTTGCCTTTGGATTACATCTGCTGCATTTCTTGTCTTATCAAGCTTAACCTTCCTATCTTTGCTTCTCGAAGTCATCTCCCTATTGCTGGGCAGTTGGCCATTCCCCAGTCCAAGCACAGCACCCCCTTGCGGGCCATCCTTAGCCTCCCAAGTACCCGGGATTACAGGTGCACACCACCACACCCAGCTAATTTTTTAAATTTTTATAGAGATGGGATCTTGCTATGTTGCCCAGGTGGGTCTTGAACTCCTGGCCTCAAGTGATCCTCCCACCTCCACCTCCCAAAGTGCTGGGATTATGGGTGTGAGCCACTCCACACAGCCCCATGTCTTCTTTACTCGAAGGTCACTCTGAGATCCGTTTTTGCCTCTCCACCACTCCCCACAAAGCAAACTCAAGACTGGACTACCCTTCTGTCTTGTCTCCCTCTTCCACTCCTGGCCTCAACGCACCTGCCTCCACAGTCTCATGCCTCCAACAGTGACGAATGTTCTTTCTTTTTTATTTGAGATGAAGTTTCACGCTTGTTGCCCAGGCTGGAGTGCAGTGGTGCCACATCTTGGCTCACTGCAACCTCTGCCTCTGGGGTTCAAGCGATTCTCCAGCCTCAGCCTCCCAGGTAGCTGGGATTACAGGCGCCCGCCACCACATCCAGCTAATTTTTTGGAGTTTTTAGTAGAGACAGGGTTTCACCATGTTGGCCAGGCTGGTCTCAAACTCCTGACCTCAGAAGATCCACCCGCCTCAGCCTCCCAAAGTGCTGGGATTACAGGCATGACCCACCTCGCCCAGCCTAAATGTTCTTTCATCTACCCAGCATAGCCTCCCAACTTTGTTGGCTGAAGATTTCATGTTCATCCTTTAAGACCCAGTTCAAACATCTCCTCTGGGGTAAAACCTTTCCTGGCCAGAAATGGTGGCTCATACCTGTAATCCCAGAACTTTGGGAGGTGGAGGTGAATGGATCTCTTGAGGTTGGGAGTTCAAGACCAGTCTGGCCAACATGGTGAAACCCTGCCTCTACTAAAAATTAAAAAAAAAAAAACAAAAACCCTGCCTGATCAACACCAGCCACTTCCTTTCCCTCATCTCCCATCATAGAGGTTGTCCTCCTTTGACAGCCTACAGCCCCACACTATGTCTATGAGATGACTTTCAGGCCACTGTGGACAACTGGGCTGGTGGTGCATCACAGCCCTAGGATACAATTCATCTCACAGTCTATGTGAATTATGCCCTTAGAGTTGTGCAGCGCACAACCCATGCAACTGCATGTGACAGTGCCGAGTGCTTCCCACAATCTATTACAAATCATACTTTAAGGGTCTACTTCCCTCAGTAGACCACAGCGCTCAGAAGCAAGGACAGAGGGTCCTCCGTACACACACCTTGTATCTGACACTGGCTGGACATGGAATCAACACTCAAGGATTGCTGAGCGAAAGGATGGCCTGTGGCCACACACTTGCCTTCAAAATCAAAGAAGCCTCAATGAGAAAAAACCCTGTCTGCCCTCATGTGGCATCATCTTGACTTAACCCTCCTCTTGGAGAAGCTAAGGTCTCCAGTTCTAATTCTCTCTCCGCCTTTTCTAATGAGTCATGGCCAGGTGCACACCCCAGATGCCAGGCCCCCGGGGTTTGTGGCCTCTCTGTACTCTGCCTACAAAGAGCTGGAAAGAGGAGCAAATGCCAGAAAGTACCCAGTATGGGTGCTAAGTGCTGTTAAAAAACTCCAGGCGGGAGGCCGGGCGCGGTGGCTCACATCTGTAATCTCAGCACTTCTGGAGGCCAAGGCAGGGGGATCACTTGAGCCTAGGAGTTTGAGACCAGCCTGGGCAACATGGTAAGACTCCATCTCTACAAAAAAATTTAAAAATTACCTGAGCATGGTGGTGTGCCCCTGTAGTCTCAGCTACTCAGGAGGTGGAGGTGGGAGGATCACTTGGGCCTGGGAGGCGGAGGCTGCAGTGAGCCATGATTGCACCACTGCACTCCAGCCTGGGTGACACAGTGAGATCCTGTCTTAAAAAATAAAATAAAAGATGCAGGCTTGATTCCTGCAGGGTCACCATACTCTGTGTCAGCCAGACTCTGCCAAGGTCACCTGCTAGCTTGCCTGGGAACAAGCCAGGACCTTTGGAATTAATAGCCTGGCCTGCTGGGTGCAGTGGCTCATGCCTGTAATCCCAGCACTTTGGGAGGCAGAGGCAGGTGGCTCACCTGAGGTCAGGAGTTCGAGACCAGTCTGGCCAACATGGTGAAACCCCATCTCTACCTCTACTAAAAATACAAAAAATTAGCCAGGCGTGGTGGCGCGCACCTGTAGTCCCAGCTACTCGGGAGGCTGACGCAGAATTGCTTGAACCGGGGAGGTGGAGATTGCAGTGAGCCGAGATCATGCCACTGCACTGCAGACTGGGTAACAGAGCGAGACTCCATCTCAAAAACAAACAAAAAAGAGCCTGGCCAGCGGGGTTTTGAAACAAGCCCAGAGCCTTCACTGCTCAAGTGACCCACCCACCCAAAAAAGAGAGGCTCTGCAAACAGGCCCCAAGACAGGCGTCTTGGATGTTATAGGCCCTGTTTACAAAACATTCTCGGGCCTTACTTAAAGCAGGTCCTTTCTCAGCCCACTTGGGATTACAGCACCAGCCTGGAAGGACAGGGGTGTTTCTTTCAAAGTGTGGCCCATTCTGTCTGGAATGAGGGAGGTTTGGCCACATCTCCTGCAGCCTATCCAAGTGAGGGAATGAAGGGATCAGGGCCTCACCTGCTTCCGGAGACTGCCCACCCCTGCCCCTGCCAGCCAACTTCTGGCTGCCTCCCTGCTGATGTTTTTCTGATGTGGCTAACAGTAGCATTCATTCATTCATTCATTCCTTTAGAGACAGTGTCTTGCTCTGTCACCCAGGCTGGAGTGCACTGGCATGATCATAGTTCACTGCAGCCTCCAACTCCTGGGCTCAAGTGGTCCTCCCACCTCAGCCTCCTGAGTAGCTGGGACTATAGATGCACATCACCATGGCTGGCTAATTTTTAAATGTTTGTGGAGACGGGGTCTTGCTATGTTGCCCAGGCTGGTCTCAAATTCCTGACCTCAAGCGATCCTCCCAAGCCTCGGCCTCCCAAAGTACTGGGATTACAGGTGTAAGCCAGTGCACCCGGCTGACAGGGGCCTTTTAAAACACGCAGTGAGCGGCCGGGCGCGGTGGCTCATGCCTGTAATCCCAGCACTTTGGAAGGCCAAGGCAGGCGGATCACAAGGTCAAGAGATCAAGACCATCCGGGACAACAAGGTGAAACCCCGTCTCTACTAAAAATACAAAAATTAGCTGGGCATGGTGGTGTGCGCCTGCTACTCAGGAGGCTGAGTGCCCAGCTACTCAGGAGGCTGGGGCGGGAGAATCACTTGAATCTGGGAGGCAGGGGTTGCAGTGAGCCAAGATCACGCCAGCCACTGCACTCCAGCTTGGAGACAGAGCAAGATTCCATCTCAAAAAAAAAAAAAAAAAAAAAAAGGCAGTGAGTGATAGAAGTGTTTCGGGGCCACAGTTCATGGAGCTTTTCTTCCCAGAGGAAAATCGGGGGGAGGGTGAATGCCCGGCTTTGTTCTGCTAACCAGCTGCAGCTTTTTCATCTGTTTCTCCTGGGTTTTCAATGGGTCTCTCGTGTTATTTACATTTCATTTCTCCTGTCTTTAGCAACTAGAAGCTGCCCTTTCAAGTTTTACTTAGAAAAAAGCCCTTAATTGGTTCTGCAACTGGAAGGGCGA
Organism: Homo sapiens; assembly: GCF_000001405.40. Classification (NCBI taxonomy): domain Eukaryota; kingdom Metazoa; phylum Chordata; class Mammalia; order Primates; family Hominidae; genus Homo; species Homo sapiens. The sequence continues at coordinate 100,242,314 of NC_000007.14, forward strand.
TCCTGAACAGGAGTTATTTTGCCTTAAGATAGAAAATAAGGCCGGGTGCGGTGGCTCATGCTTGTAATCCCAGCCCTTGGGGAGGCCGAGGTGAGTGGATCACGAGGTCAGGAGATCGAGACCACCCTGGCTAACACGGTGAAACCGTGTCTCTACTGAAAAAAAAAATACAAAAAATTAGCTGGGCGCGGTGGCGGGTGCCTGTAGTCCCAGCTACTCGGGAGGCTGAGGCAGGAGAATGGCGTGAGCACGGGAGGTGGAGCTTGCAGTGAGCTGAGATCGCGCCACTGCACTCCAGCCTGGGCGACAGAGTGAGACTCCATCTCAAAAAAAGAAAAAAAAAGATAGAAAATAAAATGTGCTTGTGTCACGGGCGACCAGGCTGAATCCAATCAGACAGCGTGGGTGATGGTGTTTGGCAAATTCCAGGGTGATTATGGAGAGGCAGGGCTACCAAAGGGGATGGATAGGGCAGAAGAAATCACAAAGATCTGGGGAAAGCCCCAGGAACCCAGGCTCCCCCCAAGGAGATCTCAGTCCTTGTAGACAAGAGTATACCTTCTGCTTGTCAGGTCTTGGTGCAAAATGATCACTGATTTTGGATCTCCCCAATTCTCACGGTCCCCAGTCCAACTTCCTTTCACCCCTACCAGCCTATCACCTCCCCAGCCATGGCGATATCCATTATAGTACTGAGATTAATCACTTCCATGTCTGTCTGCCTTTTTTTTTTTTTTTTTTTTTTGAGATGGAGTCTCACTCTGTTGCCCAGGCTGGAGTGCAGTGGTGCGATCTCGGCTCACTGCAACTTCTGCCTCCCATGTTCAAGTGATTCTCCTGCCTCAGCTCCCCGAGTAGCCGGGATTACAGGTGTGTGCCACCATGCCCCGCTAATTTTTGCATTTTTAGTAGAGATGGGGTTTCGCCATGTTGGCCAGGCTGGTCTCCAACTCCTGACCTCAGGTGATCCACCCACCTCAGCCTCCCAAAGTGCTGGGATTACAGGTGTGAGCCACCGTGCCCCGCCCCATTTCTGTCTTTGCGAGCAAGAGACAAGGCTGCATCTCCTCCTCCAGGGCCGCCATGCCCAGCACAGGGCTTGGTACGAGGTCTGTAATCAGTGTGACCTTAATGAATGTGCTGTAGAATGATTCCCATTTCACAGACGGGAAAACCGAAGCTTAGTTGGGTTAAAGGAGTTAGCTGCCTGGGGTCTGCCGAGCCGGGGCTGAGCTGCCTGTACGGGTTGGGGACTTCCTGAAGGCAGGGGGGACTTGTAGCATACGCCCCATGACTCAGCGTTTCCATTCTGAGACATGCACCCTTTACAGATACGTAACGGGAGACACAGACAAGAGGATCCGTGACAGCCTGTTCTCAGTAACAAAAACCTGGCCACAGCCCAGATGCCCATCAGCAGGAGAGGACATGAAGAATGGCAGAATATTACCCAGCAGGCAACATGAACCATCCACAGTGTTAAGCAAAGAGATAAACAAGTATCAGCAATGTCACAGCACTGTGGGTTGAAAAACAAGTCCCCAGACATTGTGTATGGCAGGGTACACTTTTTACAGAGTTACAACTACTTATGATTTAAAAAAAAAACAAAAACACCTGGCCAGGCACAGTGGTTCATGCCTGTAATCCCAGCACTTTGGGGAGGCCAAGGCAAGCAGATCACTTGAGGTCAGGAGTTCGAGGCCAGCCTGGCCAACATGGTGAAAACCCATCTCTACTAAAAATACAAAAATTAGCCTGGCGTAGTGGCACATGCCTGTAATCCTAGCTACCTGGGGGACTGAAGCACGAGAATCGCTTGAACCTGGGAGTTCGAGGCTGCAGTGTAGATCACACCACTGCACTCCGGACTAGTGAGACTCTGTCTCAAAAAAAAAAAAAGGCAATGCTTTGGAGTTGGCTGTTCGATCCTGTGGTCTTGGGCATATTTACACAGCTCCTGAGCCTGTTCCCCAAACTTCCAAGAGGGGTACATACTGTCTGCCTTCAGGAACCAGGGTGGGGAATCAATGTCCCTTTGTAGATAAAATCACCAGGTGACCAGCCTGGGCAACACAGTGAGACCCTGCCTCTACCAAAAAAAAAATCTAAAAAAAAATATTAACAGGGCCTGGTAGCATGCACCTGTAGTCCCAGCTACTCAGGAGGCTGAGGAAGGAGGATTGCTCAAGCCCAGGAGGTCGAGGCTGCAGTGATGAGCTGTGATTGCACCACTGCACTTCGGCCTAGGTGACAGCGTAAGACCTTGTCTCAAAAAATAAAAAATAAAATTAAAAAAGCACCAGGCGGCCGGGCGCGGTGGCTCATGCCTGTAATCCCAGCACTTTGGGAGGCCGAGGGGATGGTTCACCTGAGGTCAGGAGTTTGAGACCAACCTGGCCAACATGGTAAAACCCCGTCTCTACTAAAAATACAAAAAAAAATTAGCCGGGCGTGGTGGCAGGCACCTGTAATCCCAGCTACTCAGGAGGCTGAGGTGGGAGAATTGCTTGAATCTGGGAGGCGGAGGTTGCAGTGAGCCGAGATCGCGCCACTGCACTCCAGCCTGGGTGACAGAGCGAGATTCTGTCTCCAAAAAAAAAAAAAGCACCAGGCATGCTGTGGCTGCTTTCATAAACAGCATCCATTTCTGGTTTTGGTTAATGGCACGACACTTCCCTGGTCTTTTCCCGACATAACCAGAAGCACATTCAACCTTCTGTGTTCCTTACACCAGAGCTGAGAAAGCACACCGAGACACACAATCTCTGACCTTTCCCAGCATGCAGACAGTTTGTGTCAACATGCTGAAGACCACAATGGAAATATGTGACCCTAAAGTAACCTGCAGTCCTGCCCTGACACTATGAATTGGGACGCAACATTCTCTGGAGGCCTTGCTATTAAAGGACTTTGGGGACACGCTGGGGCATGGGCTGGAGTTGTTGTCCTGTCACATGGTAACTCTGGGAGTGGCCCTGGTTCCCGGTCACACTCATCTCCTGCGGCCACCACCACTCCAACCCTACCGTGTACTGCTGGCCTGTGGGGCTGGGTGTTCCTGGGGGCCCCTCGGCTGGCCCCATCCTTAGATGACCTCTGCCCAAACTCACCCTCAGCAAAGACATGCAGCTCAGAAATCCCCCTTCCTGCCACCGGGGCCCATCTACCCCTTGCTGGGTCAGCTTAACCTTCCCTCCCCCAGACCTCTTCCACCCCTGCCCCTCTGCCTTGCTCAGCACCCCAACACACACCCCAGATTTCCTAAGACACAGACCAACTGGGAAGGGCACCCTCTCAGAAAGTCTCTGATCATTCGCCCATCTTTTTTTTTTTTTTGAGATAAAGTCTTGCTCTGTTGCCCAGGCTGGAGTGCAGTGATGCAGTCATAGCTCACTGCAGCAGCCTCAGACTCCTGGGCTCAAGTGATCCTCCCAACTCAGCCTCCCAAGTTGCTGCAACTACAGGTACACACCACCATGCCTGGCTAATTTTTTTTTTTTTTTGAGACGCAGTCTTGCTCTGTTGCCCAGGCTGGAGCGCAGTGGCATGATCTCGGCTCACTGCAAGCTCTGCCTCCCAGGTTCACGCCATTCTCCTGCCTCAGCCTCCCAAGTAGCTGTGACTACAGGTGCCTGCCACCATGCCTGGCTAATTTTTTTGTATTTTTAGTAGAGACAGGGTTTCACCGTGTTAGCCAGGATGGTCTCAATCTCCTGACCTCATGATCCGCCCGCCTCGGTCTCCCAAAGTGCTGGGATTACAAGCGTGAGCCACCGTGCCCGGCCTTTTTTTTTTTTCATTTTTTTGTAAAGACAGGGTCTCACTATATTGCTCAAACTGGTCTCGAACTCCTGGCCTCGAGTGATCCTCCCGCCTCAGCCTCCCAAAGTGCTGGGGTTACATGTGAGCCACTGTGTCAGCCACTGTGTCTGGCCTGTCCACCCATCTGATCCCTTCTCTCTGGCCTCAGGAAAACAGCACTCTGGCAAACTCCTTCCTCCTTTCATGACTCTCCCAAGCACCTCCCTGAGCTGTCGGTTTCATACTTGGCTTCTTAGTCTTAGCAATAAATAGGATCAAGTTTCTTCTGTCCTAAAAAAAAAGTCTTCCTTCATCCCCATCTCCTCCTGAGGCCACCTCCTTACCCCGACCACCTGCCATTGGGCCACGTCCTCAAGCCCTCCAGGGCATCCCGCTCCGTTCATCAGTGACCTCCCTGAGCCCAGCCCGATGACGTCTTCCCTTGTGCCTCCCTGCCCATGACCTGTTGCCTGGACCCACATGGCTGGCCAAGGCCTCCCTGGAATCTGCAATCTCCCGCACGGTCTCCTCTGACGTCTTGGACACTGACAGTCCTCTGCTTCCTGTGGTGGCTGCTCTTCTCCTCCCCAGCGTAGGCAGCTCTCAAGGGGTCGTCTCTCATCTCCTATTACACCCTCTCCCCAGATGCTCACTCCTGGGCTTCCAACCACCATGGTCCAGGCTCTCCCTGCAGACTTGCACTTCTCTCCCTGCACCCTGGCTTCAACCACCTTGGTTGATTCTTTTTTTTTTTTTTCTTGGAGACGGAGTCTTGCTTTGTTGCCTAGGCTGGAGTGCAGTGACGCAATCTCGGCTCACCGCAACCTCTGCCTACCGGGTTCAAGCAATTCTCCTGCCTCCGCCTCCCAAGTAGCTGGGATTACAGGCGCCTGCCACCATGCCCAGCTAATTTTTGTATTTTTTAGTAGAGATGGGGTTTCACTATGTTAACCAGGCTGGTCTCGAACTCCTGATCTCAAGTGATCCAACCGCCTCAGCCCCCCAAAATGCTGGGATTACAGGCATGAACCACCACACCCGGGCGGTTGATTCATTTGTCCCATCAACTCTCTGACATAGCTGTTGCTGCCCATTTGACAGATGAGGCAACTGAGGCTTAGAGAGGCTGAGCCACCACCTTACAGATGACCCAGGTCGCAGCTGGTCCCCTCACGCTGCCAGAGTTGTTGACATGTGCCCTCAGCCTGGTGGGGTGAAAGAGAATTGCACACCAGCCACTGACTCTCAAAATCCATTGTTCCCCCCACCACCCAACCCCGGCCTTGGCCTGGAGCCAAGCACCAGGGCAGAGCTGAGGCCCAGGGTGGTCCCCGATCTGGGCCGAGAAGCTGAGTAGCTGAGTCATCTCTGAGAAGAACACTCCCATCTTCAATTGCTGCTGCTGCCTGTTGTGGATGGCCCGGCTGACACAGGTAACTTGATCTGTTTACTCTGGGATTCCTAAGCCCGCAGAGTCAGGCCCTCACACGGGGCCTCTCCCTGGGCATCCTGGGCGAGGAGCCCTGGCCCAGCCAGAGCCCTGTTCCAGCAACAGACCTGAAACCCCAAGGCAGAGGGGGAAGGAGGGTGCAGCAGGGGAGAGACACTTCCAGGTAAACTTGCCTGGCAAAACCTTTTCTGAGATGTCTGATTTATGAACCAGCTAAAGTAGCAGAGAAAAGAGAATTACAAGTGTTTTTTTTTTTTTTAAATCTGTGGCACAGTTTACCACCAGTTCACCAGCAAATAAGAAAGGGGGGTGCCAGGCATGGTGGCTCACACCTGCAATCCCAGCACTTTGGGAGGCAGAGGCGGGTGGATCACTTGAGACCAGGAGTTCGAGACCAGCCTGGGCAACATGGTGAAACCCTGTCTCTACTAAAAATACCAAAATTAGCTGGGCGTGGTGGCAGGTGCCTGTAATCTCAGCTACTCCGGAGACTGAAGCAGGAGAATCGCTTGACCCCAGGAGGCAGAGGTTGCAGTGAGCTGAGATCATGCCACTGCACTCCAGCCTGGGTGACACAGCGAGACTCTGTCTTAAAAAAAAATCTTTTCGTGTAGAGACAGGGTCTAACTATGTTGCTGAGGCTGGTCTTGAATTCCTGGCCTCAAGCCATCCTCCCACCTTTGCCTCCCGAAGGGTTAGGATTACAGGATTGAGCCACCATACAGGGACCTATAGTCCCTTGATTAGCATCTTAAGGGGAAAGAATTTTAGCATGGAATAGATCATCTTTAAACAAAAACCCAGGATCAGAGAAGGGACGGGATCTGCCAGAGGTCACACCTTGCACGAGCCAGGACCAGAACTGGGAAGACCTTTCACCTCCAGCAGTGACCCATCCCCCTGACCCCCACCCAGACTCTTCCTGGTGTCCACCTGCTGTGTGCCACTCGATTCACCAAGCCCTCTTTGACTGACCCCTTGGGGACCTCAAATCCAGCCTTTTTCATCCCTGCTGTCATCTCACAAGCCTCTTCCTGGGTCTCCTGAGACCCTGTCCATCCACGCTGTACAGTACAGGCAAAGGCACTTCTCAAAGCACAAATGTGATGACCTCGCTCCTTGGGTCAAGCACCTCCCGTGGCTCCCACTGTCTCCATGATAACACCAAGGGCCCCAGGATGGCTTCCAGCTCCGTGACTTGGGCTGTTTCTGTCCAGCCCCCATGGGGCCACTGCTGGGCGCCTCCTCGTTCGTTAGTGTGCCGTATCCTCCCCCGGGACCCTCATTCCACTCCCCAGCCTTCAGGTCTCAGGGTGGACACCTTCACGAACCATGCTCCACTACGTCCCCTCCTCAACACTACCCACACCTCCCCTCCAACCGTCAGTGCCTACTTAGGGAGGTGTCTGGCCATTAGATCACTGCTGAAGTTTACCAACTCCACCCTGGCCTGGGCTGCTGAGTGGGCAGAGACCAAGGAGGCTTTGTCACTGCTACCCCAGCTCCCAGTTCTGGGCGAGGCTTGTAGTATTTGCTGATTGACTCTGCACCTGTCTTGGGTGCCAGAGGCCGCTCCTGGCCTGGGGTGGGGTGGGTGGGGGCACTGGGAGCTGGACAGGAGGGTTGTGCACCAGGCAGACAGAGCATCCCCTGCTCACTATGGAACCTTGGCCCACTCCTTGTCCTGGCTTCAGTTTCTCCAGCTGTACAGTGAGATGACTGGCGTGGGCAATCCCTGCAGTCCCTCCAGGGGTCACGGTCCCATGCTTCCCTCATATCCAATTATGGAGAATGTGATAAAGGCCACTGTGTCTCCCACCACCAGGCAGGCAGGGCATCTTCATGGGCTGAGGACCTACAGATGCTCACACCTTCCAGCTCACCCAACTATAGTGTGGCTGGTGGTTAGGTGCATGGGGATTTTCTTTTCCTTTTTTTTTTTTTTTCCCAGACAGGTTCGTGCTCTGTCACCCAGGCTGGAATGCAACGGCACCAATCACAGTTCACTGCAGCCTCTAACTCCTGGGCTTACGTGATCCTCCTGCCCGAGTAGCTGGGACTATAGGTGCGTGACACCACACTCAACTAATTTCTTATTTTATTATTTATTTCTGAGACTGGGTCTCACTCTGTCACCCAGGCTGGAGTACGGTGGCACGATCTCAGCTCCCCACAACCTCTGCCTCCCGCATTCAAGTGATTCTCCTGCCTCAGCCTCCCGAGTAGCTGGGATTACAAGCACTCACCACCATGCCTGGCTAATTTTTGTACTTTTAGTAGAGACGGGATTTCACCACGTTGGCCAGGCTGGTCTCAAACTCCTGACCTCAAGCAATCCACCCGCCTTGGCCTCCCAAAGTGCTAGGATTATGGGTGTGAGCCACCGCACCCAGCCTAATTTTTTATTTTTTGTAGAGACAGGGTCTCACTATGTTGCACAAGCTGGTCTTGAACTCCTGGCTCAAGAGATCTTCCTGCCTCGGACTTCCAAATTGCTGGGATTGCAGGTATAAGCCACTGCACCTAGTCAAAACATGTTTATTTATTTATTTATTTATTTAATTTTTTTTAAGATGGAGTCTCGCTCTGTCGCCCAGGCTGGAGTGCAGTGGCGCCATCTTGGCTCACTGCAAGCTCCACCTCCCGGGTTCACTCCATTCTCCTGCCTCAGCCTCCCGAGTAGCTGGGACTACAGGCGCCCGCCACCATAGAGAAGGGGTTTCACTGTGTTAGCCAGGATGGTCTCCATCTCCTGACCTTGTGATCTGCCCGCCTCGGCCTCCCAAAATGCTGGGATTACAGGCGTGAGCCACCGCGCCTGGCACCAAAACATGTTTTTAATAAGATAAAATCTGAGCTCGGGTCATGGTTTCTTATAGATATGTATTTTTTTTTAACCCCAAACTCGGTTTTTACAATTGCGGCATAACTTACTATAACAAAATGTACAGATTTTCAGGTGGGCAATTAGATGACTTTTGGCAAGTGTATATCCCCCATTTAACCAGCACCCCGATAAGTATATTGGACATTCCCATCATTGCAGAAAGTGTTCCGTGCTCCTTTCCCAACAACTGGAGGCAGCCACTGCTCTAGTCTCTAGTGCCGTGGATTCACTGTGTCTGTTTTGCGCTTCAAATCCATGGAAACACACACATTGTGTCCTATTTTCTGCCTGGTTTATTTTGCTCAATATATTATTTTTGAGATTAATCCAGGCTGGGTGCAGTGGTTCATGCCCATACCCAACATTTTGGGAGGCTGGGGCGGGAGGATTGCTTGAAGCCAGGAGTTCAAGACCAGCCTGGGCAACATAGTGAGATCCCATCTCTACAGAAAAAAAAAATAGGTGGACACAGTGGTTAGTCTCAGCTACTCAGGTGGCTGAGTTGGGAGGATTGCCTGAGCCTGGGTGGTAGAGGCTGCGGTGAGCTATGATTGCGCCACTGCACTCCAGCCTGGGTGACAGAGCAAGACTCCATCTCAAAAACAAAACAAAAATTACCCAGGCATGGTGGCATGCTCCTGTAGTCCCAGCTATTTGGGAGGCTGAGGCAGGAGGACTGCTTGAGCCCAGGAGGTCCAGGCTGCAGTGAGCTATAACTGCACTACTGCACTCCAGCCTGGGCAAAGCAAGACCCTGTCTCAATTAAAAAAAAAAAAAAAAAAAAAAAAAAGGCCAGGCATGGTGGCTCACGCCTGTAATCCCAGCACTTTGGGAGGCTGAGATGGGCGAATCACGAGGTCAAGAGATCGAGACCACCCTGGCTAACATGGTGAAACCCCGTCTCTAGTAAAAATACAAAAAAAATACCCGGGTGTGGTGGCGGGCACCTGTAGTCTCAGCTACTCGGGAGGCTGAGGCAGGAGAATGGCATGAACCTGGGAGGCAGAGCTTGCAGTGAGCCGAGATAGCGCCACTGCACTCCAGCCTGGGTGACAGAGCAAGACTCCGTCTCAAAAAAAAAAAAAAGAAAAAGAAAAAAAGGAAAATTCCCTCCAGTGTTATGGCTGAATGCCCTAATATCCTACAGTAATAGAAACACAGAATATCTTCTGCATTTTGAAATGCAATGTGGAATGAAAAAAAAAAAAAAAGCATGCCTCAGAAGATCGCAGGCTGCCAGGTATCTTTTCCATACATATAAATGGGATGAAAGCCTTTGCAAAAATCAAGGGAAAGATAAATGTGGGCAGAGAGCAGTTACCATCAATGTCATGGTCGGTGTGGGGGGCAGTGTTATTCAAATGATAAACAAACATAAAGTAAAAGCAGGATCAATAAGTATGTCACGAACCAAAAATTCTGAGTCATCAAATTCTGCACGCCTGAGGTCCATTTAAAAAAAGGAGCCTGGGCCGGGTGCGGTGGTTCACGCCTGTAATCCCAGCAATCTGGGAGGCCGAGGTGGGCAGATCATGAGGTCAGGAGATCAAGACCATCCTGGCTAACATGGTGAAACCCCAACTCTACTAAAAACACAAAAAATTAGCTGGGCGTGGTGGCGGGCTCCTGTAGTCCCAGCTACTCAGGAGGCTGAGGCAGGAGAATGGCGTGAGCCCAGGAGGTGGAGCTTGCAATGAGCCGAGATCGTGCCACTGCACTCCAGCCTGGGTGACAGAGTGAGACTCCGTCTCAAAAAAAAAAAAAAAAAAAAAAGCCGGGTGTGGTGGCGGGCACTTGTAATCCCAGCTACTTGGGAGGCTGAGGCAGGAGAATTGCTTGAACCCGGGAGGCAGAGGTTGCAGCGATCCGAGATGGCACCACTGAACTCCAGCCTGGGTGACAGAACGAGACTCCGTCTCAAAAAAGAAAAAAAAAAAAGAAGTGGCCCGTGACCTCGGCCATCTCTGAACAACAGATGAGCAATGAGCAATGAAAGCCAGAGGCCAAGAGTGAGAACAGTTTAATATCAATTTTTGTAAAATATTATTAAAAAAAAAAAAAAGGCCAGGCGCAGTGACTCACGCCTGTAATTCCAGCACTTTGGGAGGCCAAAGCGGGTGTATCACTTGAGTTCAAGAGATCAAGACCAGCCTAGCCAACATGGCAAAACCCTGTCTCTACTAAAAATACAAAAATTGGCCAGCTGTGTGGTGCATGTCTATAATCCCAGCTACTCAGGAGGCTGAGGTGGGAAAATTGCCTGAACCTAGGAGGTGGAGGTTGCAGTGAGCCAATATCACGCCACTGCACTCTAGCCTAGGTGACAGAGCAAGACTCTGTCTCGGAAAAAAATAATTAAATTAAAAGAAAAAAAGAAAACCAGACAGAACCTTCTCACTGCTCAGTCTCTGTCTTCCCCAGCCACTGTGAAAGGGGCCTGACTCCCCATGGGGGTGATGAACAGGCTCTCGGGAGACCAGAGGCATGGCCTTCCTGGATCACACAAATTGCCTGAATTGCTCTCCCTTGGGCCACCTGTCCCTGCCCTCTGCGGGAGAAAGGCCCAGACTGCAGGAGAATCTGCCCTCCCAACAGATGTGTGTGTTTGAGCGACTTAAGAACCTTCCTTCTCCTATAGGATTTAGGGGTCCTGGCATCTTTTTTTTTTTTTCTTTTTGAGACAGGGTCTCACTCTGTTGCCCAGGCTGGAGGCGTGATCTTGGCTCACTGCAACCTCCACCTCCCAGGTTGAAGCAATTCTCCTGCCTCAGCCTCCCGAGTAGCTGAGATTACAGGCTCCTGCCACCACGCCCAGGTAATTTTTGTATTTTTAGTAGAGATGGGGTTTCACCATGTTGGCCAAGCTGGTCTTGAACTCCTGACCTCAAGTGATCTGCCCACCTTGGCCTCCCAAAGTGCTGAGATTACAGGTGTGAGCCACTGCGCCCGGCCGGTGCTGGCTTTAGAGAACTAACACTCGTTGGTAGCATAAACTTGGGGAAGATCCTAATGGTTGAATTTTTTTGTTGTTATTTAAAGTCAAGGTCTCGCTCTGTCGCCCACGCTGGAGTGCACTGCCAGCCTCAAACTCCTGGGCTCGAGAGATTCTCCCACCTTGCCCTCCAGAGTAGCTGGGACTACAGGCGTATGCCACCATACCTGGCTAAATTTTTAAAAATTTAAAAAATTTTTTCGAGATGGGGGTCTTACTACATTGTCCAGGCTGGTCTCCAACTCCTGACCTCAAGTGATCCTCCCTCCTTGGTCTCCCAAAGTGCTGGGATGACAGGCGTGAGCCACTGCACCTGGCCAAACCATTTGTTTTTCATGGGATATTCTAGGAACACACGTGGTGTGCAGGGCAGGGCCTGCAGTACAGGTAGGAGCTGTGCTGTCTTAAAATCACCACCTTCTCCCAGACCCACATTTTTGGAAGGGGGCATAAGGGGCAGGTGATCAGAAGCACCACAGGCAGTATCTGAGCTCAGTGCATGGCCTCTTGGGCTCTAGATATGGGAACCTTCTGCAACACTGAGACCTGCAGCCATGCTTTTTTTTTTTTTTTTTTTTTTTTTTTTTTTTTGAGACAGTCTCGCTCTGTTGCCCAAGCTGGAGTGCAGTGGTGCGATCTCGGCTTACCATAATCTCCACCTCCTGGCTTCAAGCAATTCTCTGCCTCAGCCTCCCGAGTAGCTGGGATTACAGGCATCCACCACCACACCTGGCTAATTCTTTTTTTGTATTTTTAGTAGAGACGGGGTTTCACCATCTTGGCCAGGCTGGTCTTGAACTCCTGACCTTGTGATCCACCCCTGCAGGCATGTTCTAAAGACAGTATCCAGCTGGGTGCGGCAGCTTACACCTGTCATCCCAGCACTTTGGAAGGCCAAGGAGGGCTGATCACTTGAGGTCAGGAGTTCAAGACCAGCCTGGCCAACATGGCGAAACCCCATCTCTACTAAAAATACAAAAAAATTAGCTGGGTGTGGTGGTGCGCGCCTGTAGTCACAGCTACTTGGGTGGCTAAGGCAGGAGAATCGCTTGAACCGGGAAGGTGGAGGTTGCAGTGAGCCGAGATCACACCACTGCCCTCCAGCCTGGGCGACAGAGTGAGACTCTGTATCAAAAAAAATCCAAATAAATAAATAAATAAAGGTGGCATCCATGTCTCAGTGAGCATCTGCTGAAGAAGTAAATGGAAAGCTGAAATTGGCTAAAATGATTTAAGAAAAAAAGAGCTGGCCAGATGCAGTGGCTCACACCTGTAATCCCAGCACTTTGGGAGGCCAAGGCGGGCGGATCACCTGAGGTCAGGAGTTCGAGACCAGCCTGGCCAACATGGTGAAACCCTATCTCTACTAAAAATACAAAAAGATCAGCCAGGTGTGGTGGTACATGCCTGTAGTCGCAGCTACTCAGGAGGCTGAGGCAGGAGAATTGTTTGAACTGGGGAAGTGGAGGTTGCAGTGAGCCAAAATTGCACCACCGCCCTCCAGCCTGGGTGACAGAGTGACACTCTGTCTCAAAAAAATCCAAATAAATAAATAAATAAAGGTGGCATTGGTGTCTTGGTGAGCATCTGCTGAAGGAGTCAATGGAAAGCTGAAATTGGCTAAAATGATTTAACGAAAAAAGAGCTATCCAGGTATCCATCTGGAGCAACCACCTGTGGTATATGCGGTGCTGGGCTTGGTCTCTCCATGATGCCATCTAACCCTCAGGCCATCCTAAGGAAGGTTCTGCCATGCCCCTCTGCAGACGGGACACTGAGACCTGGGGGGTAATGGAACATGTTCACTGTCACAGTTAGCAAGGGCAGAGCTGGGATGAGAGGATCAGGGCAGAACTGAGATCTCCTGACAATGATTCCTTTTTTTTTTTTTTTTTGAGACAGGCTTTTTCTCAATCTCTGTCCCCCAGGCTGGAGTGCAGTGGCATGATCCTGGCTTACTGCAGCCTCAACCTCCCGGGCTCAAGTGATCCTCCCACCTAAGCCTCCAGAATAGTTGGGACTACAGGCAGGAATCACCATGCCCAGCTACTTCTTGTATATTTTTTTGTAGAGATGGGGGTCTCGCTATGTTGCCCAGGCTGGTCTCGAGCTTCTAAGCTCAAGCAATCCCATCACCTCAGCCTCCCAAACTGCTGAGATTACAGGTGTGAGCCACTGCCCCCAACCCCCTGACAGTGACTCTTGAAAGGGGCTCAACTTTTGCTTCTGTGGGAGCCCCGAGGACCAGAACCAGACCTGCCCTGAGAAGGGGCTAGACCTCCCATCTTTCAGAGTCTCACTGGCTCACCCTTCATAGAGAGAGGAGTGGCACAGTCTAGAGTGGTTCTTCTTTTTTTTTTGAGACAGGGTCTCACTCTGTCGCCCAGGATGGAGTGCTGTGGCTTAATCTCAGCTCACTGCAATCTCTACCTCTTGGGTTCAAACAATTCTTATGCCTCAGCCTCCTGAGTAGCTGGGATTACAGGTGTGCACCATCACACCCAGCTAATTTTTGTATTTTTAGTAGAGACGGGGTTTCTACTAACCCCATGGGCCAGGCTGGTCTTGAACTCCTGACCTCAGGCGATCCGACTGCCTCGGCCTCCCAAAGTGCTGGGATTACAGGTGTGAGCCACTGTGCCCAAGTGGCTCTTAAATCAGACTTCTGAGTCCAAAGCTAGCTTCTTCGACTAAGTTATACAGATGGCTTTAGGGAGGTTCCTCACCCTCTGGGGCCTCGGTTTCCTTATCTGTGACAAGGGGGAGGTCACATACCCACCTGAGTTGATAATGCATCCAAAGGGCATGGCGGTGGGCCTGGCCCATAGGAACCTGAGTCAAGGGGAGCCTGTCATCTTCATCAACAGCAGTGAGAGGAGCAGGAAGGGAGGTGTTGGCTCCTGGGTCCCTGGGGCCCTTCCTCCAGGGATCCACCATCAGAGGGTGCCCTCCCAAAGGTGGGGAGATGGCAGCTGGCCTGTTGTTCTGTATCACCCAGCACTTCAACTCTCCCAGGCAACCATGGTTGGCGGGTCCCAATTTCTACTGAGATCACCCCATGTAGTTCACATGGCGAGGGTCCCACACCCCAGCCTCACCACTTCCATCAAGCCAAACGCTTCCCATTTCCAGCCCAATGATGCTACTAACTTCCCTGCCCCTCCTTGGAGATCCCCAACCCCAAATAACCTCCCCTGATCTCCAGGGTCTCTTGGTGACAATACCTGCCTGCCTGCCTGAGCTAAGGGGGTCCGTTGCTTCTATCAGTCTCAATGCCCCAGAAACTGAGCGAAAACCCAAGTATTGACGGCCTACTGAACGCAAAGTCTGAGTCTGACCCTGGTATTCTATTCCTTGGTTTTTAGAACGCCTCCAGACACAGATGAGGGCTGAAGGCTCAGAAAGGCCGGGTCAGGCCAGGCGAGGTGGCTCACGTCTGAAATCACAGCACTTTTGGAGGCCAGGGCAGGAGGATCGTTTGAGGCCAGGAGTTTGAGGCCAGCCTAGGCAACAAAGTGAGACCCTGTCTCTACAAAATATTGTAAAAATTAGCCAGGTGTGGTGGCATACACGTGCGGCCCCAACTATTCAGGAGGCTGAGGCAGGAGGATCCCTTGAGTCCAGGAGCTGCAGTGAGCTATGATTTTGCCACTGTACTCTGGCCTGGGTGATCGAGCGAGACCTGTCTTCAAAAGAAAACAAGAAAGGCAGGGTGACCTGCCCAGGGATATGTGGTAGGAACAGCAGAGTGGAGAGAGAGCGCTTGATAAGGTGCCTTGTTGGGAAACATTCCCCACATCATGGTGCCATGGGAACCACATAAGCAGGTCAAGTGTGCCTCACTCAAGCACTCAGGAACCAAGTTTGCAGAGGGGGTCAGGGCAGGAGATGCACACGACTCCCAGCCAACCCCACACTCTGGACCTGGGGCACCTGCTAAGCGCTTTCTCTGTAAGATCTCACTTAAACCTCCCGTGAACAGCCCTGTAACGTGGGTGCCATCACCTTCTTCATTCTTCTACAGAAACTGACAAATAAAGGCAGTTAAACCAGGCTAATTTGGACTGACGGGCTGGGTGGGGGGCGGGGCGGGGCGGGGACGTCATCAGAGAGAAGCTGCAGGAGGGAAATTGTAGACTAGAACAAAGTCTGAAGAGGGTGGAGAAAAGCACAGATTTAAAAGAAAGAAAGAAATGTGGCTGGGCATAGTGGCTCACGCCTGTAATCCCAGCACTTTGGGAGGCTGAGGCGGGTCGATCACCCGAGGTCAGGAGTTTGAGACCAGCCTGGCCAACATGGCGAAACCCCATCTCTACTAAAAATGCCAAAATTAGCTGAGTGTGGTGGTGCACACCTGTAATCCCAGCTACTCGGGAGGCTGAGGCAGGAGAATCGCTCAAACCCAGGAGTCAGAGTTTGCAGTGAGCTGAGATTGCGCCACTGCACTCCAGCCTGGGAGACAGGGTGAGACTCTGTCCCCGCCACCAAAAAAAAAAAAAAAAAATGCGTTTTACTGCCTGCAAGCTTGAGTTCTCCCTCCAGCACCCTACCCACCAGGGCTCCTCAGAGGCCTGGCTTGAGGAACGGATACGGTAGCCTTGTCATCTGCAGGTGACACCAGGCCTGCAGCTTGTTCTGAGGTGTCACCCCCTTATTCTTTTTTTGTTTTTTTTTTTTTTGAGACAGAGTCTCACTCTGTTGCCCAGGCTGGAGTGCAGTGGTGCGATCTCTGCTTACTGCAACCTCCTCTTCCCGGGTTCAAGCAATTCTCCTGCTTCAGCCTCCCAAGAAGCTGGGACTACAGGCGTGCACCACCACACCCGGCTAATTTTTGTATTTTTAGTAGAGACGGGGTTTTACCATATTAGCCAGGCTGGTCTCGAACTCCTGACTTTGTGATCCGCCTGTCTCAGCCTCCCAAAGTGCTGGGATTACAGGCGTGAACCACCACGCCCAGCCCACACACCCCCTCATTCTTGACTGTGCTGCTCTAGTGGACGAAACAGCCCAAAAGCATTGCTCAGTTGGGAGGGGGTGGAGGGAGTCCAGCCTGGGTGTGTGCAAAGGAGTCACCCAGGAAACTCACCGCGGGATCTGCCCTTACAGATGCACTCGCCTGGGGCCAAGCCCTGGGTGGCTGGGGCAGGTTACCCGGAGGCCCAGGGGCCAAATGCAGGAGCAAGTTCCCATCAGGAAAGGGGAAGAGCGAATCAGAGATCCAGCTCCTGCATGCAGGGGAGTGGGCACGGGCAATCCCCTTACCCCAGGGTCGTTCCCCAGCCTCACCTCGAAGGCAATGAAGGAGGGTAGAGTCTGAGGGCACCCCTGACACCTCCACCTGTCCCCATCCCCTATCAGCGTTCCACATTCCAGTGCAGGCCCAAAATTCTAACCCCAAAGAAGAAGCGTGGTGGGGTACGCTTCTTCCCACTTTTTTTTTTTTTCTTGAGACTGGGTCTCACTTTGTCAACCAGGCTGGAGTGCAATGGTGTCAGCATAGCTCACTGCAGCCTCCAACTCCTGGGCCCAAGTGATCCTCCTGTCTCAGCCTCCAGAGTAGCTGGGGCTACAGGTGTGCACTACCACGTCTGGCTAGTTTTTAAAATTTCTTGTAGAGACGGGGTCTGGCTATGTTGCCCCAAATGGTCTTGAATTCCTGGCCTCAAGCGATCCTCTTGCCTCCACCTCCCAAAGTGCTGGGATTATAGGCGTGAGCCACCGCACTGGGCCTTGATTTCACATTTGAACTCTCCCACATTAAAAAAAAAAAATTATTAAAAAAAAAATAGGCCCAGCGTGGTAGCTCATACTTGTAATCCCAGCACTTTAGAAGGCCAAGGTAGGAGAATTGTCTGAGCTCAGGAGTTCAAGACCAGCCTGGGGAACATGGTAAAACCCCAACAGGATGGATTTGATTCCTATACAAATTGAAGCTCCCCTGCCAAGGAGGGCCTGCCTGGAGGGGATGAGACCTTCGTTCTGAGGCCTCAGGGTCAGTGGATCAGGAGTGGGGGAGCTAGAATAGAAGCGGACAGCCTGGGCATGGGGACTCACGCCTGTAATCCCAGCACTTTGGGAGGCCAAGGCAGGTGGATCACCTGAGGTTCGGAGTTCAAGACCAGCCTGGCCAACATGGTGAAACCCTGACTCTACTGAAAATATAAAAATTAGCCAGGCATGGTGGTGTACACCTGTAATCCCAGGGAGGACTGAGGCAGGAGAATCACTTGAACAAGGGAGGCGGAGGTTGCAATGAGCCAAGATTGCACCATTGCACTCCAGCAGGCTGAATGACAGAGCAAGACTCTGTCTCAAAAAAAAAAAGAAAAAGAGGACAAGACATGGCAGTCAGCGCGCAGAGGAGGGGCGACTGGAGAACGACTGGGGGTCAGACGGGCAGGACCTGGGTGGGCTGGGTGGGAGGAGGGCTGGATGTGGCGCTGTGCACCAGGGAGGGGACACAGAAGCAGGGGGCAGTCTGGGAGGAAGACTTGCAAGCACCATATGGGGACACAGTAGACACCCAGAGTGTCCAGGCACCCTGCAGGCAGAGCTGCTGTGCAGGGCAGAGAAGGGTGCCCAAGACGTTGCTGGGAGCAGAGAAGTCACACCTTCCTCAAGGCCGGCTGGAGGACGCAACGGCTCTTTGTGTTCCAAGAAGCAGCTCTTACCAGGGGGCTGCCTGCCTGGCCCCAAAGTTTCTCCAGTCTCCTTACTATAGACCCCTCCCCTCCTGCCAGCCTCCCGCATCCCCACAGCTCAGCCAATCTGAAACAAATAAACAGCTTCCCTTCCTCCAATAAAAATCAGCCATCCTGCAATTGTCAGATGTGCCCTTCCAGTGCTTCCAAAGCAGAACAGACCATCCGTGCCATGGGGACAGAGGCCACCACTGCCACCTCGCCGAGGCCTGCATCAAGTAGAGGGCACCTCAATAAACATCCATTGAATTTCTGTGAATAATAGGTTCACTATGTAATCAACACCTCACTAAGTCCCTAACATAAAATTCCCCATTTAATTCTCACAACCACCCAAGATGTTGATAGTATTATCTCCAGTTATTTTTTGGTAGAGATGGGGTCTCACTATGTTGTCCAGCTGATCTCAAACTCCTGAGCTCAGGCAATCCTCCCGCTTCCTCAGGCAAGACCTCCCAAAGTGATGGGATTACAAGTGTGAGCCACCATGCCTCACTTTATTCCTATTTTAAAGATGAAGCCAGGCCACAGTGTGGTGGCTCACGCCTATAATTCTACCACTTTGGGAGGTCAAGGCAGGAGAATTGTCAGAGCTCAAGAGTTCGAGACTGGCCTGGGCAACATAGTAAGACCCTGTTGCTACTAAAAATCTTTTTTAAAAATTAGCTGGGCATGACGGTGCACACCTGTGGTCCCAGCTACTTGGAAGGCTGAGGCAGGAGGATTGCTTACGCCTGGAACGTTGAGGCTGCAGTGAGCTATGCTCATGCCACTGCATTCTAGCATAGATAACAGAGCCAGACCCTCCTTGGAGGTTCTAAGTTGCCCAAGATCACATGGCTGGTGGGTTGTGGGAATTTGGATAAAAACACATTTTCCTGTTATGTGCATATCCTGAGAAATGACCCTCGGCATAAGCTTTTCCATCTTGGGTTAACAGTGGAAAGGAGTGGAGGGCATAGGCGGGGAGGAGTTCGGAGTGGGGGGGCCAAGGCTGAACCCTAAACTGCTGTTGTCCATTGTGTGACTTGGGGGCAGACAGCTCCTTCCTGTAGAGCTGCTATGAGGGTGAATGATGGGAACTCCCAGCGGAGGCCTCATGCATAGTGGGTGTTCGAGAAGGAACTGCCATGGCTGGGAGCAGTGGCTCACGCTTATGATCTCAGCCCTTTGGGAGGCCGAGGCAGGTGGATCACCTGAGGTCAGGAGTTCGAGACCAGCCTGGCCTACATGGTGAAACCCCATCTCTACTAAAAAATACAAAAATTAGCTGGGTGTGGTGGCACATGCCTGTAGTCCCAGCTACTCGGGAAGCTGAGGCAGGAGGATCACTTGAGCCCAGGTGGCAGAGGCTGTATTGAGCTGAGATTGCACTGCACTCCAGCCTGGGCGATAGAGTAAGACCGTGTCTAAAAAAAAAAAAAAAAATACGGGAACATCAGACACTGGGGACTCCAATAGAGGTTGGGAAGGGGAGGAAGGTTAAAAAAATTACCTATCGGGTACAATGTTCACTATTTGGGTAATGGGCGTACTAGAGGCCCAGTCCCTACCAGTATGCCATATATGCATGTAACAAACATGCACGTGTACCTCTTGAATCTAAAATAAAATAAAATCTTAAACATTAATTTTAATTTTTATTTTTTTGAGACAAGGTCTGGCTCTACTGCCTGGCTGGAGTACGGTGGCACAATCTCGGCTCACTGCAGCCTCCACCTCCTGGGGTCAAGCGATCCTTCCACCTCAGCCTCCTGAGTAGCTAAGACCACAGGTGCATGCCACTATGCCCAGCTACATTTTGTATATTTTGTAGAGATGAGGTTTCACCATGTTGCCCAGGCTGGTCTCCAACTTGTGAGCTCAACCAATCTACTCGCCTCAGCCTCCCAAAGTGCTGGGATTACAGGCATGAGCCACCACGCCTGGCCTCAAATTTTATTAATTGTTGTAAAATACACACAACAAAACCTACCATCTTAACTATCTTTAAGTGTGCAATTCAATCGTGTTAAGCACGTTTGCAATACGGACAGCAACTGCCACCATCCATCTCTAGAACTCTTCATCTTACCCAACAGGAACTCCATACCCACTAAACACCAACTCCCCAGCTCTTGGCAACCACCATTCTTTCTGTCTCTATGACTCCGGCTACACCAGGTATTTCATACAAGTGGGATCTCATGCAGTATTTGTTCTTTTGTGACTAGTTTATTTCACTCAGCATGATGTCTTCAAGGTTCATTCATGTTGTAGCATGTGTCAGAATTTCCTTCCTTTTTCCCCTCTGAATAATATTCCTCTGTGTGAATACATCCCATTTTGTTGATCTGTTCATCCATCAGTAGACACCTGGGTCACTTCCACCTTTAGGCCTTAGTGAATAAGGTTGCTGTAAATGTGGGTGCATGGCCAGGCGCGGTGGCTCATACCTGTTATCCCAGCACTCTGGGAGGCCGAGGCTGGTGGATCACTTGAGGTCAGGAGTTCAAGACCAGCCTGGGCAACATGATGAAACCCCATCTCTACTAAAAATGCAAAAATTAGCCAGGTGTGGTGGCGTGCACCTGTAATCCCAGCTACTCGGGAGGCTGAGGGACCAGAATCGCTTGAACCCAGGAGATGGAAGTTGCAATGAGCCAAGATCGCACCATTGCACTCCAGCCTGGGTGACAGCAAGACCCTGTCTCAAAAAAAAAAAAAAAAAAAAAAATTGGGGTGTGCAAGCAAAACCTCAGGTTTTCGAGCAGAGATCTAGCTCAGAGGTTGGAGTATGTTCAATGTGTTATGGTGAGGGCAAGCCTGAGTATATATGGCACCTAGACACCAGTTTTCCATTTAGGCCAGGCACCGTAGCTCACACCTGTAATCCCAGCACTTTGGAAGGCTGAGGCAGGAGGATCACTTGGGTCCGGGAGTTCGAGACCAGCCTGGGCAACATAGCAAGACCCCATCTCTACAAAAAAAACAAAAATTATCTGGGTGTAGTGGTGAGTGCTTGCAGTCCCAGCTACTCAGTGGGGCTGAGGCAGGAGGATTGCTGGAGCCTGAGAAATCGAGGCTGGAGTGAGCTGGGATTGCATCACTGCACTCCAACTAGGGTGACACAGTGAGACCCTGTCTCAAGAATTTTTTTCAGGCCAGGTGCGGTGGCTCATGCCTGTAATTCCAGCACTTTGGGGAGGCCGAGGCGGGCGGGTCACGAGGTCAGGAGAGCAAGACCATCCTGGCTCACATGGTGAAACTCCGTCTCTACTAAAAATACAAAAAAATTAGCCGGGCGTGGTGGCAGGTGCCTGTAGTCCCAGCTACTCGGGAGGCTGAGGCAGGAGAATGGTGTGAACCCGGGAGGCAGAGCTTGTGGTGAGCCAAGATCGCACCACTCCACTCCAGCCTGGGGGACAGAGCCAGACTCTGTCTCAAAAAAAAAAAAAAAAAGAATGTTTTTCAAAAAGTTTTAATTTAGCACCGTGGATGGCCCACAGGGACCTTGGACACCCAGAATCCCACTGGCCCAGCGCGGATGCAACTGGGCTGGTTTCTCATACTGCAGATCTGTTATAAGAGAAAACCTTTCCAGCTGTGTGCAGGCTCAGAAGAGACCAATTAAACCTTTTACAAGGTTTTTTTGTTTTTGTTTTTGTTTTTTCTGAGATGGAGTTTCACTCTTGTCGCCCAGGCTGGAGTGTAGTGACATGATTTTGGCTCACTGCAACCTCTGCCTTCTGGGTTCAAGTGATTCTCCTGCCTCAGCCTCCTGAGTAGCTGGGATTACAGGCGCCCGCCACCACGTCGGCTAATTTTTGTATTTTTGGTAGAATCGGGGCTTCACCTTGTTAGCCAGGCTGGTCTCGAACTACTGACCTCAGGTGATGCACCTGCTTGGCCCTCCCACAGGTGCCAGGATTACAGGCGTGAGCCACTGCGCCCAGCTACAACTGACTTTTTTGATCCCTGGGAGATAAGTCAACACCGAGGGACGACCGGTCCTAAGCCCTGGACATGGACCTGGGGGTGAGGACAGAAGGGGATCAGGACCAGCCCTCTCATCCTGCACCCTGAGGCATGGGTGATCCCAGGAAGCCACTCACCAGGCACCAGGGTGGCTTCCTGGAGGAGAGGATGCTGAAGCCGACCTCAAGAAGTGTCTGTGTTAGGTTTAAGGACTCATGAGAGTTCTCTGGCTGGACTAAAGGTAGCATGATCACATAGTCAGGTTTGCCCTATTGTCTGCAGGTTGTTGTTATTATTGTTAAGATGATGATGATGATGATGATGATGATGATGAGACAGAGTCTCATTATGTTGTCCAGGCTGGAGTACAGTGGTGCAATCTCGGCTCACTGCAACCTCTACCTCCTAGGCTCAAGGAATCCTCCCACCTCAGCCTCCTAAGTAGTTGGGATCACAGGCAGGCGCCATCATACCTAGCTAATTTTTTTGTATTTTTTGCAGAGTCGGGGTCCCACCATGTTGCCTCCGCTGGTCTCCAATTCCTGAGCTCAAGCGATCAGCCTAAAGTGCTGGGATTACAGGCTTGCTGGGATTACAGGCATACTGGGATTACAGGCATGAGCCACTGCACTTGGCCAACCTAGTAATTATTTTAAGTACTTCCTGCTATTCTAAAAAATGTTTGTTCCCGTCTCAATGATAAATGGCAGGGTCATTTCATTCCTTATCTGTTGCTACATAACAAATTACCCCAAATCTTAGTGGCTTGAAACAACAACAAACTTTTATTATCTCTCACAGTTCCTATGGGTTAGGAATTTAGGTGTGGCTGAACTTGGCAGTTCAAGGCATTGGCTGGGGCTGCAATCCATTGGAAGGCTTGCCTGGGGCGAAAGGATCTGTTTTCAAAGCCCCGCTCTGCCGGTTGAGGGTGGGATGCCTCAGTTCCTCTCCATATGGGCCTCTCCATGGGGCTGCTTGGGTGTCCTCAGGCCTTGGGGGTTGGTTTCCCACAGAGCAAGGGATCTGGGAGAGAGGGAGCGCCACGCAGAAGCTATCGTTTTGTGCCCTAGCCTCGGAAGTCTTGCGGTATTGCTTTTACCATCTCCTAGTGACTTAGAAGAAAGTAGCCAAGACAGACATTTAAAGGAGAGGGGGGTGGAGGGATCCTAGCTTTTTTTTTTTTTTTTTGACACGGAGTCTGGCTCTGTTGCCCAGGCTGGAATGCAGTGGCGGGATCTCGGCTTCACGCCATTCTCCTGCCTCAGCCTCCTGAGTAGCTGGGAATACAGGCGCCCGCCACCACGCCCAGCTAATTTTTCTATTTTTAGTAGAGACGGGGTTTCACCGTGTTAGCCAGGATGGTCTCGATCTCCTGACCTTGTGATCTGCCCTCCTCGGTCTCCCAAAGTGCTGGGATTACAGGCGTGAGCCACGGCGCCCAGCCGATCCTAGCTTTTAAAACCACCAGCAGCTGGGAGCAGTGGCTCATGCCTGTAATCCCAGCACTTTGGGAAACCAAGAAGGGAGGATCACTTAAGGTCAGGAGTTTGAGACCGGCGTGGACAACAGAGTGAGACCCCCTCTGTACAAAAAAATCTAAAAACTACCACAGTTGGCCAGGTGCAGTGGCTCATGCCTGTAATCCCAGCACGTTGGGAGGCCAAGGCGGGCAGATCACTTGAGGTCAGGAGTTCAAGACCAGCCTGGCCAACTTGGTAAAACCCATCTGAATTAAAAATACAAAAAATTAGCTAGGCATGGTGGTGGTACCTGTAACCTCAGCTACTCAGGAGGCTGAGGCAGGAGCATCACTTCAACCCAGGAGGCAGAGGTTGCAGTGAGCCGAGATCGTGCCACTGTACTCCAGCCTGGGAGACAGAGTGTAACTCCATCTCCAAAAACAAAAGCAAAAGCAAAACAAAACAAAACTACCATGGTTACCTAAAATAGAGCATGTGTTGGGAAGGGAGTAGACAGAGCCAGAGTGGATAGACAGAAGACATCTGATCAAGAAAGAATTCAGGCCGGGAGTGGTGGCTCACGCTTGTAATCCCAGCACTTTGGAAGGCCAAGGTGGGTGGATCACCTGAGGTCAGGAGTTTGAGACCACCCTGGCCAACAAGGCAAAACCCCGTCTCTATTAAAATACAAAAAATTAGCCAGGCATGGTGGTGCATGCCTGCAATCCCAGCTACTCGGGAGGCTGAGGCACAAGAGTCACTTGAACCCAGGAAGCAGAGATTGCATGCAGTGAGCTGAGATCACGCCATTGCATTCCTGCTTGGGTGACAGAGTGAGACCCTGTCTGAAAAAACAAACAAAACCAACAAGGCAGAGATGTGGCCAGGGATTCTGAAGGAATGCATGAAGTCGACCCAGCACCCACTCCAGTTGTGTCCCTCCATCCTCCCGGACTCCCCCCCTGCCCCTGCACTCCCAGCCATGCCCCCTGTGCGGGCCTCTGGTCCTCTCACCCTCTACCTTTGCTGGAGAACACACAGGACTCACGTCTTTTCCTCCCATGGGACAGAAACTCCTTTCGCGCTTCCTATTAGGCCTTGCCTACAGCAGGTACACACTGCTGGGTTTCTGCGTGAACAGAGCATACCAATTTGCACCCACCACAGGACAGCGGCTTGTTCCCTGCAGACACCTTTCTCTTTCCAGCCTCCAGGCGTTTGCTCCTTCAGCCCAGAGGGATGGGGCAGCAATGAGCATTTGGGCTGCCCTAGAGGCAGGAGGCAGGAAGATATCTGGATAGTTCAGGAAAGAGATAAGGACAAAGGAAAAAGTCATAGGAAAAAGATTTGGGAGCTAGGGTTGAGCCAGCCCCTTTCTCTAGGCAGCAGCAGACTATGGCTGTCCTGAGTGGGCACACGCACGGCTCTGGGGCTCACCCTGTACACTCTTCACCCATACCCCTCCCCTGATCCATCTGTACCCACCCACTCCTGTTCTCTGCTTGCTCATCTTGCTTTATCCCCAGCACCTCCTGACATTTTCTCATGCCACCCATCACCCCATTCTTGGATCAGATGATGCCGCCTCCTCTAGGAAGCCTTACTGGCTTGCAGCTCTGTGGTCCTAGAGCATTTTGGCTGCCCCTGCCAGAGGCCTGACACCTAAATGACAGGTGAGGTCCTTGGCTTAGTTCTGTGAGAGCAGTGACAGCATCTCCACTTTCCAGAATCAGGATGCGTTATGTGTGTGTGTAAAAAGTCTTCTAAGCCTGGGCTTTTCTGGCTCTGCCCTCACAAACTGGTGCTGGCCAGTGGCCCCAGGGCCTTCCCAGTTAATGCTTAATGGCTGGGTACAGTGGCTCACACTTGTAATCCAGCACTTTGGGAGTTCCAGGTGTCTTTACTAAAAACACAAAAATTAGCCAGGCATGGTGGTAGAGAGCTGTAATCCCAGCTACTTGGGAAACTGAGGCAGGAGAATCGCTTGAACCTGGGAGACAGAGGTTACAGTGAGCTGAGATCATGCCACTGCACTCCAGCCTGGGCAACAGAGCAAGACTCTGTCTCAAAAAAAAAAAAAAAATGCTTATTGGAGCTTCTAGTAGACCAGATACTCTTGAGAGTGCTTGGCGTGGTTTATCTCATCAAGCCCTCACAACCACTTAGGTTGCAGGCATGATCATCATCCCTGTTTTACAGGTAAGAAACATAGCACAGAGAAGTCAAGCAACTTGCCCAAGGTCACACAGCCAGGATGAGCAGTGCTGGGATTCCAGCCGAGGTGTCCCAGGGCTCTAACTCCCTTGGGCTAGCCTGTCTTTCCCTAAAGGGCAATCAGACAGTGGCCTCAGCCCAATGTGCTCCGAGGAATGACGAGGGCTCTGCATGGACTTTTTGCAATTTTAAGCTTTTCTCTCATAAATGCCTCTTAAGACGTTAGTGTTCACTGGCCAGGCATGGTGGCTCACGCCTCCCAGCACTTTGGGAGGCCCAGATGGGCGGATCACAAGTTCAGGAGTTCGAGACCAGCCTGACCAACAGCTCATGCCTGTAACAGTTTAAATGTTATGTCCACACGCACCTCTGAGAGGCTGAGGTGGGAGGATCATGTGAGGCCAGGAGTTCAAGGCCAGCCCGGGCAACACAGTGAGACCCCCATCGCTACAAGAAATTTAAAAATTAGCTGAGTGTGGTGGTGCGCACCCGCAGTCCCAGGTGCTTGGGAGGCCGAGGTGAGAGGATTGCTTGAGCCTAGAAGTTCGAGGCTGCAGTGAGGTATGATGGTGCCACTGTACTTCAGCCTGGGCAACGGAGACCCCATCTCTTAAAAACAAACAAACAAAAAGCTCTAAGATCTAGTGCCACCTCCTACAGGTAGGCACCCAGCCTTCTAGGTACCCTGCTAGACCAGCCCTTCCCTGACTCCACCCTGCTGTAGAGTGATGGCCTCTTTCTTTCTCTTCCACCAGGCTCTAGGGCTTGGCAGAGGAAGGGGCAAGGTATCTCTGCATCCCTTGGACCCAGCCACACCCCCACACAGAGTGAATGTTTCCTAATGCCATTCCCTTTCCACAACTCCACTGCACGAGAGAGAAGTGACTTAAGTCTGCTAAGGGGCGGAGGGAAAGGTTCAGGAAGGTTTCAGCGTGCTATCATTAGCTCTTGAGGATTGAATAGGAATTTACTAGGGGTGGATGGGGGAGAATATTCCAGGCAGATGGAAGAGAGGTAGATACGAAGGCACAGAGGTATGTAGGGAACAATAAGGGAAATTGTGTATTTGCTGGGGGAGGGCTAAAGATGAGGATTCAAGGCCAGGAGCAGTAATCCCAGGACTTTGGGAGGTCGAGGTGGGAGGACTGCTTGAGCCCAGGAGTTGGAGGCTGTATTGATCTATGATGGCGCCACTGTACTCCAGCCTGTACGACAGAGCAAGACTCTGTCTCTAAAAGAGAAAAATAAAAAACAAAAAAATAAAGATGAGGATTCAGGATCTAGATCCCAAAGGGCCTCGAATGCCATGTCAACGATTTGATGCTATAGAGTGACTGACAAAACTGTAACCGGGCCGGGAGTGGTGGCTCACGCCTGGAATCCCAGCACTTTGGGAGGTGGAGGCCAGTGGATCACCTGAGGTCGGGAGTTCAAGACCAGCCTGACCAACATGGAGAAGCCCCGTCTCCACACAAAATTAGCCAGGCGTGGTTGTGCATGCCTGTAATCCCAGCTACTCGGCAGGCTGAGGTAGGAGAATCGCTTGAACCTGGGAGATGGAGGCTGCAGTGAGCTGAGATGGCACCACTGCACTCCAGCCCGGACAAGAGCAAAACTCCATCTCAAAAAAAAAAAAAAGAAAAGTAAACAGGTGGCACAGGGACCCTCAGGGCATGCTGTCCTAGTCTGGGCTAAACGTAGGTTTTGGAGAGGGAGGTGACAGAGCTATGGGTCACCACCTGGGGGCAGGTATTACAGGAAGAATCTAAGGGGTTCTACCTGGATGGCTGATTATTGAAAACAGTTTAAATGCTATGTTCGCAGGCTGCGACCCATTAACACTTGCTAAAAAGCCATTTCCCACAATCGTCCCACACCATCCACACAGCAGTTCTGTGTCCATGAGGGGGCCAAGTAGTGCTATCTCTATTTTACAGACGGACAAAGTGTGAGCCAGAGGAGAGACTTTGCCTCAGCCACGCAGGCAGCGGGCTCTGGTCACACATGACCTGAAGCCACGATCCGGGCTCAGAGTGCTTGGGGTGGCAGGTCCTCAGGCATTTGACGAATGTTCCGCACCTTCTGAGGCCGGACCATGGAAACAGAGATGGCCTTTGGCCTCTGAGTCATCTTGAAACTGGACTAGTCAGCTGGGTCACCTGGGCCTGGGACAGGACAGGCTGCTTTCTGCAGGAGGGAGGAAGGGGGACCCACTGAGGGACAGGTTTTCTTGTGTTCCCAGAGGCCAGCAGGGGGGCTTGACCCCAGAGACACGCCTATCCATGAGTACCCAAAGGGGACCCTGAGTTGGGGGCTGGAAGAAGGCCAGTCTCTCCACCAAGGGAAAGGGGCTGAGGGACCCTGCCCTTTGCTGCCTTTCTAAGAAGCCCCCAAATGCCCCCTCCTTCCAGCACCCAGGCCCTGTGCACAGCCGCAGCCTGAGTCATCATCCTCATTTGAATGGTGGCCGAGAAATCAGCCAGGGGGCTGCCCAGGGCTGAGGGCCAAGACTTGGAAAAACAAGGCTGTTCTGTTACCTCCAAGCCTTGGAACGTCCAGCCCGGCTAGGGAGTGGGGGGCAGAGGGCAGGCAGAAGCAGGATCTGAAGGTGTCAACAGCCAGAGGGGGCTTTGTGTGAGGGGTGGGGGCGCGGTTCAGAATCCGAGCTGTTGGCTTTTGTTTTCAAATGACCTGTTTAATCATTACCCTTTGCAATCAACGGGGAGCACAGGCTCCGTGGCAGAGGCTTGGCGACTATTTCAAATCTCCATCCCCTACTGAGCAGCCGGAGAAGAAAGTAAACAAGATGCCACCGGCAGGTCTGGCTCCATCTCGCAAACAATAGCCGGACTGAGCACCCGGCTCAGACACACACATCAAAGTGAGATTTCCAAGCCAGAACTTTTCACAGGCAGATAACAGGCTGGGATGGAATTATTTCCCTGTGTCCCTTGAGCTCAGTGCCAAAGGGGGCAGCCTACAGGGGCTGTCATTTTCACGCTAACCTTGACCCGAAACGTATTCATTCATTTTGCAGTGAGGGAGAGCCACCACCGCCCCAAACCGCGAAAAACCAACCAGTAACAACTTTATCATTCCTTTTTAACAGTCACAATCGTGGGCAAATGAGACTTAAGTTACAGCAGCTAGCTGGCACTCACACTCCCCTCGGCTCAGGGTCCTTAAACAACAACAACAAAACCCTAATGCAAGCACCCACCGGGGCTCACAATGTCAAACCCTTACCTGGCATAGGGAAAATCCAAGTGAGAGAGAGAGTGAGTGTCTGTGTGTGTGTGTGTGTGATTCCATCTGTTACCTTCCAAGGCCTTCAACTATTTTTCCCCCAGCAGCATCCAAGCCCAGCCTCAAGGCAGATGCATAAACATGCCTGCTCCTCCCCTTCTACGGTTGGGCAAAACATCCCCCCACCCCCTTTCCAGGACCCCAAGGAGAAAGAATCACGTCCTCTGTAGCCCCTCCCTGGCCCTCGCCTACCCCCCGTTTCCCCCCCAATTCCAGGCCGTCCGCAGCAAGCCTCGTAGGCACCTTGAGATAAACACCCACTAATGATTTTATGATTTTCTGCTCTGGGTAACCGCGCTCAGCGGAATCCCTCCCCACGCCGTGGCGACGGGGGCCGGCCCAACCGAGGGATGGGGGTATGGGGGCGTTTGTTTTTTCCACGGCCTCGTCCCCACACCTGTTTTTCATTCATTCATTCGTTCGTTCCTTCATCCATTCACGGATCCGTCACTGCAGCCGCCCCAGCCCCCCGGATTTCGGGAAGGGGGCTGCGATGGGGGAGGGGGTGGGAGATGGGGGGGACGACAGAGGTGGGGGGTGGCGCACCGAGGGGTGGAGGGTTGCGAGGGGTCCGGGAGCCAGGACCCTGCGGCTCCGGCTTTGTCAGACGCGAGCGAAGCGGCGGCGGGGGCGGGGCGGGGGCGCTCCCGGGGCCCGAAGTTGTCTTCCGAGGCGCGGCGGCGAGGACAGCGGCCCGGGGTGCGCCCCCTTTGTCTGTCCCCGGCAGGCGCCGCGTCCCCGCGCGCTTACCTGGTCTTGGAGAACAGGAAGGCAAGTTTGATCAGGCCCGTAGGTGAACAGCGGGATACTCTCCTTGGCGACGCTGGCAACTTGCAGCCGGTGCTCCAGGATGTGGAGTTCCATCGTCCGCCCGCGCCCCGTCCGCGGCAGCTCATCCGCTGGGGGACGAGCCGCGGCCCCCGCCCCCTCCGCGCCCTGCCGGCACCGACAGCCGGCCCGGGGACCCGGGAGCTCGGCGCCAGGCGCGGGGGGCGGCGGCGGCCGGACCGGGCCGGACAAAAGGGAGGAGGCCCGCCAAGTTGCGAGGGGGAGCCACGGGTCGAGGGAGGCAGCGCCGGCGGAGCAGCGGCGCGCGGGTGCCGGCGCGGGGAGCAGCTGGTGTTCGCTGTAACAAACAACTTGCCACTCAAACGCCGGTCCCCACTGCGCATGCGCGGTCCGCGCGCGGCCTGCCAGGACTTGTAGTCCGCCTGCGGGGCTCTCCCGGTGCTGCTGCTGCTGCTGCCGCCGCCGGGCGGCCGGAGCTACCGGCAGCCCGATGCACGGGAAATGCAGGAGAGCGGGCACCCTCAGGACCACGGGGAAGGCCGAGGGGAGGCACGGGGCGGGTGGAGCCAGCCTGAGCCTAGGCGCGCCCTCTGGCACCCACTCAGGCTCGGTACTAGGCGCTTGGAGTGTAAAGCGAGCAAACCAGACGACTCCGGTGCTGGAGAAGGCCCGAGTCTGGGAGCGCCAAGATGTAGGGCAATCGGTCATGAGAGTGCAGAGAAGCCAAACCAAAAAGCTTGCTGGGGACCCGGAGGGAGGGGATTGACAGGTCAAAGGGGGTGACCTGGGGGGAGGGGGACACTCAGGCTGGGTTTTGAAGGATGAATGGGAGTTCGTAGCAAGGGAGTGAGGGCGCGCGGTTGAAGGACAGAAGCCTTCGGGAGGCTGAGGCAGGTGGATCGCCTGATGTCAGAAATTTGAGACCAGCCTGGTCAACGTGGTGAAACCCTGCCTCTACTAAAAATACAAAAGTTAGCAGGGCATGCTGGTGAGTGACTGTAATCTCAGCTACTCAGGAGGCTGAGGCAGGAGAATCGCTTGAACCTGGGAGGCGGAGGTTGCAGTGAGCTGAGATTGCACCACTGACTCCAGCCTAGGCAATAGAGTGAGAGTTCATCTCGAAGAAACAAAACAAACACAGTACAAACCAAAAAACAAAACCCAGCTGGGTGCAGTGGCTCACGCCTATCATCCCAGCATGTTGAGAGGCTTGAGTTGGGCAGATCACTTGAGGTCAAGAGTTCAAGACTAACCTGGTCAACATGGTGAGATCCCGTCTCTACTAAAATTACAAAAAAATTAGCTGGGAACGGTCGCATGTGCCTGTAATCCCAGCTACTAGGGAGGCTGAGGCAGGAGAATCACCTCAACCTGGGAGATGGCAGTTGCAGTAAGCCAAGATGGCGACACTGCACTCCAGCCTGGGCGACAGAGTGAGTGAGACTATGTCTCAAAGAAACAAAAAAAAAAAAGAAAGAAAAATCTCCAAGTATGTTTGGAAGAGGTTGACCAACTGCCCTGATTTTCCTGGGACCAAGGAGAATTTCAAGATGTAAGACTTTCATTTTCGAAACCAGGACACTCTCCAGGAAGACAAGTTGGTCACAGGACTTTGAAACGATTTACTTATGTAAATCTATGAACTCTAAATACAGATCGAGTATTGTGAATGAAAATTGAGCATCCAAACTGAGATGTGCTATCGTGTAAAATGAACCCTGGATTGCAAAGATTATTATGAAAAAACTTTATTTTATTAATAATTTAAAAATATTGATTATATGTTGAAACACTTTTTTTTTTTTCTGAGATGGAGTCTCACTGTGTCACCCAGGCTGGAGTACAGTGGCGCAATCTTGGCTCACTGCAACCTCTGCCTCCTGTGTTCAAGTGATTCTCCTGCCTCAGCCTCCTGAGTAGCTGAGATTACAGGCATGCGCTACCACGCCCAGCTAATTTTTTTATAGCAGAGACAGGGTTTCACTGTGTTGGCCAGGCTAGTCTGGAACCCCTGACCTCAAGTGATCTGCCCGCCTCGGCCTCCAAAGTGTTGGGATTACAGGCATGAGCCCCCACACCGGCCTTTTTTTTTTTTTTTTGAAATGGAGTCTTGCTCCCTCGCCCAGGCTGGAGTGCAGCAGCACGATCTTGGCTCATTGCAACCTCTGCCTCCCGGATTCAAGCGATTCTCCTGCCTCAGCCTCCTGAGTACAAGTGCGCATCATCATGCCCAGCTAATTTTTGTATTTTTGGTAGAGACGGGGTTTCACCATGTTGACCAGGCTTGTCTCGAACTCCTGACCTCAGGTGATCTGCCTGCCTCAGCCTCACAGAGTGCTGGGATTACAGATGTGAACCACTGTGCCTGGCCAAAATGCTAATATTTTGGCAGCACTTTGGGAGGTCGAGGCAGGCGGATCACTTGAGTTCAGGAGTTTGAGACCAGCCTGGCCAACATGGTGAAACCAAACCCCACCTCCACTAAAAATACAAAAAAATTAGCTTGGTGTTGTGGCGGGCACCTATAATCCCAGCTATTTAGGAGGCTGAGGCAGGAGAATTGCTTAAACCTGGGAGGCAGAGGTTGCAGTGAGCCGAGATCATGCCACTGCACTCCAGCCTGGGCAACAGAGTGAGACTCTGTCTCAAAAAAAAAAAAAAAAAAAAAAAAAGCAGAGTGAAGTCAGCACCCAATTCAACATGGCAGGTTCTAGAGAGGTTCAAATCATGATGGGGCAGGGTGCGATGAGGGGAGGTCCCTTCTGTTACAGGCTACTGTTAGTCCACACTTCGTCTGACCTAGTGGCCTTCTGTGCATGGCGGCCACCCAGCATAGATTTTGATGATTTCCCATGTCACAAGCCCTGTCTTCACAAGGTGAGCTTCTGCAGCCTCCCTGTGGCTAAGATGCAGGCACATCACACCTGTGTATGGCTCAGGTTCAGAAGTGAGCAAAAGGTGCATGGATGGGATTTCAGAGAAGGCAGCAGGGATTTGTCTGGTAACAATTACTATATACTACATAGCTCACACTTAGTGGAGAAAAATGACAAAATAGCCCGGTGCAGTGGCTTATGCCTCTAAGCACGGTGGCTCATGCCTGTAATCCCAACAACTTGGGAGGCTGAGATGGGAGGATTGCTTGAGACCAGGAGTTTGTGACTAGCAAGATCCTGTCTTAAAACATTAAAAAAAAAAAAAAAAAAGCTGGGGATGGTGGCACATGCCTGTTGTCCCAACTACTTGGGAGGCTGAGGCAGGAGAATCACTGGAACTGAGGAGTTCAAGGCTGCAGTGAGCTGTGATAGCACCACTGCACTGTTGTCTGGGCAGCCAGGCAGGACCCTGTCAAAAAGAAAGAATGAAAGAAAAGAAAGACAAAAGAAAGAAATGAAAAGCCAAAGAAAGAAAAGAAAGATGAAAGAAAGAAAGAAAAGAAAGATGAAAGAAAACAAGAGAGAGAGAGAAAGAGAAAGAAAAAGAAAGAAAGAAAAAGAAAGAGGAAGAAAGAAAAAGCAGGAAGGAAGGAAAATAGGAAATGACATTATATTAACTCATGAATTCTTTTTTTTTTTTTTTTTTTGAGATGAAGCCTCACTCCATCACCCAGGCTGGAGTGCCGTGGCACAATCTCAGTCACTGCAACCTCCGCCTCAAGCAATTCTCATGCCTCAGCCTTCCGAGTAGCTGGGATTACAGGTGCACACCACCATGCCCAGTTAATTTTTTTGTATTTTTAGTAGAGATGGGGTTTCACCATGTTGGCCAGGCTGGTCTCAAAGTCCTGATCTCAGATGATCTGCCTGCCTCGGCCTCCCAAAGTGCTGGGAGAATTCTACTTTTTTTTTTGAGACAGGGTCTCACTCTTACCCAGGCTGGAGTGCAGTGGCGTCATCACGGTTCCCTGCAGGCTCAAGCGATCCTCCTATCTCAGCCTCACAAGTAGCTGGGTCTACAGGCACACACCACCACACCTGGCTAATATTTGTATTTTTTGGTAGAGATGGGGTTTCATCATGTTGCCCAGACTGGTCTCAAACTCCTGATCCCAAGTGATTCTCCCACCTCTGCCTCCCAAAGTGTTAGAATTACAGGTGTGGGCCACCGTGCCTGGCCTGAACTCACGAATTCTATAGGTTGTGAATTCAGACAGGGCCTGTGAGAAGTTTGTCTTTGCTCTGTGGTATCTGGCCTTTACTTGGAAAGGCTTGAATGCTGGCGGTGATTTGGATGCCTGGGGGCTGGGGTTGCCTGGAAGCTTCTTTACTCTGTGTCTGAAGCCTGGTTGATGGGTGCCTCTCTCCATGGGGCTAGGGCTTCTCACAGCTTGGCAGCTGGATTCCCAGAGAGGACATTGCAGGGAGAGTCTGGAGAGCAAATGTGCCAAGAAAGTCAGCTGGAAGCCACATGGCCTTTTATGACTTAACCTCAGAAATCAAGCTGGGTGCGGTGACTGCTGGATGCGGTGGCTCAAGCCTGTAATCCCAGCCCTTTGAGAGGCTGAGTTGGGCGGATCATTTGAGACCAGGAGTTTGACACCAGCCTGGCCAACATGGTGAAACTCTGTCTCTACTAAAAATACAAAAATTAGCTGGGTGTGGTGGTGCGTGCCTATAATCCCAGCACTTTGCGAGGCTGAGGCGGGCAGATCACTTGAGGCCAGGAGTTTGACGCCAGCCTGGTCAAGATGGTGAAACTCTGTCTCTGCTAAAAATACAAAAATTAGCCAGGCGTGCTGGTGCATGTCTACAGTCTCAGCTACTCGGGAGCTGAAGCATGAGAATTGCTTGAACCCAGGAGGCAGAGGTTGCAGTGAGCCGAGATTGTGCCACTGCACTCCAGCCTGGGCAACGGAGCAAGACTCCATCTCAAAACAACACACAAAAAAAGAAATCATAGGGATGTCACCTGCATGGTATTCTCTGGGTTGAAACAGGTGCAACCCCAGCTTGAGTTAGGGGAGGGGGCTGATATAGTCTGAATATTTGTCCCCTCTAAATCTCGTGTTGAAATGTGATCCCCAATATTGGAGATGAGGCCAAGTGGGAGGTGTTTGGGTCATGGGGGCAGATGCCTCATGAATGGCTTGGTGCCCTCCCTGTGGTAATGAGTGAATTCTTGCTCTATTCACATGAGAGCTGGATCTTTAGAAGAACCTGGCATGTCTGTTGCTCACCACGTGATCTTGTCGGCCCGCCTTCATCTTCCACTATGATAGGAGGCTTCCTGCGGTCCTCACTAGCAGCAGATGCTGGCACCATGCTTCTTGCACAGCCTGCAGAACCACGAGCCAAATACACCTCTTTCCTTTATAAATCACCCAGCCTCAGGTATTCCTTTATAGCAACAAAAATAGATTAAGACAGGGTCATAGACCCTGCTTCTTGATGGAGGAGTGACAAAGTTACTTTGTGGAAGAGCATGTTGGATGAAGTTACTATTGCAGCCATTTTGGGAAAATACAACTCGCCATTTAGAAACGTGAAGTCCTGGAGAAGGTGTGGCTGTGGAAGCTGCCACAGCTTCATTTTCTTTCTGCCTGCCTGCCTGCCTGCCTGCCTCTCTCCCTCTCTCTCTCTTTTTTTTTTGAGACAGAGTCTCGCTCTGTTGCCCAGGCTGGAGTTCAGTGGTGTGATCCTGGCTCACTGCAATCTCCGCTTCCTGGATTCAAGTGATTCTCATGCCTTAGCCTCCCAAGTAGCTGGGACTACAGGCGCCCACCACCACACCCAGCTAATTTTTGTATAGTAGAGATGGGGGTTCACCATGTTGGCTAGGCTGGTCTCGAACTCCTGACCTTAAGTGATCCACCCACCTCAGCCTCCCAAAGTGCTGGGATTACAGGCGTCAGCCACTGTGCCTGGCCCACAGCTTCATTTTCTTATCAGGCCAGTTCTGCCCCACGGTGCTGGGTAAGGGTCCTAGAACTTTAAGCCTAGACTTTATTTCTTCAGCTTTCCAAAAGATCCTGTTCTCTTTTCAATGTTTTAAAATTAAGCTTTTTGGCCAGGTACTATAGCTCATGTCTGTAATCTCTGCACTTTGGGAGGCCAAGGTGGGAGGATCGCTCGAGGCCAGGAGTTTGTGACAAGTTTGGCCAATACAGTGAAACCTTGTCTCTATAAAATAAATAAATAAAATAAGGCTTGTTATCTTAAGATAATTGTAGATTCACTTGCAATTGTAAGAGATTATTACCCAGAGAGCCCTCGTGCCCTTCATGCAATTTCCCCCAACGGTAACAGCTTGCAAAACTAGAGTACAATCTCACAACCAGGAAATTGCCTTCAATACCATCCACTGAACTTACCCAGGTTCTATCAGTTTTACATGTAATTGTGTGTGTGTGTTTAGTTCCATGCAATTTACTCAGTGCTCTAAAAATAGACTCTTCATCTTACAATGTTTTTAAATTTACAGAAAAATTGTTAAGACAGTAGGATTCTCATATATCCTGTACCATTTCCCCCTTTTATTAACATCTTGCACTGGTATAGTATATTTGTTACCGTTAATGAACTGAAGTTAATACATTGTAATTAACTGAAGTCCATACTTTAGTTAGACCTCCTTAATTTTTACCAATTTCCTTTTTCTTTTCTTTTTCTTTTTTTTTTTTTTTTTTTTGAGACAGAGTTTCACTCTTGTTGCCCAGGCTGGAGTGCAATGGCGCAATCTTGGCTCACTGCAACCTCCGTCTCCCCGGTTCAAGGGATTCTCCTGCCTCAGCCTCCCGAGTAGCTGGGATTACAGGCATGCGCCACCACCCCGGCCAATTTTGTATTTTTAGTAGAGACGGGGGTTTCTCCATGTTGGTCAGGCTGGTCTTGAACTCCCGACCTCAGGTGATCCACCCACCTCAGCCTCCCAAAGTGATGGGATTATAGGTGTGAGCCACCGTGCCCGGCCCAATTTCCTTTTTCTGTCCGAAGATCCCATCCATGACACCATGTGACATTTAGTAGTAATGTCTTCTTAGGCTCCTCTTGGCTGTGATAGTTTACAAAAAAAAAATTAATTTTCTTTGAGACAGTCTCACTCTGTCACTCAGGCTGGAGAGTAGTGGTGTGATCATAGCTCACTGCAGCCTCAATCTCCTG
This sequence comes from Homo sapiens, assembly GCF_000001405.40. Taxonomy (NCBI): domain Eukaryota; kingdom Metazoa; phylum Chordata; class Mammalia; order Primates; family Hominidae; genus Homo; species Homo sapiens. The sequence goes on from NC_000007.14 coordinate 100,278,977, forward strand.
GGCTCAAGTGATCCTCCCTCCTCAGCCTCCCATATTTTTAATACAGACAGGGTTTCACCATGTTGGCTAGGCTGGTCTTGAACTCCTGACCGCAGGTGATCTGACCTCAGGTGATCTGCCCGCCTCGGACTCCCAAAGTGCTGGGATTACTGGTAGGAGCCACCACACTTGGCCAGTTTACTTGATATTTTAAAAATAAATTCCTCTGCTATGTAAACTGACCAGAATGGATTCTGTTGATTGCAACTAAGACCCATAACTGATACAGTTGGCATTCAAGCCTCACGCTGGCTAATTTTGTGTGTGTGTGTGTGTGTGTGTGTGTGTGTGTGTGTGTGTGTGTGGTAGAAATGGAGTCTTGCTATGTTGCCCAGGCTGGTCTCAAACTCCTGGCCTCAAGTGATCCTCCTGCCTTGGCTTCCGAAGAGCTGGGATGACGGTGTGAGCCACCACACCTGGTCAGTTTATTTGACATATTAAAAATAAATTTGTGGCTAGGCGAGGTGGCTCACACCTGTAATCCCAGCACTTTGGGAGGCCAAGGCGGGTGGATCACTTGAGGTCAGGAGTTCGAGACCAGCCTGGCCAATATGGTGAAACCCCATCTCTACTAAAAATACAAAAATTAGCTGGATGTGGTGGCACACGCCTGTAATTTCAGCTACTTGGGAGGCTGAGGTGGGAGAATAGCTTGTACCCTGGAGGCGGAGGTTGCGGTGAGCCAAGATCGTGCCACTGCACTCCAGCCTGGGCAATAGAGCAAGAATTCGTCTCAATAAATAAATAAATAAATTCATTCATTCATTTCTTTGCTATGTAGACTGACCAGAGTAGATTCTGTTGCTTGCAGCTAAGACCCATAACTGATGTACTTGGCATTCAAGGCTCACTGTGGTGTGGTCTTTGCTTACATCTCTGGTCCCATCTGCCACTATTCCCAGCCTAGTACTTTACCTTCCAGTGAGAGATCTCTCTCCTTCTTCCATACTCTCTCATGGCCTCTGACTCTTGTACAGGCTGACAGATCCATATTTATTTCACCTCTGTCATCACCTCCTCTGGGAAGCTTTCTGTGATTTTTCCCAGCAGCGTGGGGTGCCTGCCTCTCACCTGTATGTCCACAGTTCTTCGGGGCAGGGCCATATGCTCGTTAAAATCATGGTTTCTGGCCAGGTATGGTGGCTTATGCCTGTAATCTCAGCACTTTGGGAGGCCAAGCGGGCGGATCACTTTGAAGTCAGGTGTTCAAGACCAGACTGGCCAATATGGCAAAACCCCTCTACTAAAAATACAAAAATTAGCTGGGTGTGGTGGTTTATGCTTGTAATCCCAGCTACTTGGGAGGCTGAGGCAGGCAAATCACTTGATCACTTGAACCTAGGTGGTGGAGGTTGCAGTGAGTGGAGATTGTACCACTACACTACAGCCTGGGCAACAGAGACTGTCTCAAAAAAAAAAAAAAAAAAAAGGCCGGGCGCTGTGGCTCACGCCTGTAATCCCAGCAGTTTGGGAGGCCTAGGCGGGCAGATCACAAGGTCAGGAGATCGAGACCATCCTGGCTAACACAGTGAAACCCCGTCTCTACTAAAAAATACAAAAAATTAGCTGGGCGTGGTGGCGGGCGCCTGTAGTCCCAGCTACTCTGGAGGCTGAGGCAGGAGAATGGCGTGAACCCAGGAGGCAGAGCTTGCAGTGAGCCGAGATCGTGCCACTGCACTCCAGCCTGGGCAACAGAGCGAGACTCTGCCTCAAAAGAAAAAAAAACACAAAAAACAACAACAAAAAAAAAAACAAAAAAAGGCCGGGGGGGTGGTGGCTCATGCCTGTAATCTCAGCACTTTGGGAGGCTGAGGCGAACAGATCATGAGGTCAGGAGTTTGAGACCAGCCTGGCCAACATGGTGAAACCTTGTCTCTACTAAAAATACAAAAATTAGCCAGGTGTGGTGGCGGGAACCTGTAATCCCAGCTACTTGGGAGGCTGAGGCAGGAGAATCGCTTGAACCTGGGAGGCAGAGGTTGCAGTGAGCTGAGATCGTCCCATTACACTCCGGCCTGGGTGACAAGAGCAGGACTCCGTTTCAAAAAAAAAAAAAAAATCGTGGTCTCTGATGTCAGACATAGCTGAGTTCTGACACTGCCTTCTTCTAGCTGTGTGGTTTTAGGCATGTTGTTTATTTTTTATTTATATTTTTATCTTATTTTATGATTATTTTTCTTATTATTTTTTGACAGAGTCTCACTCTGTCGCCCAGGCTGGAGTGCAGTGGCGTGATCTCAGCTCACTGCAACCTCCGCCTCCCAGGTTCAAGCAATTCTCCTGCCTCAGCCTCCTGAGTAGCTGGGACTACAGGCGCATGCCACCACACCCAGCTAATTTTTGTATTTATAGTAGAGACGGGGTTTCACCATGTTGGCCAGGCTGATCTCGAACTCCTGACCTCAAGTGATCTGCCTGCCTTGGCCTCCTAAAGTATTTTATTATCTTTTTTTTAAAAAAGAGATGGAGGTTTTACTAAGTTGCCCAGGCTGGTCTTGAATTCCTGGACTCAAACAATCCTCCTGCTTTGGCCTCCCAAAGTGCTGGGATTACGGTCATGGATGTGATTACCACCACACCCGGCCTGAACACACCGTTTAATCTCTGTGAATGCTCTTTTCCTCCTAGGTAAAACAGCATAATAAGAGTTCCTGACTCATAGGTTGCAACAAAAACTGAAGAAAATGCTAAAAAGTGCACAGCATGGCCGGGCACAGTGGCTCGCGCCTGTAATCTCAGCACTTTGGGAGGGCGAGGTGGGCGGATCACGAGGTCAAGAGATTGAGACCATCCTGGCCAACATGGTGAAACCCCGTCTCTACTAAAAATACAAAAATTAGCCAGGCGTGGTGGAGGGCACCTGTAATCCCAGCTACTCGGGAGGCTGAGGCAGGAGAATTGCTTGAACCTGGGAGGCAGGAGAATTGCTTGAACCTGGGAGGCGGAGGCTGCAGTGAGCCGAGATCGCACCACTGCACTCCATCCAGCCTGGCGACTTGAGTGAGACTCCGTCTCAAAAAAAAAAAAAGCAAACAGCACACAAATTAGGCCCATGGTCAATGTTAGCTGTGGTCATTCCTATGATCATGCCCAGAAGCCCTGACCTGTCATTCGTGGCATGAAGTTGAAATGGTCCGATTCCATGGGGGCTGTCACTTCCCTTATACCAGTTGCTTAGCTCCAGGATGGCAGAGGCCACTCCTTTTTCATCTTTCTATTCTCAGAGTTGACCTACAAATAGGTGTTTGTCAAGTGGCCTAAATGGATTACCCACCCCAGCTCCTGTAGTTCCTGCCACATGGGACACCATGAGAATCTTCTTTTCTAGCTCTGTGCCAGGAAAGCTTTTGCTGCCTCCGAAGACCTGGGAAGTTTTCTGCTTGGGGACAATTAGGCAACATGGCTCAAGGGCTGCTGCTGGTATCTGGAGTCTGTTAGCCTGGGTCCCTTCCCTTCCCCTTCCCCTTCCCTTCCCCTTCCCTTCCCCTTCCCTTCCCCTTCCCTTCCCCTCCCCTTCCCCTCCCCTTCTCCTCCCCTTCCCCTTACCCTCCCCTCCCCTTCCCCTCCCCCTCCCCTCCCCCTTCCCTTCCCCCCCTTCCCCTTCCCTTCCCCCTCCCCTCCCCTTTCTTTCTTTCTCTCTCTCTCTCTTTCTTTCTTTCTTCTTTCTTTCTCTTTCTTTCTCTCTCTCTCTCTCTCTCTTTCTTTCCTGTTTTTTTTTTTTTTGGAGTCTCACTCTGTTGCCCAGGCTGGAGTGCAGTGGCACGATCTCAGCTCACTGCAACCTCTGCCTCCCAGGTTCAAGCAATTCTCCTGCCTCAGCCTCCCGAGTAGCTTGGAGCTTGGACTACAGGCGCCTGCCACCACGCCCGGCTAATTTTTTGTATTTTTAGTAGAGATGGGGTTTCACCATGTTAGCCAGGATGGTCTCAATCTCCTGACCTCATGATCCACCCGCCTCGGCCTCCCAAAGTGCTGGGATTACAGGCGTGAGCCACCGCGCCCAGCTAATTTTTGTATTTTTAGTAGAGATGGAGTTTTACCATGTTGGTCAGGCTGGTCTTGAACTCCTGACTTTAGATGATCCATCCGCCTTGGCCTCCCAAAGTACTGGGATTACAGGCATGAGCCACTGCACCCAGTCTAACCTGGGTTTCAATCCCAGCTGTGTGGCTTGCATCCTGTGTGAACCTTGGTGGAGTTGTTTCCCTCTCTGTGCCTCATTTCCTTATCTGCTAGTTTGGCCTGACACACAGGACCGGCTACGTAATTTGCAGGGCCCGTTCCAAAATGAAACTTGAGGGCTCTTGTTGAAAAATTATTAAGGATTTCAAAATGGCCACCGTACAGCATGAAACCGAGTGTGTAATTGCATGGCTCATGCCCCCTGAGACCGGCTCTGCTGACACTCACCCAGAGTACGTGCTGGTTTTTTCCTATCTTGCTCAGTGCTCTGTCCACAGTCCCTAGAACAGTAGGTACAGACTGAATACATGTTTATTGAATAGGCCGGGTGCAGTGGCTCATGCCTGTAATCCCAGCACTTTGGGAGGCTGAGACAGGTGAATCACATGAGGTCAGGAGTTCGAGACCAGCCTGGCCAACATGGCGAAACTCCGTCTCTACTAAAAATACAAAAAGTAGCTGGGTGTGGTGGCTCATGCCTGTAATCCCAGCTACTCAGGAGGCTGAGGCAGGAGAATTACTTGAACCTGGGAGGTGGAGGTTGCAGTCAGCAGACATCGAGGCATTGCACTCCAGCCTGGGTGACAGAGCAAGAATCCATCTAAAAAAAAAAAAAGTTTATTGAATAAACAAACAAATAAATAACTAAATGGGCACTTTAAAATACAAATATTAGCTAGGCATGGTGGTGCCTGCTTGCAGGCTTGTGGTCCCAGTTACTTGGGAGTCTGAGGTGGGAGAATTGCTTGAGCCCAGGAGTTTGAGGCTACAGTGAGCTGTGATTGCACCACTACACTCCAGCCTGGGTGACAGAGTGAGACCCTATCTCAAAAAAAGAAAAAAAAAATTCCTCTTTATCCTTGATTTTAAGTGGTTTAATAATGATAAAACCCTATATAGACATATTAATTTATGCTGTTTGTTCTTGGAGTGTTTTTGATTTGAGGACTTATGTCTTTTTAGTTCTTTTTTCTTTCTTTTCCTTTTTTTTTTTTTTTTTTGAGATGGAGTCTTGCTCTGTCACCCAGGCTGGAGTGCAGTGGCACGATATTGGCTCACTGCAACCTCTGCCTCCCGGGTTCAAGGGATTCTCCTGCCTTAGCCTCCTGCGTAGGTGGGACTACAGGTGCATGCCACCACGCCAGGCTAGTTTTTGTATTTTTAGTAGAGACGAGGTTTCACCATATTGGCCAGGCTGGTCTGGAACTCCTGACCTCAGTTGATCCACTTGCTTCGGCCTCCCAAAGTGCTGGGGCTATAGGCATGAGTCAACATGCCCAGACTAGTTTTTGAAAATTCTCATTGATTGTCCATCATATGTTGCTTCTCTGTGATTTTCTGCTGTTTTTCTAAAACTTCCATTAGCCCTATGTTGCAATCCCTCCATCTTTCTCCCATTTCTCATAATTGCTCTTTTGTGAATTTCATCTTTGGTTCCTAGTGCTCTTGTGTTGGTCTGGACCCTTCTAGTAACAGAACGGCCATCTGAATGGAGGTCCATGCAGGGTTTCTCTCTCTCTCTTTTTAGAGACAAGGTCTTTTCTTTTTTTTCTTGCTTCATTGTCTATGCTGCAGTGCAGTGGTGTGATCTTGGCTCACTGCAATCTCTGCCTCCCAGGTTCAAGCAATTCTCCTGCCTCAGCCTCCCAAGTAGCTGGGATTACAGGTGCATGCCACCACACCCGGCTAATTTTTGTATTTTTAGTAGAGATGGGGTTTCACAATGTTGGCCAGGCTGGTCTCGAACTTCTGACCTCAGGTGATCTGCCTGCCTTAGCCTCCCAAAGTGCTGGGATTACAGGTGTGAGCCACTGCACCTGGCCTAGAGACAGGATCTTGCTCTGTTGTCCAGGCTGGAGTGCAGTGGTGCAATCCTAGCTCACTGCAACCCCCAACTCCTGACTTCAAGAGATCATTTCTCCTCAGTCTTCAGAGCAGCCGGGACTACAGGTGCATGCTACCATGCCTGGCTAAGGTTTCTCTCAAAAGTGACACTGAGATCTGAAGGGTGGCAAAATGTCATTTAGGAACAGGGGAAGATAGGGCTGGGGGAGTCCTCCAGGCAATAGAAACAGGATTTATGAAGATGAGATGGTGCCTGACACAAAGGGCTGGGATGGGTGCAGATTGGAAGCCACCAGAAGGCTCTAGCCCAAGAGAAGACTTGACACATTGGCAGATTCTTCTGGCTGCCTTGTGGAGTAGAGGACAGGAGAAGGTCAAGGGCAGGGGTGGGGAATCCAGCCTGGAAGTGACTGCAGCCTAGCTGAGAGAGCCGTGGTGGCCAGGACCAGTGAGGCAGCAGCGTGGATGGAGAGAGAGGAGGGATGCAGAGATGTTTAGGACATGAGCTGGCTGGTGATGGATAGCATGGGGCAGGCTGGTGGTGGTAAGGGGTCCAGGGTCCAGCTGCCACTAGGAGGGTGGGTAGGTTTGGGCACAAGCCCTTGTCTTTCTGATCCTTGTTCAGGTGAGATCCCCCTGCACAGATTTCACCTGCTTTTTTTTTTTTTCCTGAGCCATTTCAGACTGCCTCCTGGGGATGCGGTCTGCATGATTTTATTTATTTATTTATTTATTTAGACAGAGTCTTGCTCTGTTACCCAGGCTGGAGTGCAGTGGTGCGATCTCGACTCACTGCAACCTCCGCCTCCTGGGTTCAAGTGATCCTCCTGATTCAGCCTCCTGAGTAGCTGGGATTACAGGCACGCGCCACCACATCTGGTTAATTTTTGTATTTTTAGTAGAGACAGGGTTTCACCATGTTGGCCAGGCTGGTCTTGAACTCCTGGCCTCAAGTGATCCACCTGCCTCAGCCTCCCAAAGTGCTGGGATTATAGGCGTGAGCCTCTGTCTACAGAATCTTGTAGCCTACAAAATCTTCTGGCCTCTGTCTGCAGAATCTTCTCTCTACCCCGTGCTAGCCTCTCCTCTGACCCACTGGGAGTGTTAAGTCCATTCTTCTGGACTTTTGCTCCAGCTGTGATGAACACTATGCTTCTACCTCAGTCCTGAGCCTGGACCCAGCTGTGCAAGCCTGGCCAGACCCCTCTCCCAGGGCTGGACACCAATTTCATGTCTTCAGGTCCTACTGTAATCTAAACAGGCTACCCAGAAGAGAATCCTGCCCCAGTCCAAGTGTGAGCAGACCTGGAGACTCTGGTGCTGAACTGTACCCCCTGATGGCCAGCCTGGATGTCACCTCTATCCTGCTTGAGCCAGGCTCCCCAGATCCCTGGACCACCTCCACTCCAGACCAGACACTGGGGAAGCTGCTGGTCCCACACCATTTCTGAGTTTTCTCCTCTATCCTTCTGCTTAAAGTTCCCTTCAAGGTCTTAAGTGCAAGTCATCCCAGAAACCCAGGTAGGGGAGTAGAGAGGCCAGATATGGACAGGAAGGCTGCCAAGAAAGGGGTGTTAGTCGGGCACAATGGCTCAGGTCTGTAAGCCCAGAACTTTGGGAGGCTGAGGCTGGAAGATTGCTTGAACCTAGGAGGACTGCTTGAGACCAGCCTGGGCAACATGGCGAAACCCTATCTCTACAAAAAAAAAAACCCCACAAAAATTAGCTGGACGTGGTGTGCACCTGTAGTCCCAGCACAGGGACTCTTCAGGAAGAGGTTGTAGTAAGCCCAGATCACACCATTGCACTCCAGCCAGAGAGAGAGAGAGAGAGAGAGAGAGAGAGAGAAAGGAAACAGCCAGGCGCGGTGGCTCATGCCTGTAATCCCAGCACTTTGGGAAGCTGAGGTGGGCGGATCACTTGATGTCAGGAGTTCAAGACCAGCCTGGCCAACATGGGGAAACCCACTCTCTACTAAAAATATAAAATTAGCCGGGTGTGGTGGCACATGCCTGTAATCCCAGCTACTCAGGAGGCTGAGGCAGGAGAATCCTTGAACCTGGGAGGCAGAGGTTGCAGTGAGCTGAGATCGCACCACTGCACTCCAGCTTGGGTGACAAGAGCAAAACTCCATCTAAAAAAACACCAAAAGAATGAAAAAAGAAGTGAGTGTTATCAAGGAAGTTACCAGTTACCAGTGTGGGCAATTGAGCTTAAACCTGGTGGGGACCTCTGGGAGGCAGTACAGAATGTGGAAACCCATGGTTGTCCCACCTGTGTGGGGTCATGTGGCTAAGCTGTTTATACACCCATTTTCATCAGTCACTGGCTAAGAGCAGCCCCTGGGGGAGGGGCCTTCATGCATTTGCTTCTGCTCTGCCCTGGCAGGCTCAGAGACTCAGGCAAGGACTACAGATGCTCATGACCGAATGTCTCACCTGGGCCCGGAATGGCAGCATCAAGCACCCTCTCAGCCTAGCCCAGAAGTCAGAGTTCCTATTTCATCAGTTGCAAAGCAGAGACAATGCCATCTGCCTGATAGCAGAGCAAAAGGCGGGTGGGAGCAGGGTCCTCTGAGAGCTGGGGAGGGGCTGGAGTGGCCCTCAGTGCTGTGCACATGTGCCCTAGATACATGGGAATTGGACCTGGATCCCCCCCTTCCCTCCAGCTCTGGCCACCGGCTCCTGCTGGTGTGATGTTCTTGTTCTAAAAACAGATATGTCACACCTCAAGCAGATTTGCAGTCCCTTGACAGCAGCCTCTAAAGGACCTCTGCCTCTCTGCATGGCTTCCCAGGGCCCCGGAGAACAGTGAGGGCCAGTCCAAGGGGGCTGCTCCAGAGGGCAGCACAGCCCCGGACTCCATCTCCCCAGCCCCTGTGGGGAGGGGAATATTCCTGGAGTGGGAACCCAGTTGGTCTTAGAGCTCTGCTAACAGACGGTTGGTACCTCCGAAGGCTGAACTGGGGAACCATTTTATTTTGCTGCCCAGCCTCTTTTTTTTTTTTTTTTTTTTTTTTTTTTTTTTCAGATGGAGTCTCACTCTGTTGCCCGGGCTGAAGTGCAGTGGCACTATCTCAGCTCACTGCAACCTCTGCCTCCCAGGTTCAAGCGATTCTCCTGCCTCAGCCTCCCGAGTAGCTGGGATTACAGGTGCCCACCACCGCACCCAGCTAATTTTTGTATTTTTAGTAGAGATGGGGTTTTACCATGTTAGCCAGGATGGTCTCAATCTCTTGACCTCGTGATCCGCCTGTCTTGGCCTCCCAAAGTGTTGAGGTTACAGGCGTGAGCCACTGCACTGGGCTACCACCCAGCCACTTGGTTCCTCTGGGTGACAAGATTCAACATGTCCCTGAGGCTAGGGAATTTCTGTTCAGAGCAGGGAGACCCTATCATCAGAGAGGAGCCTCCCACTTCAGGAATCCTGAGGCCCATGGAGCCTGGGTACCCTCTCTACTCTTCTCCCAGAAGGTATTTGCCCCAGGCACTTTGCAGACCAACCAGGAAGCATGGCAGAAGGCCAGGAATGGCTGGGGGCTGGTGGGAAGGATCAGGCCTGGCCCAGGCATTGCTGCTCTAGGGTCTCAAGGGTTCCCTGTCACTTTGGCCATTCTTCTGTTGCTAGTGTTCCTGGGCCCTTGGCAGCTGGGATCATTGCGGCCTCCCCACTGGGGGTGCTGGGGCCAGTCCTAGCCAGGGCAGAGAGTGGGTCAGCCGTCTCAGCTCCTTGAGTGGTTGGTGCTGGTACTGGTCTCATGGTTTTAGACCTGGCACCCAGTGGGTATGGGGAGCCGTGGGCACCTGTGGGCCTACTTATGGAAGTCATCCTCTTCCCTTATCAGGTACTGCCAACCCTGTGGTGCAGCTGCTGCCTCAGTTTCCCTTTGTGTTCCAGGTCCCCACTGTGGCAGTTGCTCTTCCCTGAGATCCAGCCAGTGGAGCCGAGTCCCTGGTGTCTTGCTGACTTCCTGCCAGCCCCTGAACCCAGAACTCTCTCTTTCCCTTGGCCACTGGCTAGGAGCCTCTACCACTGAAAAAACTCAGTTTCCTAGCCAGGTGCAGTGGCTCACGCCTGTAACCTCAGCACTTTGGTAGGCTGAGGCAGGAGGATCGCTTGAGAACAGGAGTTTGAGACCAGCCTGGGCAACATAGTGAGACCCCACCTCTAAAAAAAAAAAAAAAAGCCAGGCATGGTGGTGCATGCCTGTAGTCCCAGCTACTTGGGGGGATTACTTGAGCCTGGGAGGTTGAGGCTGCAGTGAGCTATGAGGGGTGCCACTGTACTCCAGCCTGGGAGACAGAGTATGACCCTGTCTCAGTAACCAAAACCAAAACCAAACAAACAAACAAAAAAGGAAAAAACCCTCATTTTCCTTCCCTGTTAATATGGGTGATAATGCCCACTCTATAGAGTTGTTGGAAGGCATACTGATAGCATTTTTACGCATTTGACACTCCCTGGTAGATAGCAGGTGCTCAGTAAAAAGTGACAATGGGCTGGGCACGGTGGCTCACGCCTGTAATCCCAGCACTTTGGGAGGCTGAGGTGGGCAGATCACCTGAGGTCAGGAGTTCCAGACCAGCCTGGCCAACATGGTGAAACCCCATCTCTACTAAAAATACAAAAATTAGCTGGGTGTGGTTGTGGGCACCTGTAGCTACTCAGGAAGCTGAGGCAGGAGAACAACTTGAACCCAGGAGGTGGAGGTTGCAGTGAGCCATTGCACTCCAGCCTGGGCAACAACAGTGAAACTCTGTCTCAAAAAAAAAAAAAAGTGACAATGATCATTCCTGGTGTTAACAACAGACGTCCTTTTTTGGGGGGGTGGGGGACAGAATCTCCCGTTGCCCAGGCTGGAGTGCAGAGACACGATCTTGGCTCACTGCAAGCTCCGCCTCCTGGGATCACGCCATTCTCCTGCCTCAGCCTCCTGAATAGCTGGGACTACAGGCAGCTGCCAACACGTCCAGCTAATTTTTTGTATTTTTAGTAGAGACAGGGTTTCACCGTGTCAGCCAGGATGGTCTCGATCTCCTGACCTTGTGATCTGCATGCCTTGGCCTCCCAGAGTGCTGGGATTATAGGTGTGAGCCACCGCGCCCAGCCAATAACAGACTTATCTTTCTGCCTCTCACCTGACTCTGAGAGACTTTTGCTGCCATGATCTCTACATCTGAACTCCTCCCGAGAGCAGAGCTGCCCAGAAGGACCATCTGTGGTGATGGAAATGTTCTATGAATGCACCATCCAATATGCTGGCCACTTGAACACACGTGGTCCTGGCCCTTGTGGGCACTGGAATTGTGAGCAGCGTGACTGAGTATCTTAGTCTATTTGGGCTTCTGTTACAGAAAACCATAGGCTGGGTGGCTTAACAACACACATTTCTCTCTCACAATTCCAAGATTGAGGAACCAGCAGATTGGTGTCTGGTGAGGGCCCACTTCCTGGTTTGTGGATGGCTGTCTTCTCCCTGTATCCTCACATGATGGGGAGTGATATAGTTTGGCTCTGTGTCCCCCGCTTAAATCTCATGTCGAGACCAGGTGCAGTGGCTCACACCTGTAATCCCAGCACTTTGGGAGGCCGAGGTGGGCGGATCACCTGAGGCCAGGACTTTGAGATTAGCCTGGACCACATGGTGAAACCCTGTCTCCACTAAAAATACAAAATTAGCCGCGTGTAGTGGTGGGCGCCTGTAATCCCAGTTACTTAGGAGGCTGAGGCAGGAGAATCGCTTGAACCTGGGAGGCAGAAGTTGCAGTGAGCCCAGATGGCGCCACTACACTCCAGCCTGGGTGACAGAGTGAAACTGTGTCTCAAAAAAAAACAAAAAAAGAAAAAAAAAGAGGTTTCATGTCAAATTGTAATCCCCAGTGTTGGAGGTGGGGCCTGGTAGGAGGTGATTAAATCATGGGGTGGATTTCTCATGAATGGGCTGGCACCATCCCCTCCATGCTGTTTTCATGGTAGGTTATCATGAGCTCTGCTTGTTTAAAAGTGAGTAGCACCTCCCCACCTCTCTCTCATCCTCTTGCTCTGACCATGTGAGATGTGCATGCTTCCCCTTTACCTTCCACCATGATTGTAAGTTTCCTGAGACCTCCCCAGAAGCTAAGCAGATGTCAGAATCATGAGTCCTGTACAGCCTGTGGAACGTGAGCCAATTAAAACTCTTTTCTTGGCTGGGTGTGGTGGCTCACACCTGTAATCCCAGCATTTTGGGAGGCCAAGGTGGGTGGATCACCTGAGGTCATGAGTTCGAGACCAGCCTGGGCAACATGGTGAAACCCCCGTCTCTACTAAAAATACAAAAATTTGCTGGACGTGGTGGCAGATGCCTGTAATCCAGCTACTCAGGAGGCTGAGGCAGGAGAATGGCTTGAACCCAGGAGGTGGAGGTGGCAGTGAGCCAAGATCGTGCCATTGCACTCTTGCCTGGGTGACGACAGTGAAACTCCATCTCCAAGAACAAAACAAAACACCCCTCTTTTCTTTATAAATTACCCAGTCTCAGGTTTTTCTTTATAGCAGTGCCAGAATGGACCAAGACAGGGAGAGAGGAAGCAAGCTCTGTGATGACTCTTCTCGAAAGGCTGCTAATCCCATCAAGTGAATTCCACCCTTATAACCTCATCTCAACGTGATCACCTCCCAAACTTCTTGCCTCCAAATACCATCACATTGGGAGTTAGGAGTTTGACATATGAATTTTGGAGAGTCCACAAACATTCTGCCTGTAACACTAGAAATGAAATTTTGATTTCATTTTATCTATTTGTTTGAGACAGAGTCTTGCTGTTGCCCAGGCTGCCAGTGCAGTGGCGTGATCTCGGCTCACTGCAACCTCCACCTCCCAGGTTCAAATGATTCTCCTGACTCAGCCTCCTGAATAGTTGGGACTATAGGCACCCACCACCATGCCTGGCTAATGTTTTTTGTATTTTTAGTAGAGACAAGGTTTCACCATGTTGGCCAGCCTGGTCTTGAACTCCTGACCTCAAGTGATCCTCCCACCTCGGCCTCCCAAAGTGCTGGGATTACAGGGTGAGCCAGCGAACTTGGCCTTCCTTTAATTTTAATCAATTTAAATGTAAAGAGCTGCATGTAGCTAGGAGCTACTGAATTGGACAGCACAGCCTTAAGGAGAGTGGAAATCAGCTGAATCCAGTTGAAACAGGAGTTAAATCAGTTGGAGCCAGCCAACATTGGATGACCTTGGCTGAAACCACCTGAAACTGGTTGAAAGGAGCCACAAACTGTTCACAACCAGCTGAAGCTGAATTAACCTGGCTGAAACTGGATGAAGTCATTTGAAACCAGCTGAAACTGGATCAAACCAGCTGGCAGTGGTTGAAACCAGATGAAATCATTTAAGTAGGGTTTGTCATATTATTTTGCTTCTTGATGAACTAGTCCTGGGTTTTTTTTGTTTGTTTGTTTTTTGTTTTTTTTTTGAGAGAGAGTCTTGCTGTGTCGCTCAGGCTGGAGTGCAGTGGTGAGATTTCAGCTCACTGCAACCTTCTCCTCCAGGATTAAAGTGATCTTCCTGCCTCAGCCTCCTGAGTAGCTGGGATTACAGGAGTGCACCACCACTCCCGACTAATTTTTTTATTTTTAGTAGAGACAGGGTTTCATCATGCTGGCCAGGTTGGTCTCAAGCTCCTGACCTCAGGTGATCCACCATCTTGGCCTCCCAAAGTTCTGGTATTACAGGCATGAGCCCTGGTGCCCAGCAGCATAAACATTTAGTTTTATTCTAACAAGGTAGCTTGTACATTTTAAGATATAAAACTGAACATCTTTTTTCCTCTCCAGAGAAACATAAGGAAAACCAAGGAACTTTTTACAACAAACATTTTTAAACATTTACAAAAGTAGACAGAAGAGTACAGTGAACCCCTGTGGACCCACTGCCCAGCTTAAATAGCAATCAGGATTTTGCCAATGTGCTCCAAACTATCCTCCCCTTCCCCTCTTTTTCTTGGCTGGGATGTTTTAAAGCAAATCCTAGATATGTAGTAAAAAGAAAATGTAAAAGTAAAACAGAACAAAAATTACAATGCAGAATACCATTTCCAAATAAGATCTGGCCAGGCGCGGTGGCTCACGCCTGTAATCCCAGCACTTTGGGAGGCTGAGGCGGGCAGATCACATGAGGTCAGGAGTTCAAGACCAGCCTGGCCAACACGGCGAAATGCCGTCTCTATTAAAAATACAAAAATTAGGCCAGGCGCGGTGGCTCACACCTGTAATCCCAGCACTTTGGGAGGCCAAGGCGGGCGGATCATGAGGTCAGGAGATTGAGACCATCTTGGCTAACATGGTGAAACCCCATCTCTACTAAAAATACAAAAATTAGCCGGGTGTGGTGGCAGGCGCCTGTAGTCCCAGCTACTCGGGAGGCTGAGGCAGGAGAATGGCGTGAACCCGGGAGGCGGAGCTTGCAGTGAGCTGAGATCGTGCCACTGCACTCCAGCCTGGGCGACAGAGCGAGACTCAATCTTAAAAAACAACAACAACAACAAAACCCAAAAATTAGTCGAGCATGGTGGCATGCACCTGTACTCTCAGCTACTTGGGAGGCCGAGGCACGAGAATCACTTGAACCTGGGAGGTGGAGGTTATAGTGAGCCGAGATCGCACCACTGCACTCCAGCCTGGGCAACACAGCGAGACTCTATCTCAAAAAAAAAAAAAAATCTGTTAGGCTGAGGCTGGGTGCAGTGGCTCATGCCTGTAATTGCAGCACTTTGGGAGGCTGAAGCAGGAGGAACACTTGAGCCCAGGAGCTTGAGATCAGCCTGGGCAATGGAGCAAGATCCCCCAACTCTACAAAAATATAGAAGCCAGGCTTGGACCAGGTACATGCCTGTGGTCCCAGCTACTTGGAAGGCTGAAGCAGGAGGATCATGTGAGCCCAGGAGCTTGAAACCAGCCTGGGCAGTATCAGAGACCCCATCTCTACAAAAAATTTCAAAATTTAGCCTGGCATTGTGATGTGCACCTATGGTTCCAGCTACTTGGGAGGCTGAGACTGGAGGATCATTTGAGCCCAGGAGTTTAAGACTGCAGTGAGCTATGATGGCACCACTCAACTCCAGCCTGGCCGAGCAACAGAGTGAGACTCTGCCTCTAAAAAATAAATAAATAACAAAAACTAGGTGTAGTGTGTAGTGGGTCATGCCTATAATTCCAGCACTTTGGGAGGCTGAGGTGGGAGGCTAGATTGAGCCTAGGAGTTTAAGACCAGCCTGGGCAACATGGCAAAACTTGTCCCTAAAAAAAATACAAAATTTAGCCAGGCATGGCAGTGCACGCCTGTGGTCCCAGCTACTTGGGAGGCTGAGGCAGGAGGATCATCTGAGCCCAGGAGTTCGAGACTGCAGTGAGCTGTGATTGTGCCACCACACTCCAGCCTGGGTGAAAGGGCAAAACCCTGCCTCAAAACAAACAAATATACAACAACAACAACAACAAAAACCCTCAAACAAGATCCTTTATGTTCTTCAGTTTCTCCATCAAGCAGCAGGGCCCCAGGTAGCATTAGAAGTGGATTTTCTTTTTTTTTTTTTTGAGACGGAGTCTCGCTCTGTCGCCCAGGCTGGAGTGCAGTGGCACGACCTTGGCTCACTGCAAGCTCCGCCTCCTGGGTTCATGCCATTCTTCTGCCTCAGCCTCCCCAGTAGCTGGGACTACAGGCGCCCACCACTATGCCCAGCTAATTTTTTTTTATTATTTTAGTAGAGACGGGGTTTCACCGTGTTAGCCAGGATGGTCTCAATCTGCTGATCTTGATCTTGTGATCTGACTGCCTCAGCCTCCCAGAGTGCTGAGATTACAGGCGTGAGCCACCGCACCCGGCCAAGAGTGGATTTTATATCTAAAGCTACAGTTTAAACCACAAGGGCGTCTGCTAAATACCACCCAAGGAGAAGCTAAGTTGTCAAAATGCCCACTCAACCCTCCCAAACATCTCAAACCCACCCTTTTCTGATCTCTACTCCAACGTCTTTTGTTTTTGTTTTGTCTTACACCAGGAGAAGAGAGAGATTCGTGTTGACAAGTCCTTGTTGTCCAGACTCACACGGATACAGCTGTGGGGAAGGAAGGAAGGCTGCAATGCTGCTGTTTCCATGAACATGCCTGGCACCCTCCAGGTGTCAGCAGGGCCAGGGGAGTGGAGAACTGGTCTCCCTCTCCGCTCCTCTATAGAACACAGTAGTGTGAGGATTCTGTACAGGTTTTGTTGGGAAAGAAAGGAGTAAAAAGGGACTTGGGACAGAAAATGTTTCCTCCTTTTCAAATAAATTGTGCATCAGGATGTAGAGAGAGTGGAAGAGGGAGTTCAGAGGCATCAGGTGACCAAACGTAAGAGAAAAGAACAGTCTGGGTGTGGTGGCTCATGCCTGTAATCCCAGCACTTTAGGAGGCCGAGGCGGGTGATTCATCTGAGGTCAGGAGTTCAAGACCAGCTTGCTCAACATGGTGAAACCCCATCTCTACAAAAATACAGAAATCAGTCGTGCGTGGTGGTGGGTGCCTGTAATCCCAGCTACTCGGGAGGCTGAGGCGGGGGAATCGCTTGAACCCGGGAGGTGGAGGTTGCAGTGAGCCCAGTGCACTCCAGCCTGGGTGACAGAGCGAGACTCCGTCTCAAAAAAAAAAAAAAAAATCAGATGACCCGCTGTGGAGCTGACTCTATTCCCAAATCAGGATTTTCATCAAGGTAAAAATCTAGGCTGGGCTGGGTGGCTCCAGCCTGTAACCTCAGCACTCTGGGAGGCCGAGGTGGGCAGATTGTTTGAGCTTGGGAGTTCAAGACCATCCTGGACAACAGGGTGAAACATCGTCTCTACCAAAAATACAAAAAATTAGACAACCGTGGTGGCGTGCACCAATAGTCCCAGATACTTGGGAGGCTGAGATCAGAGAATCACTCGAACCCGGGAGGTGGAGGTTGCAGTGAGCCGAGATTATGCCACTGTACTCTAGCCTGGGTGACAGAGTGAGACTCTGTTTCCAAAAAAAAAAAAAAAAAAAAAAAAGTAGGGCTTAAATTGGGAGAGTGACATGATATCAGATCATTACACTTGCGAAAATCATTACACTTGCGAAAAGATGAGCGTCATCAATACTTAGTGTTGGCAGAGATTTCAAACAAAGAATTCTCTCATATGTGCTGGCGGGAATGGAAGTTGTACAAACACCAAGGAAACCCCAGCACCAGCAATGGACTCACCCACACCCCATGACCCAGCAGCTCCACTCCTGGTGACTGTTCTAGAGAGGTGTGTGTGTGCAGGAACGTTCATCACAATGTTCACAGTGGTGCTGGAAGGACCCAAGTGTCCACCAGCAGGAGAAATGAACAAATGCACTGTGGCATATTCTTTTTTTTCTTTTTCTTTTTTTTGAGACAGAGTCTCACTCTGTCACCCAGGCTGGAGTGCGGTGGCGCAATCTCGGCTCACTGCAACCTCTGCCTCCTGGATTCAAGTGATTCTCCCACCTCAGCCTACCGAGTAGCTGGGACTACAGGTGTGTGCCACCACACCCAGCTATTTTTTTTTTTTTTTTTGAGACGGAGTCTCACTCTTGTAGCCCAGGCTAGAGTGCAAATGGCATGATCTTTGCTCACTGCAAGCGCTGCCTCCTGGGTTCACGCCATTCTCCTGCCTCAGCCTCCTGAGTAGCTGGGAATACAGGTGCCCGCAACCATGCCTGGCTAATTTTTTGTATTTTTAGCAGAGACAGGGTCTTAGCCAGGATGGTCTTGATTTCCTGATCTCGTGATCCACCCTCTTTGGCCTCCCAAAGTGCTGGGATTACAGGCATGAGCCACGGCACCCGGCCCCGTCTAATTTTTTGTATTTTTAGTAGAGACAGGGTTTCGCCATGTTGGCCAGGCTGGTCTCAAACTCCTGACCTCAGGTGGATCTGCCCACCTGGGCCTCCCAAAGTGTTGGGATGACAGGCGTGAGCCACTGCACCTGGCCATTGTAGCATATTCTTACAATGGAACAAGAAAGAAGAAGCTGCTTCTTCATTCAACATGTATGAATCTCATGTTCAACATGTATGAACATAACGATTAGACCAAGGAGTAACACACGAAAGCATGTACAAAATATGATTCAATGCATACAAAGTCTTTTACTTTTATGTGTGTATATATATGTATATATATACACATATATATATGTGTATATATATGTGTATATATATGTGTATATATATATACACGTGTATATATATGTGTATATATATATACACGTGTATATATATGTGTATATATATATATGTGTATATATATATGTGTGTATATATATATATGATATATCATGGCTCACTGCAGCCTCCACCTTCCAGGCTCAATTATATATAATATAATATAATATAATATATAATGTAATATATAATATATATATGTATGATATATATTATATAATATATATTATATTATATAATATATATATATATTTTTTGAGACGGAGGCATGGGTGGACACGGTGCTCATGCCTGTAATCCCAGCACTTTGGGAGGCCGAGGTGGGCGGATCACTTGAGCTCAGGAGTTTGAGACCAGCCTGGCCAAGATGGTGAAACCTCGTCTCTACTAAAAATACAAAAATTAGAGGCAGGTGGTGGTGCAAGTCTGTAATCCCAACTACTCGGGAGGCTGAGGCAGGAGAATTGCTTGAACCTGGGAGGCGGAGGTTGCAGTGAGCTGAGATTGTGCCATTGCACCACTCTGCACTCCAGCCTGGGTGGCAGAGTGAGACTCTATCACACACACACAAAAAAAAAAAAAAAAAAAAAGAAGAAGGGGATATTAAGATATTCAGATAGAGACACCAGGGGTGTGTGTGCACAGAGGAAAGACCATGTGAGAACCCAGCAAGAAGGTGGCCATCTGCAAGCCAAGGAGAGAGGCTTCAGGAGAAACCACCCCTGCCAACATCTTGATCTTGGACTTCCAGCCTCCAGAGCTATGAGAAAATAAATTTCTGTTGTTTAAGCCACCTGGTCTGTGGTATTTTGTTATAGCAGCCTGAGCAAACTAATACAGCTTCTCAAAGATGCCTCTAACCCAACTCCATTCCCACCCTAAGAAAGAAACTGTGGAGAACCTGCAAGTTCAAGGGTTTAATTTTGAGGTCAATACAGTAAGTCTGTCCTTTTAAATAGACCAGACCCGTGAATGTAAATGCCAGCTCCCAGCCCCTCCCAGGAAGGCTGAGTCTCAGCC
This sequence comes from Homo sapiens, assembly GCF_000001405.40. NCBI lineage: Eukaryota > Metazoa > Chordata > Mammalia > Primates > Hominidae > Homo > Homo sapiens. Next base: position 100,298,297 of record NC_000007.14, read on the forward strand.
CCAAAGAAAAAGAGGAAAAGCCAAGGACACTCCCTGCCTCCCTCATCCCCTCCTTCCCCTCCATGGGGCTGGCTGAATGGGAATCTCATGAACTCCTCAGCCCTCGCAGGCTTCAGCCCCGTGGGACTCTCCTTTGTGGTCAGAGAGTTATAAATTTGCCTTGTCATGGCACAGCCAGCAGGCCTGCCCTGTCCTCCTTCTAATCAGGTCTGCAGACCCCAGAGCCTGCCACTCACCTGCTACTATCCTGGCAGTACGCAGCCACCTTCCCAACAGAGGCACCGATGATGAGCACACGGGTCAAAGACCTTGACCCTGCCATAGCTTTCTCCAGACCATGGCAGCGTGGAGGCTGCTCCAGTGTCTGGGCCCGAAAGCTGGGTTTTCCTATCGGCCCTTCTCCCAGCCTCTCTCATCATTAAAACAGCCATCCTTCATGGCATCCTGCATCCAGACTCGCCGTGCATTGATCAGCTCTATTAACCTACTTTTCATTTCAAAGCCACACAGCCATTCCTACCGTTTCTGTCCTGTGTAAATCCTCACTGAAAGCACACTGCACGCCCTTTGTCTTCCTGCTATTTTTTGTTTGTTTGCTTGGTTGGTTTTCTACTCTTTTTTCCTAACGGTTTTTCTCTCTCCAAGGCACATGATCCCACAACCCATGTGATTTAAAAATTCTCTCTGGGGCCGGACATGGTGGCTCACATCTGTAATCCTGGTACTTTGGGAGGGCGAGGCAGGTGGATTGCTTGAGATCAGGGGTTCAGACCAGCCTGGCCACATGGTGAAACCCCGTCTCTACAAAATACAAAAAGTAGCGGGGGGTGGTGGTGCAGGTCTGTAATCCCAGCTACTCAGGAGGCTGAGGCAGGAGAATCGCTTGAACCTGGGAGGTGGAGGGTGCAGTGAGCTGAGACTGTGCCACTGCAGTCCAGCCTGGGTGACAGAGCAAGACTCCATCTCAAAAAAAAAAAAAAATTATCTTTGGAAGAGTGAAATTCTGTCATTTGCAGGAACACGGGTGAGCTTGGAGACCATTATGTTAAGTGAAATAAGTCAGGCACAGCAAGACAAATGGGCTGGGTGTGGTGGCTCGTGCCTGTAATCCCAGTACTTTGTGGAGGTGGGGGGATTGCTTGAGCCCAGGAGTTCGACACCAGCTTTGGTAACAGAGAGAAACCCCATGCCTACACAAAATAAAAATAAGAAATTAGCTAGGCGTGATGGTGTGCCCCTACAGTCCTAGTTACCAGGAAGGCTGAGGCAGGAGGATTGCTTGAGCCCAGAAGGTTGAGGCTGCAGTGAGCTATGATTGCATCACTGCACTCCAACCTGGGTGACAGAATGAGACCCTGTCTCAATGAAAAAAAAAAGAAGACAAATGCCGCATGATTGTGTTAACATGTGGTAGCTAAAAAAGTTAATCTCAGAATTAGAGAGGAGAGGCCAGGTACGGTGGCTCACGTGTGTAATCTCAGCACTTTGGGAGGCCAAGGCAGGCGGATCACCTGAGGTCAGGAGTTCTAGACCAGGCTGGCCAACAGGGTGAAACCCCGTCTCTACCAAGAATACAAAAATTAGCTGGGAGTGGAGGCACATGCCTGTAATCTCATCTACTCAGGAGGCTGAGGCAGGAGAATTGCTTGAACCTGGGAGGCAGAGGTTGCAGTGAGCCGAGATTGCGCCACTGCACTCCAGCCTGGGCGATAGAGGGAGACTCTTTCTCAAAAACAAAACAAAACAATTTATTTTCTATATTCAAATAGGTAGAAGAGCAGATTTTGAATGTTCCCAACACAAAGAAATGATAACTGAGGAAATGAATCCGCTAATCACCCTGATGTGATCATTACACATTGTATACATATATTGAAATATCACCTGTATCCCGTAAATTATTACAATTATTATATAAACATACAATTATTATACATAAATTAAAAATAATAAAAGCAAGAAAGAGTTCTTTTTGGCATTTTAAACAGAATTCCCCCTCTTTTGCTCGTGAATTTGAGAGGCAGTGTTCGAATCACAGCTTGGTTAGCGTGTGACCTCAAGGAATGTTTGTTATCTGGGGCTGCTCAAACAAACCATCCCACAACTTAGTAGCATTAAATGGATTGCCCCAAACTTAGCGCCTGTCGTGATTTCTTTGGACCAGCGATTCTGGAAGTAGTTGGCTGTGCAATTCTGGCTGGAGGCAGGTGGAGGGGTGGAGGGAGTAAGGAGGTGGGCGGGGGTGAGAATGGGGCAGTGAAGGATGGGGTAGTGGAAGGCTGGCTGGGGATGCGTCTTCATGTCGTCTCAGGGCACATCCTAGGGTTAGCTTGGGCTTCCTTGCAGCATGGTGGCCTCAGGGCAGTGAGTCCATTTACACAACAGCTCAGGGCCACCGCGTACATGTTTTAGACTGTAAATTGGAGGCTGAAAAACATCATAACATCACTTTTGCCCTACTCAATGACTATCCTGTTACTAAGGTTGGGCCAAAATTAAAGGGGGGGTCATAGGCCCCCACCTCTTTTTTTATTTTCAGACAGGGTCTCCCTCCGCTGCCCAGGCTGGAGTGCAGGGGCGCAATCATAGCTCACTGCAGCCTTGACCTCCCAGGCTCAAGCAATCCTCCTGCTTCAGCCTCCCAAGTAGCTGGGACATGGGCATGCATCATCACACCTGGCTAATTAAAAACATTTTTTTTTGAGACGGAGTCTCGCTCTGTTGTCCAGGCTGGAGTGGAGTGGCACGCTCTCGGCTCACTGCAACCTCTGCCTCCTGGGTTCAAGCAATTCTCCTGCCTCAGCCTCCTGAGTACCTGGGATTACAGGTGCCCAACACCACACCTGGCTAATTTTTTGTATTTTAGTAGAGACAGGATTTCACCATGTTGCCCAGGCTGGTCTCAAACTCCTCAGCTCAGGCAACCCGCCTGCCTTGGCCTCCCAAAGTGCTAGGATTACAGGCATGAGTGACCATGCCCAGCCTAAAAACTTTTTTTTAAGGGATGGGATCTTGCTAGGCTGCCCAGGCTGGTCTTGAAGTCCTGGCCTCAAGCAATCCTCCCACCTTGGCCTCCCAAGGTTCTAGGATTACAGGCGTGAGCCACCATGCCTGGCTGACCCTCACCTATTTTTTTGTTGTTGTTTGAGACAGGGTCTACCTCCATCTCCTCGGCTGGAGTGCAGTGGCTTGATCATGGCTCACTCCAGCCTCAACCTCCTGGGCTCAAGCAATGCTACCACTTCAGCCTCCCGAGTGGCTGTGACTACAGGTGTGCACCACCACACCCTGCTAATTTTTGTATTTTTTGTAGAGATGAGGTCTTGCTATATTGCCCAGGCTAGTTTCAAACTCCTGGCCTCAGTCAATCCTCCCACCTTGGCCTCCCAAAGTGCTGGGATTATAGGTATGAGCCACCACCTCTGGCCAGCTCCCACCTGTTGATCAAAGGAGCATCAAAGAATTTGCAGCCTCCAGAAGGAGGTCATTTCCTGCCTCTGAGTCTCAGTTTCCACATCTATGAAAGAAAGTTAATGATCCTTCACTCCAGGGTTGTCGTGAAGGCTAAATTAAGTTGTATTTGGAAAAATATGTGGGGCACAGTAGGTGTGTTTCTCACACCCAGAGTCAGAGTGTTTAGCAGAGGGTTAGTAGTTGCCTCCAGGGCATGAAGGGCTCTTCCTGACCCTAAGTGTGAGGAACGCTTTGGGTTAAAAGATTGTACTTTTCTGCGTTCAGCTGAAAGGTGGAGGGCTCAGTGAGGTGGCTCACACCTGTAATTCCAATGCTTTGGGAGGCCGAGGTGGGAGGATCACTTGAGCCCAGGAGTTTGAGAGCAGCTTAAACAACACAGTAAGACCTTGTTTCTACACACACACACACACACACACACACACACACACACACACACACACACACACACTAGCCAGGCGTGGTGGCATGCGCCTGTAGTTCCAGCTACTTGGGAGGCTGAGGTGGGTGGATTGCTTGAGGCAAGGAGTTTGAGACAAGCCTGGTCAACATAGTGACACCCCATCATCCCCCAAAATCATTTTTCTTTGTTTTAAGGCAGAGCCTCACTCTATTGCCCAGGCTGGAGTGCAGTGGTGTGATCTCACCTCCTTGCAACCTCTGCCTCCTGGGTTCAAGCGATTCTTGTGTCTCAGCCTCCTGAGTAGCTAGGATTACAGGTGTGCACCACCATGCCTGGCTAATTTTTGTATTTTTAGCGGAGATGGGGTTTTGCCGTGTTGGTCAGGCTGGTCTTGAACTCCTGGCCTCAAGTGATCCATCTGCCTTGGCCTCCCAAAGTGCTGGGATTACAGGTGTGAGCCACTGTGCCCAGCCACAATAAATCATTTTTTAAAGGTTAAATTTAACCTCATTTAAGTAATACATATAAGTCTCATCGAATAATTGAAGCCAGTTTGTGAGGTAAAGTCTATTATTATGTGCATTTTAATTCTTAGTGTTTAATTAAAGCCTCATAAGTACAAATAAAAACAGGACTTGCTATAACAGGTTGCCACCTATTTTCTTTAAAGATGATGAGCAGCATCTTATTTGCGTTAACACAAGTCATCCACATAACAAATATAGATAAGAAAAGTGGCCAGGTGTGGTGGCTCATGCCTCTAATCCTAGTACTTTGGGAGGCCGAGGCAGACAGATCACTTGAGGTCAGGAGTTCGAGACCAGCCTGGGCAATATGGTGAAACCCCATCTCTATCAAAAATACAAAAATTAGCCCGGCATGGTGGTGGGCGCCTGTAATCCCAGCTACTTGGGAGGCTGAGGCAGGAGAATTGCTTGAACCTGGAAGGCGAAGTTTGCAGTGAGCCAAGATCATGCCACTGCACTCCAGCCTGGGTGACAGAGCGAGACTCTGTCTAGAAAAAAGAAAAAAGAAAAGAAAAGAAAAGTAAGGCACTTAGAGGGTAAGTGGCTTCACTCGGTACTAAGTAGGGGAGTGTGGATTTGAGCCAAGCTGTGGGTTCAAACCACATCAACACCTGCTATGCCTGACTGCGTCTCCACGCTGCTGGGAAGGTTGACTGAATCTGCCACTACCTCCCTGGGGTGCATGTGCTTACCAAACCATTGCATTATGTAAAAGGCGGTGCTGTAGGTTTTTAGTTTTTTAATTTTTATTTTTTTGAGATAGAGTCTCACTCTGTCACCCAGGCTGGAGTGTAGTGGCATGATCTTGGCTGACTGCAATCTCTGCCTTCCGGGTTCAAGCGATTCTCTTGCCTCAGCCTCCTGAGTAGCTGGGACTACAGGCCCACACCACCACGCCTGGCTAATTTTTGTATTTTTAGTAGAGACAGGGTTTCACCATGTTGGACATCATGGTCTTGGTCTCTTGGGCTCATTATCTGCCTGCCTCGGCCTCCCGAAGTGCTGGGATTACAGGTGTGAGCCACCGTGCCTGGCCTCTAGTGACCTCATTTTAACTTGATCACCTCTGTAAAGACTCTGGTTCCAATAAGGTCACCTCTAAGGTCTGGAGGGTCATGGCTTCAATACATGAATTAGGGGTGGGGGGCACACCATGCAGCCCATAATACTAGCGTATCTGGTTATGTTAAACTTGCTATAGCCACAGTCTCGCTGACTTGGATATGGTACCATGGGAAGGGCCCTTAAAGATCATCTTATCTGGTTGGGCTCAATGGCTCATGTGTGTAATTCCAGCACTCTGAGAGGCCAAGGCAAGAGGATCGCTTGTGACCAAGAGTTCAAGACCAGTCTGGGCAACAGAGCAAGATGCTATATCTACTACAGGCATGCACCTGTAGTCTCAGCTACTTGGGAGGGTGAGAGAAGAGGATTGCTTGAGCCCAGGAGGCAACAGAGAGCTGATTGTACCACTGCACCCCAGCCAAGGCAACAGAGACCTTGTCTCTAAAAAACAAAAACAGGCCAGGTGCAGTGTCTTATGCCTGTATTCCCAGCACTTTGACAGGCAGAGGCAGGTGGATCATTTGAAGTCAGGTGTTCAAGATCAGCCTGGCAAACATGACGAAACCCTAAAATACAAAAATTAGCCGGGAGTGGTGGTGGGTGCCTGTAATCTCAGCTACTCGGGAGGCTGAGGCAGGAGAATCACTTGAACCTGGGAGGCAGAGGTTGCAGTGAGCCGAGATGGAGCCACTGCACTGCAGCCTGGGTGACAAGAGCGAAACTCTGTCTCAAAATATTAGGAAAAAAAAAGAGAGAGAGCCTCTTTTCCATCTCCCCGCCACAGAGTTGTCTTCAGTAATTTCATTCCCTTTTTTCCTGAGGATTCACTGGGTTTCTGGGTCCCAGAGGGGAAGTTCTCTTCAAGGTACAGAAACCACGACTCCGCAGAGAACCGCAGAGACGGCGGCATGACCAGACCACGGACAGGTGTGGAGAAGCTGCTGGGCTAAAACTTGGGCTGAACTTCCGCTGCAGGTCGACTTATTCCCATCAGCACCAAAGCCACTGGAGGGGGTCATCCACTAGCAAATGAAGTGGGGGCACGGATTGGAGGCTGTTTCAGAAGGTCCCACTGAGCCACGGACTCAAGGCCTGGCCACAGCCCTCCCAAGCAAGGCCCAGATCATATTTCACCACGCTCAGAAAACCTTGTCAGCTCATTTCAGTCCACGGTGACTTTGCTTTCTTTAGGATCTCTCTTGCACTGTCCAACTCAGAGAATTTCAAATCTGAATGGATTCCAATGATGGAGCTAAATCAGGCCTCACCTCAGTTTTTTAATTACAATCAATAGGGCTGGGTCCCAGCATCTGTGTCTTAATGTTCCTCCATGTGATCCTCATGCTGAAAGGCTGGTATTTGAAAATCCCTTTTTTTGGGGAGTGAAGGGTTTTTTTTAGAGACAGGCCTCACTCTGATGCCCAGCCTGGAATGCAGTGGTAGATCACAGCTCACTGCAGCCTCGAACTCCTGGCCGCAAGAAATCCTCCCACCTTAGCCAACCAAAGTGTTGGGATTGCAGGAGTGACCACTGTGTCCAGCCAGGAAAGCCCTTCTGTTTCACTTGAATGATATTTCTGCCGCAGACCTACAGCCATTGTTGTATTAAACGGCATCATTGCAGGAAAAGAAAAGGTGAGAGGTGACTGTTTTGCTTTTTTCTGAACATATCAGACCAAACCTGGGCTGTCTGGCACTTTTTTTTTTTTTTTGAGTCGGAGTCTCACTCTGTCGCCCAGGCTGGAGTGTAGTGTCGTGATCTCGGCTCACTGGAACCTCCACCATCCCGGTTCAAGTGATTCTCCTGCCTCAGCCCCGCAAGTAGCTGGAATTACAGAAGTGCACTCCCACACCCAGCTCATTGTTTCTGTATTTTTACAGAAAAACAGACAGGTTTCACCATGTTGGCCAGGCTGATCTCAACCTCCTCACCTCTGGTTATCTGTCGGCATCGGCTTCCAAAAGTGCTGGGATTACAAGTGTGAGCCACCGCGCCTGGTTTGCCCATTTTTTGACAATGTATCAACATCATCTAAGATGGGCACTGCCTCAGTGTAGTGTGTCTAGACAAGGTGGCCGGAACAGAGAGGAATATGCATACCAGGCTTAAAGACGGGTTAAATCAGAGCTTTTCATTCCACAAAAGAGCAATTTTAATGAGGTCAGAACATGGATGTTCTAATATTTGAAAGCCTGTTAACTAGGAGAGAGAGAGAGTAAAGTGATTTGTTGTAGGAGGACACACCCAGCTCTGACGGTTTAAAGCGTCATGAATGCAAATTTGAACTCCAGAAAAGCAGAGCTTCCTAACAATGGGACTTCCACAGCAATGGGATTTCCTTCCACATTCAGTTTGTGCCTTTCCCATGAGCGAGAGACTCCTAGGAGAGCCGCAGCCCGTTAGGAAGCCATGTGGGAACTCATCCACAGGTTCTTTTTGTTTGTTTTTTTTTTTTTTTTGAGATGTAGTTTTGCTCTTGTTGCCCAGGCTGGAGTGCAATGGTGCGACCTTGGCTCACTGCAACCTCCGCCTCCCAAGTTTAAGCCATTCTGCTGCCCCCGCCTCCTGAGTGGCTGGGATTACAGGCACCCACCACCATGCCTGACTAATTTTTTGTATTTTTAGAAGAGATGGGGTTTCACCATGTTGGCCAGGCTGCTCTTAAACTCCTGACCTCAAGCGATCCACCTGCTATGGCCTCCCAAAGCGCTGGGATTACAGGCGTGAGCCACTGTGCCTGGCCGGAACCCACAGGTTCTTTGGATGGTCTCTGAATGTCATGAAACTCTTTTATATTTAATTAAAAAAATTTTTTTGACACAAGGTCTTGCTGTGTTGCCCAGACTGGAGTGCGGTGTCACGATCACAGCTCACTGCAGCCCCTAACTCCTAGGCTCAAGCAATCCTCCTGCCACCTCAGTCTCTCAAGTTGTTGGAACACAGGTGCCAGCCACGACACCTGGCTAATTTTGTTCTGTTTTGTTTTGTTTTGTTTGAGATGGGGTCTTGCTATGTTGCCTACACTGGTCTTGAACTGCTGGCCTCAGGCAGTCTTCCTCCCTTGGCCACCCAAAGAGATGGGATTGCAAGCATGAGCCACTGTGCACAGCTGAGATTTTTCGACTTAGTCTTTTTGTACACCCAGTATCTTATAGAATATCCATAATATAGATTCATAAATAAACCATTTCCTTCAATAGTATAAATAAATAAACCACTGCTATAAATGGTGGAATTTCTGAGTTAAGAGCAATACATATGATACAAAACTTGATATATAGAGTTTCTTAGCCAAACTGGAGGGGCTGGCTTTAGGTGATCCGTGGACTCCCTGAAACTGGGGACACCATTGGAAATATGTGTGAGCTCATGGGCAGTTTCCGATGATTTCCAGTCCTCAAAATATCTCTTGGACTCAAAGATGCCTTAGGGCAGAGGACACGTTACACCCAGTACAGAATCTCGGACAGTGAATATCAGTAAACATTCGGCAGAAAAGCTCTGCCAAATTGAGTGCTCTGATGTGACTTTTTCATCAAGTCAATGTTCCTGGGATCTCTTGTACATGATACTCTCACTCTTATAAGGTTTCATCGTTTCTGCTTACCCTAGTTTTCTTTCCCATCCTGATCCCTCTCCCACCAGACTGGACTCTGAAACGGGCATGTACAGAGAAGAGGAGACCCCAACACGCTTCAAGCTTTGAGTGGAGAGGACACAGCCTCTGCTGGGACAGGGAACAGAGGGATGCGGAGACCCTGAAGATGCTTTTGGACAGTGGTCTGAGGTTGGGACAGTGGCAGGAGATACCATTCACCCAGGATCTCCAGGACAAGAGATCAGCCTGGCAGTTACATGTGTTTTTGTTCAAACTGGTTGCCAGGTTGGAATGACCTATGACATCAGAGATTCCGACCTTCCTGATTGGAAGGACCGGACTCTGTCGGCGCCTGGCAGTTCAGGTGAACAACAGTAACTTCTCAGAGCTGTTCTCCACTCCTGACTTCTCCCAGCCTCGAGAATTGATAACACACTCTTCTGGATCCCAGCAGTGTCCAGAAGAAGACCAAGGACAGAACAGAGACTAGCTTCGGTGAGATTGGACAGATTTTGGGAAAGATCATGACGAGCCATCAACCGCAGCCCCAGGAAGAGCAGAGCCCCCAGCGGAGCACCTCAGGGTACCCCCTCCAGGAGGTGGTGGATGATGAAGTGTCGGGACCATCAGGTGAGGGGACTGGAGGAAGAAGAGGTGGCATAGGATTGACTAAGACGAAGGAAGGGGGCCAGGTGCGGTAGCTCACCCCTGTAACACCAACACTTTGGGAGGCCGAGGCGGGCAGATCACCTGAGGTCAGCAGTTCAAGACCAGCCTGGCCAACATGGTGAAACCCCATCTCTACTAAAAGTACAAAAATTAGCCAGGCGGTAGTGGTGTGTGCCTATAATCCCAGCTACTCGGGAGGCTGAGACAGGAGAATCGCTTGAGCCTGGGAGGAAGAGGGTGCAGTGAGCCGAGATCGTGCTACTGCACTCCAGTCTGGGTGAGAGAGTGAGACGCTGTCTCAAAAAAAAAAAAAAAAAAAGAAGAAGAAAAAAAAGAAGGGTCAGAGGTCAGGAAGGAGAACCTGGGGAGGGTGTGTGGGAAGAATGGAGAAATTCAGGCTGGGTGCAGTGGCTCACACCTGTAATCCCAGCACTTTGGGAAGCCAAGGCAGGCGGATCACGTGAGGCCAAGAGTTTGAGACCAGCCTGGCCAACATGGCGAAACCCCGTCTCTACTAAAAGTACAAAATTGAGCTGGGCATTATGGCAGGCACCTGTAATCCCAGCTACCTGAGAGGCTGAGGCAGGAGAATAACTGGAATCCGGGAGATGGATGTTGCAGTGAGCTGAGATTGTACCACTACACTCCAGCCTGGGTGACAAAGCAAGATTCTGTCTCGAAACAAAAAAAAAAAAAGAGGGCCTCAGAGAGCCAGGGACCAGGGAACGATATGACGCAGTGTTCTGAGGACAGAGAGAGGGAAGAATGGGGAGGGGAAGGAGTGGCACATGGGGTTGAGCAGAGGAGAAAGTCAGAAAGGTGGCTTGGAGAAGCCAGCAGTCTGAGAGGCTGGGGAGGATGGAGAATGGTTTGGGGTTTGGGGTCGGGGTCTAACGTGATCAGTTGCAGAAGCATTACACGGTGGCCTGGTTTCTTTACTCAGCCCCTGGGGTAGATCCCAGCCCCCCACGTAGGTCCCTTGGCTGCAAAAGGAAGAGGGAGTGTTTGGATGAATCTGATGATGAGCCAGAGAAGGAGCTCGCCCCTGAGCCTGAGGAGACCTGGGTGGCGGAGACGCTGTGTGGCCTCAAGATGAAGGCGAAGCGACGGCGAGTGTCGCTCGTGCTCCCTGAGTACTACGAGGCCTTCAACAGGCTGCTTGGTAGGAGGACACCCCAGAGAGCACCTCCAATCCTGTTCTTTCTAAAAAGAGGAAACTTCCAATAACCACACTTTTCCAATGGGAAAAATATGCCCCAGTGGGTGAGCTCTCCATGCGGGAGGACTCTGAAGTGATCACTCATGAGGGACACTTAGGAGACAACAGAGGATTAGGTAGACTTGATAAAGGTCGGTGCTTGGGATAAGAAAGCTTGGTTTTGGGCCAGGCGCTGTGGCTCCCGCCTGAGATCCCAGCACGTTGGGAGGCTGAGGCAAGAGGATTGCTTGAACTCAGGACTTCGAGGCTGCAGTGAGCTATGACTGCACCACTGCACTCCAGCCTGAGTGACAGAGCAAAACTCTGCGTCAAAAGAAAAACCAAGGCTGGGCACAGTAGCTCATGCCTGTAGTTCCAGCTACTCGGGAGGCTGAGACAGGAGAATCGCTTGAGCCTGGGAGGAAGAGGGTGCAGTGAGCCGAGATCGTGCTACTGCACTCCAGTCTGGGTGAGAGAGTGAGACGCTGTCTCAAAAAAAAAAAAAAAAAAGAAGAAAAAAAAGAAGGGTCAGAGGTCAGGAAGGAGAACCTGGGGAGGGTGTGTGGGAAGAATGGAGAAATTCAGGCTGGGTGCAGTGGCTCACACCTGTAATCCCAGCACTTTGGGAAGCCAAGGCAGGTGGATCACGTGAGGCCAGGAGTTTGAGACCAGCCTGGCCAACATGGTGAAACCCCCGTCTCTACTAAAAGTACAAAATTGAGCTGGGCATTATGGCAGGCACCTGTAATCCCAGCTACCTGAGAGGCTGAGGCAGGAGAATAACTGGAATCCGGGAGATAGATGTTGCAGTCAGCTGAGATTGCACCACTACACTCCAGCCTGGGTGACAAAGCAAGATTCTGTCTCGAAACAGAAAAAAAAAAGAGGGCCTCAGAGAGCCAGGGACCAGGGAACGATATGACGCAGTGTTCTGAGGACAGAGAGAGGGAAGAATGGGGAGGGGAAGGAGTGGCACATGGGGTTGAGCAGAGGAGAAAGTCAGAAAGGTGGCTTGGAGAAGCCAGCAGTCTGAGAGGCTGGGGAGGATGGAGAGTGGTTTGGGGTTTGGGGTCGGGGTCTAACGTGATCAGTTGCAGAAGCATTACACGGTGGCCTGGTTTCTTTACTCAGCCCCTGGGGTAGATCCCAGCCCCCCACGTAGGTCCCTTGGCTGCAAAAGGAAGAGGGAGTGTTTGGATGAATCTGATGATGAGCCAGAGAAGGAGCTCGCCCCTGAGCCTGAGGAGACCTGGGTGGCGGAGACGCTGTGTGGCCTCAAGATGAAGGCGAAGCGACGGCGAGTGTCGCTCGTGCTCCCTGAGTACTACGAGGCCTTCAACAGGCTGCTTGGTAGGAGGACACCCCAGAGAGCACCTCCAATCCTGTTCTTTCTAAAAAGAGGAAACTTCCAATAACCACACTTTTCCAATGGGAAAAATATGCCCCAGTGGGTGAGCTCTCCATGCGGGAGGACTCTGAAGTGATCACTCATGAGGGACACTTAGGAGACAACAGAGGATTAGGTAGACTTGATAAAGGTCGGTGCTTGGGATAAGAAAGCTTGGTTTTGGGCCAGGCGCTGTGGCTCCCGCCTGAGATCCCAGCACGTTGGGAGGCTGAGGCAAGAGGATTGCTTGAACTCAGGACTTTGAGGCTGCAGTGAGCTATGACTGCACCACTGCACTCCAGCCTGGGTGACAGAGCAAAACTCTGCGTCAAAAGAAAAACCAAGGCTGGGCACAGTAGCTCATGCCTGTAGTTCCAGCTACTCGGGAGGCTGAGACAGGAGAATCGCTTGAGCCTGGGAGGAAGAGGGTGCAGTGAGCCGAGATCGTGCTACTGCACTCCAGTCTGGGTGAGAGAGTGAGACGCTGTCTCAAAAAAAAAAAAAAAAAAAGAAGAAGAAAAAAAAGAAGGGTCAGAGGTCAGGAAGGAGAACCTGGGGAGGGTGTGTGGGAAGAATGGAGAAATTCAGGCTGGGTGCAGTGGCTCACACCTGTAATCCCAGCACTTTGGGAAGCCAAGGCAGGCGGATCACGTGAGGCCAGGAGTTTGAGACCAGCCTGGCCAACATGGTGAAACCCCCGTCTCTACTAAAAGTACAAAATTGAGCTGGGCATTATGGCAGGCACCTGTAATCCCAGCTACCTGAGAGGCTGAGGCAGGAGAATAACTGGAATCCGGGAGATAGATGTTGCAGTCAGCTGAGATTGCACCACTACACTCCAGCCTGGGTGACAAAGCAAGATTCTGTCTCGAAACAAAAAAAAAAAAGAGGGCCTCAGAGAGCCAGGGACCAGGGAAGGATATGACGCAGTGTTCTGAGGACAGAGAGAGGGAAGAATGGGGAGGGGAAGGAGTGGCACATGGGGTTGAGCAGAGGAGAAAGTCAGAAAGGTGGCTTGGAGAAGCCAGCAGTCTGAGAGGCTGGGGAGGATGGAGAATGGTTTGGGGTTTGGGGTCGGGGTCTAACGTGATCAGTTGCAGAAGCATTACACGGTGGCCTGGTTTCTTTACTCAGCCCCTGGGGTAGATCCCAGCCCCCCACGTAGGTCCCTTGGCTGCAAAAGGAAGAGGGAGTGTTTGGATGAATCTGATGATGAGCCAGAGAAGGAGCTCGCCCCTGAGCCTGAGGAGACCTGGGTGGCAGAGACGCTGTGTGGCCTCAAGATGAAGGCGAAGCGACGGCGAGTGTCGCTCGTGCTCCCTGAGTACTACGAGGCCTTCAACAGGCTGCTTGGTAGGAGGACACCCCAGAGAGCACCTCCAATCCTGTTCTTTCTAAAAAGAGGAAACTTCCAATAACCACACTTTTCCAATGGGAAAAATATGCCCCAGTGGGTGAGCTCTCCATGCGGGAGGACTCTGAAGTGATCACTCATGAGGGACACTTAGGAGTCAACAGAGGATTAGGTAGACTTGATAAAGGTCGGTGCTTGGGATAAGAAAGCTTGGTTTTGGGCCAGGCGCTGTGGCTCCCGCCTGAGATCCCAGCACGTTGGGAGGCTGAGGCAAGAGGATTGCTTGAACTCAGGACTTTGAGGCTGCAGTGAGCTATGACTGCACCACTGCACTCCAGCCTGGGTGACAGAGCAAAACTCTGCGTCAAAAGAAAAGCCAAGGCTGGGCACAGTAGCTCATGCCTGTAGTTCCAGCTACTCGGGAGGCTGAGACAGGAGAATCGCTTGAGCCTGGGAGGAAGAGGGTGCAGTGAGCCAAGATCGTGCTACTGCACTCCAGTCTGGGTGAGAGAGTGAGACGCTGTCTCAAAAAAAAAAAAAAAAAAAGAAGAAGAGAAAAAAGAAGGGTCAGAGGTCAGGAAGGAGAACCTGGGGAGGGTGTGTGGGAAGAATGGAGAAATTCAGGCTGGGTGCAGTGGCTCACACCTGTAATCCCAGCACTTTGGGAAGCCAAGGCAGGCGGATCACGTGAGGCCAGGAGTTTGAGACCAGCCTGGCCAACATGGTGAAACCCCCGTCTCTACTAAAAGTACAAAATTGAGCTGGGCATTATGGCAGGCACCTGTAATCCCAGCTACCTGAGAGGCTGAGGCAGGAGAATAACTGGAATCCGGGAGATAGATGTTGCAGTCAGCTGAGATTGCACCACTACACTCCAGCCTGGGTGACAAAGCAAGATTCTGTCTCGAAACAAAAAAAAAAAAGAGGGCCTCAGAGAGCCAGGGACCAGGGAACGATATGTCGCAGTGTTCTGAGGACAGAGAGAGGGAAGAATGGGGAGGGGAAGGAGTGGCACATGGGGTTGAGCAGAGGAGAAAGTCAGAAAGGTGGCTTGGAGAAGCCAGCAGTCTGCGAGGCTGGGGAGGATGGAGAGTGGTTTGGGGTTTGGGGTCGGGGTCTAACGTGATCAGTTGCAGAAGCATTACACGGTGGCCTGGTTTCTTTACTCAGCCCCTGGGGTAGATCCCAGCCCCCCACGTAGGTCCCTTGGCTGCAAAAGGAAGAGGGAGTGTTTGGATGAATCTGATGATGAGCCAGAGAAGGAGCTCGCCCCTGAGCCTGAGGAGACCTGGGTGGCGGAGACGCTGTGTGGCCTCAAGATGAAGGCGAAGCGACGGCGAGTGTCGCTCGTGCTCCCTGAGTACTACGAGGCCTTCAACAGGCTGCTTGGTAGGAGGACACCCCAGAGAGCACCTCCAATCCTGTTCTTTCTAAAAAGAGGAAACTTCCAATAACCACACTTTTCCAATGGGAATAATATGCCCCAGTGGGTGAGCTCTCCATGCGGGAGGACTCTGAAGTGATCACTCATGAGGGACACTTAGGAGACAACAGAGGATTAGGTAGACTTGATAAAGGTCGGTGCTTGGGATAAGAAAGCTTGGTTTTGGGCCAGGCGCTGTGGCTCCCGCCTGAGATCCCAGCACGTTGGGAGGCTGAGGCAAGAGGATTGCTTGAACTCAGGACTTTGAGGCTGCAGTGAGCTATGACTGCACCACTGCACTCCAGCCTGGGTGACAGAGCAAAACTCTGCGTCAAAAGAAAAACCAAGGCTGGGCACAGTAGCTCATGCCTGTAGTTCCAGCTACTCGGGAGGCTGAGACAGGAGAATCGCTTGAGCCTGGGAGGAAGAGGGTGCAGTGAGCCGAGATCGTGCTACTGCACTCCAGTCTGGGTGAGAGAGTGAGACGCTGTCTCAAAAAAAAAAAAAAAAAAAAAAGAAGAAGAAAAAAAAGAAGGGTCAGAGGTCAGGAAGGAGAACCTGGGGAGGGTGTGTGGGAAGAATGGAGAAATTCAGGCTGGGTGCAGTGGCTCACACCTGTAATCCCAGCACTTTGGGAAGCCAAGGCAGGCGGATCACGTGAGGCCAGGAGTTTGAGACCAGCCTGGCCAACATGGTGAAACCCCCGTCTCTACTAAAAGTACAAAATTGAGCTGGGCATTATGGCAGGCACCTGTAATCCCAGCTACCTGAGAGGCTGAGGCAGGAGAATAACTGGAATCCGGGAGATAGATGTTGCAGTCAGCTGAGATTGCACCACTACACTCCAGCCTGGGTGACAAAGCAAGATTCTGTCTCGAAACAAAAAAAAAAAGAGGGCCTCAGAGAGCCAGGGACCAGGGAACGATATGACGCAGTGTTCTGAGGACAGAGAGAGGGAAGAATGGGGAGGGGAAGGAGTGGCACATGGGGTTGAGCAGAGGAGAAAGTCAGAAAGGTGGCTTGGAGAAGCCAGCAGTCTGAGAGGCTGGGGAGGATGGAGAGTGGTTTGGGGTTTGGGGTCGGGGTCTAACGTGATCAGTTGCAGAAGCATTACACGGTGGCCTGGTTTCTTTACTCAGCCCCTGGGGTAGATCCCAGCCCCCCGCGTAGGTCCCTTGGCTGCAAAAGGAAGAGGGAGTGTTTGGATGAATCTGATGATGAGCCAGAGAAGGAGCTCGCCCCTGAGCCTGAGGAGACCTGGGTGGCGGAGACGCTGTGTGGCCTCAAGATGAAGGCGAAGCGACGGCGAGTGTCGCTCGTGCTCCCTGAGTACTACGAGGCCTTCAACAGGCTGCTTGGTAGGAGGACACCCCAGAGAGCACCTCCAATCCTGTTCTTTCTAAAAAGAGGAAACTTCCAATAACCACACTTTTCCAATGGGAAAAATATGCCCCAGTGGGTGAGCTCTCCATGCGGGAGGACTCTGAAGTGATCACTCATGAGGGACACTTAGGAGTCAACAGAGGATTAGGTAGACTTGATAAAGGTCGGTGCTTGGGATAAGAAAGCTTGGTTTTGGGCCAGGCGCTGTGGCTCCCGCCTGAGATCCCAGCACGTTGGGAGGCTGAGGCAAGAGAATTGCTTGAACTCAGGACTTTGAGGCTGCAGTGAGCTATGACTGCACCACTGCACTCCAGCCTGGGTGACAGAGCAAAACTCTGCGTCAAAAGAAAAACCAAGGCTGGGCACAGTAGCTCATGCCTGTAGTTCCAGCTACTCGGGAGGCTGAGACAGGAGAATTGCTTAAACCCAGGAGGCAGAGGTTGCAGTGAGCCAAGATCAGGCCAATGCATTCCAGCCTGGCCCACAGAGCAAGACTCTGTCTCAAAATAAATTAATAAATAAATAAAAATAAAAATCAAACAAAGAAAAACAAAATCAAAAATCAAAAAAGTGGTTTCAGCTGTGCCCTCTGAAACTTAATGTTTCTTACTGACTTTTCTAAACCTAAGTGTCTCCATCCATAGTGGGGGATACCAAGGCCATGGTCACACCCTGATGTGTGACTGTCTCATGAGGAAATGATGGGAATTCCTTTATGACTCTGCAGTGGTCCCTCCGTGTCTGCTGGAGGGGGTCCCGGCTGATTCCCAGCTCTACATCCTGTAGATTCTCACACCCAGGGCCTCCTTCGGCCTCTTCTCAGGGGAGTCTCAGAGCAGGAGCCTCTCTCCCTTGCCCAGTGAAAGTCATTCTCCCCTCTCCCATCCACCTCACCCGCGGCCACAATCCTGAGACTTTCCCCCGGGAGGCACACTTCTCCTCACTGCCCTGCTGCTCCCATGGAAACCCTGTCCTGCTTCTCACGCTGACATCTGCTCTCTAATCACAGAGGATCCTGTCATTAAAAGATTCCTGGCCTGGGACAAAGATCTGAGGGTGTCAGACAAGGTAAGGTTGTTCTCTATGTAACTGTGTTCCTGTTCTAACGCACGGCCAGGGGGAGGGCGCAGCTTCCAAACCCACAGTTCTCCCTCCACCACCTCCCACCAGATGCTCCTACAGTTTTTTTTGTTTTTGTTTTTGTTTTTTTTTGTGAGACACAGTCTTGCTCTGTTGCCCAGGCTGGAGGGCAGTGTCTCGATCTTGACTCACTGCAGCTGATGCCTCCTGGGTTCAAGCGATTCTCCTGCCTCAGCCTCCAAGCAGCTGGGATTACAAACGTGAACCACCACGCCTGGCTAATTTTTGTGTTTTTAGTAGAGACGGGGTTTTGCCATGTTGGCCAGATTGGTCCCGAACACCTGACCTCAGGTGATCCACCCGCCTTGGCCTCCCAAAGTGCTGAGATTACAGACGTCAGCACTGTGTCCGACCAGCTCCCATGGTCTTGAGTCTTGGCACCCACACATTTTTTTTTCTGAGACAGAGTCCAGCTCTGCTCCCCAGGATGGAGTACAGTGGCATGATCATAGCTCACTCTAATTCCTGGGCTCAAGCAATCCTCTTTCCTTAGCCTCCTGAGGAGCTGGGACTAGGCACATGCCACCATGCTCAACGAATTTTTGAAATCTTCGTAGAAACAGGGTCTCGCTGTGTTGCCCAGGTTGTTCTCCAACTGTTGGGCTCATGTGATCCTCCTGTCTCCACCTCTCAAAAAGTACTGGGATCACAGGCTTGAGCCGCCACTCCCGGCTATTCTTTGTCTTTTTATGATTTGTCAGCATCTCCCTCAGGACTCTGCTGGTCTCTTGCAGAGTGAATGAGTGGCCCCTGCCTCTCCCATGGGTCCTTTGGGATCTGAGCCCTAGGCCACCGTCTGGCTGCAGTCCTGAAGCTCCTGGGCCCTCTACTCTCAGCTCCTTGGGACAGTTCTCTGCCTGGCACACAAAAGACCCTCCTGACACCAGCCGACCTAGACACACCCCCTCCAAAGATCCCATCGGAGCCCACCATCCTGGGAGCATCACCTAAAACCCTTCCTCCGGCTTCTCGGATTTGCATCCGACCTTCGAATACCCCTCCACCCCGCAATTTCCACATGAGCACAGTCACCCCAATGCTGAGGTCCCTTCTCTGATGGGCAACCCCTCCCCAGACCCCCATTCCACTATCTCCACAATCTTCCTCTCCCAAGATGTGACCTCTCCCTCTCTGTGTTCCTTTCTCTCCATCAGTATCTCCTGGCTATGGTCATAGCGTATTTCAGCCGGGCCGGCCTCCCCTCCTGGCAATACCAACGCATTCATTTCTTCCTGGCTCTGTGAGTGGTTTGCTGCCTCCTATCCATCAATATCCAACGCCCTGGGACAGCGGGGGAAGTGGGATTCCAGCCTTTCATTTATTCTTTCACCTATTTGTCCTCTTTACTCTGTGTACAAAAAAGACAGGATTATAGTATCTTAGACTGTTGTCTCTAAAAAGAAACTCAGGCTGGGCATGGTGGCTCAGGCCTGTAATCCCAGCACTTTGGGAGGCCGAGGCAAGCGGATCACCTGAGGTCAGGAGTTTGAGACCAGCCTGGCCAACATGGCAAACCCCGTCTCTACTAAAAATAGAAAAATCAGTCGGGCATGTTGGTGTGCACCTGTTATCCAAGCTACTTGGGAGGCTGAGGCATGAGAACCCCTTGAACCCAGGAGGTGGAGGTTGCAGTAAGCTAAGGTTGAGCCACTGCACTCCAGCCTGGGCAACAGAGTGAGACTTTTTCTAAAAACAAAAGAGCCAAAAAAAAAAAAACAGGCAAAAAAACCAAACTCCAATGCCAGTGTACAAATAAAAGAGTAAAACAGGCCAGGTGCGGTGGCTCACGCCTGTAATCTCAACAGTTTGGGAGGCCGAGGTGGGCAGATCACAAGGTCAGGAGAGCAAAACCATCCTGGCTAACATGGTGAAACCCTGTCTCCACTTAAAAAAAAAAAAAAATACAAAAAATTAGCCAGGTGTGGTGGCGGGCACCTGTAGTCCCAGCTACTCGGGAGGCTGAGGGAGGAGAATGGCGTGAACCTGGGAGGCGGAGCTTGCAGTGAGCCGAGATTGCACCACTGCACTCCAGCCTGGGCGACAGAATGAGACTCCGTCTCAAAAAAAAAAAAAAAAAAAAAGAACAAAAAACAAAAGGAACCATGAACCGCTCCTAAGGGGAGAACAAAAGGAGCGGAGGAGCGGACATGACACTTCCCCCAGCAAGCAGACGTTTCCGGTTCTTCTCTCTCTCTCCTTCCCACATCAACCGCAAAAGCCACCAACCTCCTCTGGGTTCCCGTGACAGAGGTCACAGTCCAGGTCCCCCTTGCATCACTTGAATCCACTGTCAAATGCTCCCTGCTGGGGTCTCCTGGAGTCTCTCCCCAAGCCAAGGGGCTTCCTAGTGCAGCCTGAACATCTTTCCAAAGCACGACAACCTCACTGCCCACCTGAACAACTTCCTTAGCTGATGTCTTTCTCTATCGAGGCCAGGGTCCACAGTGCCAATTCCACCCTCTCTACAATCTCTACAACCACACTGGCTCGCCATCTTGGTGTTTCCTGGCTTGGCTTCACTGCTCCTTCCAAATGCCCTCCACTTGACTTTGCATTCGTGTTTTCTGTCTGGGTGTCCCACACACATGTGGTTCTGAAGGGAAGCACCCATTCCTTGAAGTCGGTTCACCCCACAGCCTCTGTGATGCCTTCCCTCATCTTCCAACTTCTGCATGCCCGTAGCTCTCCAGTTACATCCTCTTATAATGTGACATTGGGATTAGGTCATCTCCCCTGATTACTCCCAGTCCCATTAGACTAGATGCCTGTAGAAGGCAGGGTCCTGGCAAAATATCAATGTATTCAATTGCTTTTTTTTTTTTTTTGAGACAGACTTGCCCTGTCCCCTAAGCTGGAGTGCAGTGGTGAGATCATAGCTCACCGCAGCCTCCATATCCTGGGCTCAAGCGATCCTCCCACCTCAGCCTCTTGATTAGCTCCGACTACAGGGCTGTGCCACCACACCTGGACAGTTATTTATTTATTTATTTATTTATTTATTTATTTATTTATCAAGACAAGAGTGTTGCTGTGTCTCTCAGGCTGGAATGGAGGGGCCCAATCTTGGCTCACTGCAACCTCCGCCTCCTGGGTTCACACAATTCTTATGCTTCAGCCTCTTGAGTAG
This sequence comes from Homo sapiens, assembly GCF_000001405.40. Taxonomy (NCBI): domain Eukaryota; kingdom Metazoa; phylum Chordata; class Mammalia; order Primates; family Hominidae; genus Homo; species Homo sapiens. Next base: position 100,319,043 of record NC_000007.14, read on the forward strand.
CTAGGACTAATGGGTGTGCCACCGCACCAGGCTGATTTTTGTATTTTTAGCATAAATGGGGTTTCTCTGTGTTGGCCAGGCTGGTCTCAAACTCCTGGTCTCAAGCAATCCACCTGCTTCAGCCTTCCAAAGTGCTGGGATTACAGGCATGAGCCACCACGTCTGGCGTATTTTTTATATTTTTAATAGAGACAAGGGTCTTGCTATGTTGCCCAGGCCTGTCTCAAACTCCTGGCCTCAAGTGATCCTCCTGCTTCGGCCTCCCAGTGTGCTGGGATTCCAGGCCTAAGCCACCACTCTTGGTCACCAGTTGGGTTTTTGTCTCCATCCTGAAGGAGTGGGAGATGCCCTTGATCAGGTCTCTGTCCAGCAGAGCCCTCCTGAGGAAGGCGTGGCTCTCTGCAGGGTGGGTGCCAGTCCTGAGCTAGGGACGGTCCCTTACCTTCCTCTCTGGGAAGCTGACCTCAGCCGGAGGTCTCTCCTGGTGGTGCCCCTGAGCAGCAACCTGATTTCTGTCCTCAGCTATCTGGCCAATGACATGGAGGAGGACGACGAGGCCCCCAAACAAAAGATCTTCTACTTCCTGTACGGGAAGACCCACTCTCACATACCCTTGCGCCCTAAGCATTGGTTCCAGTTATGCCGTCCCATGAACCCGAGGGCCAGGAAGAACTGCTCTCAGATAGCCTTGTTCCAGAAGCGTCGGTTCCAGTTCTTCTGTTCCATGCGCTGCAGGGCTTGGGTTTCCCCGGAGGAGTTGGAGGAGGTGGGTGGGGCCTGGGGAGGTGGAGGATGTGGGGAGGAATCGGGTGGGCTGGAGGCTGGACGAGGGGAGAGAGGGGTATCCTGGGGAGTCCCCGTCTTCTCAAAGCGCATTTGTTTTTCCAGATCCAGGCTTATGACCCAGAGCACTGGGTGTGGGCGCGAGATCGCGCCCACCTTTCCTAGAGCTCCAGGGACCGTGGAGGCCTGAGGTCATCGGCCTGAGAGAAGGTACATCTGCATCCTCCGGGGTAAAGGCAGAATATTGGGGTCTATTTCGGAAATCCAAGGAACCCAATTGCTTGATCTGGCTTCAAGCCTCGGCAACGTGGCGAGATATCCCCTCTCCACAAAAATACAAAAATTAGCCAGGCGATGTGGGAGGCATCTCTACTCCCAACTACTCAAGAGGCTGAGGCAGGAGGATCGCTGGAGCCTGGGAGGTCGGGGCTGCAGGGAGCCCTGATCCTGCCACTGCACTCCAGCCGGGGCGACAGAGTGAGACCCTGCCTCAAAAATAATCATAAATACTGAGTTCGGGGAGGTTCTTTATGATTGATGCACTTGAGTTACCGATTTGGGTCGAGGGTTCAGTGAAGCTTTGGTTTACATCTTGTGCAGCTAACCATGTTGAGCACAGAGCATGAGACTTCGTCATGAGGAGGTAGGATTATGGATTAGGCTTCTGGACTCGTGGTTTGTGATGTTGTCACATTAGAAACAGATCTAGCACAGTTACAAGTTTAGATCTGAAGTGACACAAAAGACCCTAGCTGTGATGAAGTCCAAAGCCACATTCTCTGAGGGTGCCCTACTCCCTGGGAAGACCCACCCAAAGTCCTCGCTATGAAGCAGATCACTGGGGCTGACCTTGGGTGTATTAAGTTTTGGAGTCAGGGTCACCAAAGCGTGAGTTTCACAGTTGAACACGATGGTTCAGAAGCAGGGTATAGAATGAAAGGCAGGAGATAAAATCGCACTTCTCAATTGCTCTGAACTCTAGCTAGACTTGACATGGGACGTGAATAACCTTCCTGTCTAGAGAGCTGTCTCCTTGAGGTGTGACATTGTCTCTCTCACTTCCAGAACACCGGACCCAGGGGAGATGTGGATTTTCAGCAGGAACTTTATTCCAGTGCTAATGGCAGACATCAGGAAGGAGGAGAGGAGCCATTTGTGCAGATCATCTAGAAGAACCTGGACCATTCTTGACAGAGCTGAATACAGTGATCACGTTGTCCTCCAAGGAGCAGGGGTGGGGTGGGGTACTTCTAGGAGTCCTTGGAGAAAAGTAAGAAACCAGGAGTGTTTCCAGTTCCACCCTTTCCTGCGGCACCACCTCCCTTTTTATATTGCTGAATGCCAACCTCCCTGGGGCGGAACCTGGAGGTCCTGTTTCTTACGGACTTGGTTGCCACAGTCCAGGAGCATTTGAAGGCACAGTGCAGGGGCTCAGATTGGCACAGAATTCTTTGTGAAATATGAGTGCCACAGACTGTAACAGATAGCTTCATGCACACTATGCATTTTATTGGTTTGTTTGGAAAATGTTGGCCATTGAATCATTAATAGGTTTATTTCAAATAGTTTGGAAATTGTTGTACTTTTGAAAACATGCTGTTCCTGTAGAGTTTTTTGATGAGAGTTATAGTTGTTATATATACATAAAGATAATTTTCTTTTCATTTTTAAGTGAGAATTCTTTTTATCCTAAATCTTTTATTATCTTTAAATTTTTCTCTGTATTATTATATGTGCTCCTGAAGCGAGCACTCTTTTTATCTATGATACTTCCATAATAATCTCTTCTATTTATAGCTATTGGTAGTTCCCCCAAATTCTGGTCATAGAAATTTTTATTTGCTGTTTAGGTTTGTGACTGAATTGTGAGAATTCAGTTGTGATTTTTAACATGTCTTAGATATATATACTAACATGTCTAATATATACTATCTATTTTATTGATTTATTTCGAAAAAGATGGGCAAAGAATTATTTAAATATTATTTTATTTATTTAAATATTTATTAAATATATTTATTTATTTAAATATTTATTAAATATATTTATTTATTTAAATGTTATTACTTTAAATATTATTTTAAATATTTTGGAAATACTGGTATTTTTGAATAGATGCTGTTTCTATAAAGCTGTGTGATGGGTATTATAACTGTTATATACACATAAATATAATTTTGTTTTCCTTTTTAAGAGAGGATTCTTTTTATCCTAAATCTTTTACCTTTCAATCTTTGTATCTATTACTACATATGCTGCTGAAGGGAGCAGACTTTTTATCTATGATACTTAGTTAATGTATATATTACATTTATAGCTATGTGGTAGTTCCCCTAAATTCTTGTAAAAATAAATTTTTATTTGATATTTAGTGTATGTTTGAAATGTGAGAATTCAGATGGAATTTTTTATCTTGTTTTGGCATGTTTGTATGTTACTTTAAAGAGGATGTGTGTTCTAAAGGAGGACATGAGCTGTGTGTTTTCAAGAGAACAGTGCAGTGCATCTCTTGGGGAAACATAATAAAGATGAACTTTTCTCACCTTCACAGTGAGTGTGATCATATTGTGGTCTGGATTGATTATTTGCTGTCAAGTGACATTTTTCCTTAATGGGGTTGTGGTTATTTGAACATATTTATTAGCTCTGGAAGATAATCCTGTGTTGTTTTTTATGTAGAAAAAAACATAAGGCTGGGTGCAGTGCTCACACCTACAATCCCAGCAGTTTTGGAGGTCATGGCGGGAGGATCACTTGAAGCCTATTTTTAATTTTTATTTTTTAAAGAAAAACAATAGAAGAGAAGGCTGATCCCAAGCTACAGGGTTTTTTTGTTTGTTTGTTTGTTTGTTTTGGAGACAGTCTCGCTCTGTCTCCCAGGCTGGAGTGCAGTGGCACAACCTCGGCTCCCTGCAACTTTCACCTCCGCGTTCAAGCAAATTCTCCTGCCTCAGCCTCCCAAGTAGCTGGGACTACAGGCACCCGCCTGTACGTCTGACTAACTTTTGTAAAAATAGTAGAGACAAGGTTTCACCATGTTGGCCAGGCTGGTCTCAAACTCCTGACCTCAAGTGATCCACCCGCCTCAGTCTCCCAAAGTGCTGGGATTATAGGCATGAGCTACTGCGCCCAGACCCCAGGCTAGAGTTTTAAAGCAGGAAATGAGAGAAAGATATTGAGAGAGGAAAACCAGGTGGTAAGAAAACTCTAAAGGTGGCTGGGCGTGGTGGCTCACGCCTGTGATCCCAGCAGGAGTTCGAGACCAGGCAGGAGAATCACCAGCAGAGAATATGTCTCCCCAACCCCTCTCAAAAAAAAAAAAAAAAAAAAGGGCCAGGCGCGGTGGCTCAGGACTGTAATCCCAGCACTTTGGGAGGCTGAGGCGGGCGGATCACAAGGTCAGGAGATCAAGACCATCCTGGCTAATATGGTGAAACCCCATCTCTGCTAAAAATACAAAAAATTAGCTGGGCGCGGTGGCAGGCGCCTATAGTCCCAGCTACTCCGGAGGCTGAGGCAGGAGAATGGTGTGAACCCAGGAGGTGGAGCCTGCAGTGAGCTGAGATCGCGCCACTGCACTCCAGCCTGGGTGACAGAGCGAGACTCCATCACAAAAAAAAAAAGAAAAAAAAGAAAAAAAGAAAGTTCCTGCAACAGTTCAAGCTGTGAAAGACAGGCGCTCTGCCATGCAATTCTTTGTGATTTTTCTTTTTTATTTTTGGAGTCGGGGTCTTGTGCTGTCACCCAGACTGGGGTGCAGTGGTGCGGTCACAGCTCACTGCGGGCTCAGACTGAAGCTCAAGCGATCTTCTTATCTTGCCTTTCTAATTGCTGGGATTATAAGCATGAGCCACTGCACCTGGCCTGTGTGACGTAATTCTGATGTCAACTCCCTGATGTTACATCAAATGCTACAGGTTAAGGCCACCAGCCCCCGCTAGGCTGCCCTCGCTTCAGATGCAGCTGCAAGCTTGGGTGTCCACAGACTGCATGTACTTCTCACCAACTGGCTGCAAATTTGGAGGTTCCCACCACGTCCTCAGGTTTGATAATTCACTATAACAACCCACAGAACTCTGAAAAGCATGATACTTTCTCTTTCTTTATTTGAGACAGAGTCTTGCTCTGTCGCCCAGGCTGGAGTGCAGCGGCCACCATGCTTGGCTAATTTTAGTATTTGTATTAGAGACAGGGTTTCGCCATGTTGGCCAGGCTGGTCTTGAACTCCTGACCTCAGGTGATCCGCCCACCTTGGCCTCCCAAAGTGCTGGGATTACAGGCATAGCCACCGTGCCTGGCTGACTTCTAGAGTTTCAATAACAGAGATGTGGTTCAAGAAGAAAAGGGAGACATGTTTTGTAGACAGCAGGAGCTTCATGAAAAGAAGCCAATGAAGGGCAGGATGTGTAGCTGTCTACCTACAGGAAACCAGCCAGGAGCCTCCCCGCAGGGAGTTCAGCACAGACGGCCGGGAAAATCTGCATTAACCTGAGCTCTGGACCTAAGAGAGGACAAGGCCTTGACTGTTTCTACAGACTCACAAGACGCAATCTCTGCGGTCCATGCCCGTGGTGTGATCTGGGAAACAGGGGGCCTTCTAAATGCCAACAACAAGGAAATCAAATGCGCAACAGACAGAAATACCGGCATTGACGCGGGCCATGGAGAGGCCTAAACAGATGACTGCAGTCCACTGCCAAGGTCATCAAAGGGGTGACTCTGAAATAAGAAATTTCAGACGCCACGGCCCAAATAGCTGCACGAGGTGGGGAAGTCCTCCACATGCCTCTGCTTCCTTCAGTACCTCTTCATGAAATAAGCGGAGGTACTTCCCTGGGGAATTTCCTTTCTCTTTCTTTCTTTCGAGACAGAGTCTTGCTCTGTCGCCCAGGCTAGAGTGCAGTGGCGCGATCTCGGCTCACTGCAACCTCTCCCTCCCGGGTTTTGGCAATTCTTCTGTCTCAGACTTCTGAGTAGCTGAGATTACAGGTGTGTGCCACCATGCCCAGCTAATATTTGTATTTTTACTCGAGACAGGGTTTCACCATCTAGGCCAGGCTGGTCTTGAACTCCTGACCTCATGATCCACCCGTCTTGGCCTCCCAAAGTCCTGGGATTACAGGCACGAGCCACCGCACCCAGACTTCTTTATTTTTTGAGATGAAGTTTCGCTCTTGTTGCCCAGGCTGGAGTGCAATGGCGAGATCTCAGCTCACTGCCACCTCCACCTCCCAGGTTCAAGTGATTATCCTGCCTCAGCCTCCCGAGTAGCTGGGATTACAGGCACCCAACACCAAACCCAGCTAACTTTTTGTATTTTTAGTAGAGATGGAATGTCACCATGTTGGCCAGGATGGTCTTGAACCCCTGACCTCTAATGATCTACCCGAATTGGTCTCCCAAAATGCTGGGATTACAGGCGTGAGCCACTGTGCCCAGCCCCTCCCATACCTCTTTTGGCCAAGGCAGTACAATTCAGAGAATCTTGCCAGGGAAGACTGGTAAATGGACGTCAACATGATGCCTATGGCTCCTGGTGGATTTAGATACCTCCTGGTGCTTACTGATACCTTTACCAGTTACATGGGGGCTTTTCCATGCCAGACTGAAAATGCAGGAGATCACTGATCAACCTTCAACTATTTACTAGCAGAACACTGAGGGGACTCTGCAGTCACCAATATCTCCTATTGCACTTGGATAAACACCTCCCGGGAAATAGAGATGAATAGAAAGGAAATAGTCAAACAAGCAGAATGGCTACATTCCTTCAACCAGAAGGGTCCATTAGTCTGTTTTCACACTGCTATAAAGAACTACTGGAAACTGGGGAATTTATGAAGAAAACAGGTTTAATTGACTCACAGTTCTGCAGGCTGTACAGGAAGCATGGCTGGGGAGGCCTCAGGAAACTGACAATCACGGCAGAAGGCGAAGGGGAAGCAGGCACGTTTCTGGCCATGGTGGAGCAGGAGAGACAGAGAGAGTGAAGCGGGAGGTGGTGCATGCTTCTAAACAACCAGATCCCATGAGCGCTCACTCACTATCATGAGAACAGCAAGGGGGACGTCAGCCGCCATGAGCCAATCACCTCCTACCAGGTCCCTCCCTCAACACTGGGAATTGCAATTTGACATGAGATTTGGGTGGGGATACGGAGCTGAACCATATCAAGGGTAGTACAACCACTGAGATTGATTGACTGAGATGGAGTCCCGCTCTGTTACCTAGGCTGGAGTGCAGTGGCACAATCTCGGCTCACTGCAACCTCCGCCTCCCAGGTTCAAGCAATTCTCCTGCCTCAGCCTCCCTAGTAGCTGGGACTACAGCACACGCCACCACACCTGGCTAATTTTTGTATTTTCAGTAGAGACGGGGTTTCACCATGTTTGCCAGGCTGGTCTTGAACTCCTGACCTCGTGATCACCCTGCCTCGGCTCTTCTTTTGCTGGAATTACAGGCGTGAGCCACCGCACCTGGCCAACCACTGAGATTTAGAAGGCAGTCGAGTCCACTATACCACACCTCACCTGGTTTCTTCCTCTGTTGGGGCGCCTCGTGGCCACTGTTCTGTTACTTTTTGGTCCTATTTATTTAAATGGATGGTGAGCTGTTTGTCCTCCAGGATCCAACACTTCCACCTTCAGCTTGTATTACAACAATACCAGCCTTTCAAGCTACTCCAGGTGACCCCAGAACTCATTTGAACTCAGAAGCCCAAGAGTTTCATTCCTCTCACTTTAGGGGACTAAGTGCCCCTAGTCAGCATGAAGTCGATACAGAAGCATGACCTCCATCCCTAATCCCTCAAGAATGAGGAGTGGAAGGTGTCGGCAGGAGGGTGGGACGCGGTTTGTAAATCTGTAACTGCATCAGACCAAATCTAGTTCAACTTTTTTTTTTTTTTTTTTTGATGGAGTTTCGCTCTTGTCACCCAGGCTGGAGTGCAATGGCACGATCTCAGCTCACTGCAACCTCCACGTCCTAGGTTCAAGCATTCTGCTGCCTCAGCCTCTGGGGTAGCTGGGATTACAAGGGTGCGCCACCACGCCTGGCTAATATTTATATTTTTAGTAGAGACGGGGTTTCACCATTTTGGCCAGGCTGGTCTTGAACTCCTCGACCTCAGGTGATCCACCTGCCTTGGCCTCCCAAAGTGCTGGGATTACAGGCGTGAGTCACCGCACCCGAATCAGTTCAACTTTTATGTAATGAAGTTGTCAGTTGTTTTTCAATTGCCATCGACCCGCAGGTTGAAGGTCATGTACCCTGTGCATGCCCAGGTTAACCAAGCGTGCCACCGTGGAGTGGAACCTAAGAGCTCAGCCTGAAGAGCTCGGACCGATTTAAGAACCAGACACCCCAAGGCAGGAGCCAGGATCCAATCAGATTGAGTTTTGGCGTCACCCCATGGCAGGATCCAGTCAGATCACATCTCCCAGCATTACTTTATTGCAAGATCCAATCAAATCACACCTCATTACCCTACGCTTATAAAACCTGACATAGCCCCGAGCTGTGTAAGGGAGATTTGAGTACTTCCTCCTGTGTTCTTGCTGGCTGACTTACAAAAAAGCTTTAAAAAAAAAGCCGGGCGTGGTGGCTCACGCCTGTAATCCCAGCACTTTGGGAGGCTGAGGTGGGCAGATCACTTGAGGTCAGGGGTGCAAGACCAGCCTGGCCAACATGGTGAAACCCCATCTCTACTAAAAATACAAAAATTAGCTGGGTGTGGTGACACACACCTATAATCCCAGCTACTCGGGAGGCTGAGGTAGGAGAATCACTTGAACCCAGGAGGCGGAGGTTGCAGTGAGCCAAGATCACACCACTGCACTCCAGCCTGGGCGACAGAGTGAGAAGACTCCGTCTAAAAAAAAAAAGTTAAAATTAGCACCGAATGCTTTACAAGTAAAAAAAGTTTTTAGCTGCATATGTTTAAGTAACTTTTTAGATTATAAGAAATATGCATGCAAAATGGAAAGGCACAAAGAAGAGAGCAAAAAGTGCATGAGATCTCACATCCAAGGATAACCGCTGAGAACATGGAAGTGCTGACTCTTCCAGTCTTTATACTATACACATTTAGGCCTGTTGTTTTGTTTTCATAAAACTGTAATCATATAATATAGACAGTTTTATAATCTGCTTTTTAAACACAACAATTATATAACATTTAGCTGTTTCATTTGCATTCAAATTCATAAGGGTTCCAGTAACTCATTTATCAGAAAACCAAGAGAAATATTCTCATAAAAATATAAGTACATAAGGTCAGGCATGGTGGCTCACACCTGTAATCCCAGCACTTTGAGAGGCCGAGGTGGGCGGATCACCTGAGGGCAGGAATTCAAGACCAGCCTGGCCAGCCTGGACAACATGGTGGAACCCCGTCTCCACTGAAAATACAAAAATTAGCTGGGCGTGGTGGCGCGTGCCTGTAATGGTAGCTACTCAGAAGGCTGAAGCAGGAGAATCGCTTGAACTTGGCAGGTGGAGGTTGCAGTGAACTGAGATCGCGCCACTGCACTGCAACCAGGGCACCAAAGTGAGACTCCATCTCAAAAAAAGATAAAAATAAAAAATAAAAAAAATGTATATATATGTATATATATTTTTCCAGACAGGGTCTTACTCTGTCTCACAGTCTGAAGTGCAGTGACGCAATCATAGCTCACTGCAGTCTCAAGTTCCCGGGCTCAAGTGATCCTCCCACTTCAGCCTCCCAAGTAGCTGGAACTACAGGTGCATGCCACCATGCCCAGTCAATTTTTTTTTTAATTTTTCATAGAGACAGAGTCTCACTATGTTTCCCAGTCCTAATAAACACTATGTGATAAAAAGAAAAAAGTAAATCATTCTGAAGTTAAGTCTTTAATGAGAAATGCAAATAAAGCATTTCTCAATAAATTAGGGGAAGGGAATCAACTGAAGAATAAACATCTTTAGTAAATCTTTTGCTCATGTGCATTAACCAATATTCTTGAAAACCAGGATTAATTTACTGTACCTTCTTAATATTCCTTTGAAATTCTTTATGGTGCACAGGTAGCGTAGAAAATAACTGCTTCACACTGACTGTCATCCCTCTGGGGTGGGGGTAGGGGGTTTTCTGGATGATTTTCCCATAGTGATCAAACACCAGTCGAGTCCCAACCTTCGCCGATACATGGCAGGTAGAAATGGTGACATCACTGTGAGAGAATACCAGGCATGGTGTGTTCAGTGAGAGATCCGTGATGTTGGGCACTGACTACTCTTTTCTTCACTTGCTTTTCTCTCAAAATTTTCTTAAAAAGCTGATGATCCCTCTGAGATAACCGAGATCTAAACGGTTGAGGAGTCATCATAAAATCTAAGGTCTGGCATCTAAAAGACAGTGAGACAGAGAGCACTAAACATGCTTTGTTTTGATAAAAGCTTTGACTTCATTTTTCAGGTTGAATTGCAAAACCATAAATGATCTCAAGATTTATTGATTCTCAAATAGAGATTTGTTTTGTTATTACTCTTCAAACAAAATTTTTTAAAAGAATTTTTTTAAAGAATTTTTAAAAATTTAAAAAAATTTTTTTAAAGAATCCAAAAGATATTATAATTAAAATGTATATGTAGGGCAGGGTGTGGTGGCTCGTGCCTGTAATTCCAGCACTTTGGGAGGCCAAGGAGGGCAGATCACTTGAGGCCTGGAGTTCCAGGCCAGCCTGGGCAACATGGCAAAACCCCATCTCTACTAAAAATACAAAAATTAGCCAGGAGTGGTGGTGCACGCTATAGTCCCAGCTCTTCAGGAGGCTGAGGCATGAAAGTCACTTGAACCTGGGAGGCAGAGACTGCAGTGAGCTGAGACTGTGCCACTGCACTCCAGCCTGGGTGACAGAGTGTGACTCTGTCTAAAAAAAAAAAAAAAAAAAAAAAAATATATATATATATATATATATATATATATATATATATGTATATATATGTGTGTGTGTGTGTGTGCATATAATTATTTATAAAAATTTAGTATCTGTGCTATAATTAAATAGTGCTTTGGTGAAATGTTTCCCTAAAAATTGATAATGAAAACCAATGGTAACTATCATTTATTATCTATATGTTATGTTCAAATTGAGAAGTTACTGTTTTAATAAGGGTAACCAATTTTTTTAACAATACTATTTGCTTCATTTCATTCATTTATTGCTCACATTTCAGAAGTACTAGGACTTAGATTGGCAGTGAGACAAAACAGAATTCAGAAGCTGGAAGCTGAGATATTGAGACAGAAAACTGTAAATAATAATGATTCCAATTAATTTTCAGAGAGGTTTTTCTAAGGGGTCAAGTGAATGGATAAAAATATTTTATCACCTCAGTGCACAAAGTGAGCTCAGAGCTTCCCCCCGAAAGCCAAAAGTTTCAACCTGAGGTAGGTCGGCAAACTCTTGAATCTTAGATGTGTGATGTTTCAGAGCTGAAAGAGAGTATAAAGTAAGGACTAAGATATCTTAAGTGCTATAACAACAAATATACATGATATCTAGTAACTGGCTTTAAAAAACTGTTTTTGTGTTTCCCAAGACAGTGTTACTCAAAATTCTAAGACATGTGGCCCAATTATTTTATAATAGGATTAGAAAAAGTTAACTTACTTAAGCCTTCGAAGTTTTCTTCTTCTACCCCACATCCATTGCCTGAAACTTCAATGAGATCCACTCCATAGTCCTTAAGCTTTAGATCTAGAAAGTTTAAAATATTTATATATTTATTAAAAATGGACCCATGCTATCAGTTTTTATATTGATATTATTTATAACGTGCAAATTTAAGTGTCGTAACTAGACCTTTAGTTAAACATACTAGTGTCATTTTGTATATTTCATTTTTATAAAGTTCTTTCTGGCTATTTACTAGCCCAGATTAAATAGTTTAGCATTTTCTTTCTTTCCTCTTTTTTTTTTTTTCCTTATGCTAGTCAAGTGAAGCAGTTGGAGTGGAGAAGGAACAAAAAAATCTGTAACTGGTTGTGATCAATTAGTTGTAAAGACCGTTGCACTTTGACCAGCCTTTTCCTTTGAAAGAAATAATTTTAACATACCCAGTAAGGAGAACGGGGGCCAGGCGCGGTGGTTCATGCCTGTAATCCCAGCACTTTGGGAGACCAAAGCGAGCGGATCACCTGAGGTCAGTAGTTCGAGACCAGCCTGACCAACATGGAGAAACTCTATCTCTACTAAAAATACAAAATTAGCCAGGTGTGGTGGTGCATGCCTGTAATCCCAGCTACTGGTGAGGCTGAGGCAGGAGAATCGCTTGAACCTGGGAGGCGGAGGTTGCAGTGAGTTGAGATCGTGCCATTGCACCGCAGCCTCGGCAACAAGAGCAAAACTCCATCTCAAAAAAAAAAAAAAGAAAAAAAACAGAACTGGTTCTGGAATCAGACTTCCTAGATTCTATTTTATTAGCTTTATAATCTCCAAAAAAGGTAATTTACTGTCCCTTAATTTCCTCAACTGTAAAATGGAGGTAATAAGTTCTATCTCATAAAGTTATTTGGCAGATTAATAATTTTTTGTCTTTTTATTTTGTCATTTTCTTTTTTTTCTTTCCTTTTTTTTTTTTTTTAATTTTTTGAGATTGACTTTTGCTCTTGTCACCCAGGCTGGAATGCAGTGGCACAATCGATCTTGGCTCACTGCAACCTCCACCTCCCAGGTTTAAGCAATTCTCCTCCCTCAGCCTTCTGAGGAGCTGAGATTACAGCCATGCACCATCACATCTGGCTAATTTTTCTATTTTTAGTAGAGACAGGGTTTTACCACGTTGGTTAGGCTGGTCTTGAACTCCTGACCTCAAAGCATCAGCCCCCCTCAGCCTCCCAAAGTGCTGGGATTACAGATGTGAGCCACTACTCCAGGATTTATTTTATTTTATTTTATTTTATTTTATTGTTTTGAGACGGAGTCTTGCTCTGTCCCCAGGCTGCCGTGCAGTGGCACAATCTCGGTTCACTGCAACCTCCACCTCCCAGGTTTAAACAATTCTCATTCCTGAGCCTCCCCAGTAGCTGGGATTACAGGCTTCTGCCACCAGGTCTGGCTAATTTTTGTATTTTTAGTAGAGACAGAGTTTCACCATTTTGGACAGGCTGGTCTCGAATTCCTGACCTCAGGTATCCACCCGCCTTGGCCTCCCAAAGTGCTGGGATTACAGGCATGAGCCACCACACCCGGCCTACTTTATTTTTTAATAGAGACGAGGTCTCACCATGTTGGCCAGGTTGGTCTTGAACTCTTGGCTTCAAGCAATCCCCCCACCTCAGCCTCTCAAAGGGCTAGGATTACAGGCGTGAAACACCACGCCCAGCTATTCTGCAAATTAAATGAGATATTTCTGTGCAACTCTTAGCATAACACCTGCCTGGCGCACCATAAGAACACAATAAAAGCTGTTGTTATTATTATTACTACCTAGCTAAGTACTAGGCACATAATAGGTGCTAACTTTAACTTAAAAATAATAATTTATTACTACATCAACACTTGATAGTCTTATTTCAATAACAAATGTTTCTTGACTACAACAACATTCACTGATCATTTCTTGTGGCTTAAAACTCTCCCAAACTTACCAATATTAGTGGCACCAGCATCCAGACTGTTTTCTACTAACTCCTTCACCGCAGTGCTTAGACTCGGTACCACCGGCCCAGAGCAAATCTGATGGACTGACTTCCGATCAATAGGTTTGATGGCCTTAGCAGGTTCTGTACTAAAGAAATCAGTTACAAGAAACAAAGCAAGTATTCAGCTATATATTTTCATCCTGATTTTAACTGTGGGAAATGACTCAACACTGCAAATAGTTTACGGGTCTAATCTATTCATTTATTATATTAACAAATACATTTATTATATCCAGAAATGGAAACATTGTTTTACAATCCTTAAACAAGTACCCAAAATACTTCTGGATAGACACTTCAAATTCAACAGATCCTTACTACCTAGTATCCACATGGAGAAAACATACATTGTATCTCTCAAATTACCAAAATCTTTGGCAATAATGGTGTCTTCTTTCTTGAAAACTGAAAGCATGGCCGGTGCGGTGGCTCATGCCTGTAATCCCAGCAATTTGGGACACAGAGGCAGGCGGATCACTTGAGATCAGGAGTTTGAGACCAGCCTGGCCAACATCGTGAAACCCTGTCTCTACCAAAAATATAAAAAATTAGCCAGGCATGGTGGTGGGCGCCTGTAATGCCAGCTACTTGGGAGGCTGGGGCAGGAGAATCGCTTAAACCTGGGAGGCGGAGGTTGCAGTGAGCTGAGATTGCAGCATTGCACCCCAGGCTGGGCAATGAGCAAAAAAAAAAGTAAAAGCAACATAATTTCCCACATAATTAGAAAAACCAACAGTATGCTGGGAAATACACAATGTTTTCAGTCAAAATCATCTCAGAAATTGGATACCAGTTATATAACTATTCCTTATACACAGTTGCCTTTGATACCCTACTCCAGATTGAAGCTGCCAGCTGCTGTCTTAGCAAAGACCCTCAAAGTTCTTGCTGTACTTGCTTTAAGAGTTTTTTTTTGTTGTTTTTTGTTTTTTTTTTTTTGAGACGGAGTCTTGCTCTGTCGCCCTGTCGCCCAGGCTGGAGTGTAGTGGCACGATCTTGGCTCACTGCAAGCTCTGCCTCCCGGGTTCACGCCATTCTCCTGCCTCAGCCTCCTGAGTGGCTGGGACTACAGGCGCCCACCACCATGCCCAGCTAATTTTTTGTATTTTTAGTAGAGACAGGGTTTCACCGTTTTAGCCAGGATGGTCTCGATCTCCTGACTTCGTGATCCGCCTGCCTCAGCCTCCCAAAGTGCTGGGATTACAGGCGTTAGCCACCACGCCCGGCCCGCTTTAAGAGTTTTATAACGGTTTCATTTCCCCTTATTCCCTGCTCCAACCCATCCTCCACTCTATCACCAGAGCTATTTTTGAAATCACGAATCTGGTCAAATAATTTTTCTGCTTGAAAAATTACTAGTGCCCCACTTCCTACTATATGAAACTTAAAATCTAGTCATCACTGGGCCCCAAACTACCTTCTTTTCAGAATCTCTCTAATCCTTTCCCTTCATCAAGTCCCCTACATTATTATTACTATTATTATTATTTGAGACAGAGTCTCACCCTCTCACCTGGGCTAGAGTGCAATGGCATGATCTCGGCTCACTGCAACCTCCACCTCCCAAGTTCAAGTGATTCTCCTGTCTCAGCCTCCCAAGTTGCTGGGATTATAGGCACCCACCATTACACTCAGCTAATTTTTGTGTTTTTAATAGAGATGGGGTTTCACCATGTTGGCCAGGCTGGTTTCTAACTCCTGACCTCAGGTGATCTGCCCGCCTTGGCCTTCCAAAGCACTAGGATTACAGGTGTGAGCCACCGCAACTGGCCGTCCCCTATATTGCAGCACAGTGAACAACTGTTTCCTGAACATCACAAGCTCTTTTAAACACTACAGTGTATAAGCAGGTCTCTGTCTAAACTGCTCTCCTCTTGCTCCTCTGCCCAACCAATGTCTGCTCATCCAAAGAATGTATCCCGTGTGTTCACTAACTTAGCAAGTTCCAGTAAACAGTTTAATTGATCACTCGTTAAGAGAAGGCAGGAAACCTCCATGAAAAGAGAAATCAGTGGGTATTTCCTACAGCATTTAACACATTGTAGGCCTTAAATAAACCCTTGTGAAATAAACAAACCTCTTTACTCTTCATTCTATGTTGCTAAGAATCTCACCAAAGTCTGTCTACCATGTGAAACTGCAGATGACCTCACAGAAAATGGAAAGAAGTATCTCTAAAAATAAGTTTATTTGGCAACACACTACAGGCTACAGGTCCAGTTCTGATTTTTTTTCTTTTTTTTTTTTGAGATGGAGTCTTGCTGTGTCACCCAGGCTAGACTGCAGTGGTGCAATCTCAGCTCACTGCAACCTCTGTCTCCTGGGTTCCAGCGATTCTCCTGCCTCAGCCTCCCAAGTAGCTAGGATTACAGGCGCCTGCCACCACGCCCAGCTAATTTTTGTATTTTTAGTAGAAATGGGATTTCACCATGTTGGCCAGGCTGGTCGTGAACTCCTGACCTCATGATCCACTTGCCTTGGCCTCCCAAAGTGATGGGATTATAGGTGTGAGCCACCGCACCTGGTCCACTTCAGATATTTAGATACAGACGGCAAATTTATTTAAATGTCTCAATACATTTAAATGTAGTTACCTAAATATATCTAATATATTTAAATGCAGAGAGCAAATTTGCGTTTACAAATCTGACATGGAATTCAACTGTGCTAGCCAAGATTCGGTGTAGCTTACTAGCCAGAAATCACATACCCTAACAGGTAAAAATGCATTGCATTTTTTAAAACTGCGCAGCTATGCAAATTAGGATGTGTCTGGACGCTCTACTGTCCCCAAAATAACCTCAATTTTTTTTTAAAGGCCAGGCACAGTGCATTACGCCTGTAATTCCAGCGCTTTGGGGGGCCAAGGCGGGCGGACTGCTTGAGCTCCGGAGTTCCAGACCAGCTTGGGCAACATAGCTAAATCCCCGTCTCTACAAAAAAATAAAGTAAAAATTAAAAATAAAATAATATAAAAATAAAAATAAAAGGGGAGAGAGAACAGGTAGGAAGGAAATGCATTCAGTCTATAGGGATTTCACGTTCCGGCTTCAAGTCCACGGCCCTGTGATGGGATGTGGGCAGGGCCTGAGACAGGCCGAACCCAACTCTTCACAGGGCCGAATTCTTTGCCCGCAGCCCAGCACCCCGAAGGAGCTTGCCTCGGCTTCAAGGCGCACCTAATGGGCACCGGATCGCTGGGGCGCTGAGGATGCCGCTCCGGGGCCTCCACGAGGCGGCCTCGCCACGCGCCTCGGCCATGTTCCCCCCATTTCCAGGGAGGTTGGACGCCGTGGTTCTTAAAGAGGGCGCGCGAGAGGGGCGACCGCGAGCCCAGCTCACCTCGAGCTCTCAGCTCGCTCCAAGGATGCAACACCGGATCCGCCTCGGGGACTGGGAAAGTTCCCTCCACGGCTCCCACAGGCGCCCCGCCTCCTGGGCTCCCAACGGCTGCTTTCGACGTTGTGCTCCACCCTTTCCGGGCGGGGCGGAAAAAATACTTCCCGTCTCTCCTTTTCGCCTAGTGGCTCTGTCAAAGGTCGAGTCCGTGACGTCAAAGAGCCTGGACCAATCAGAGCACACCGGACTGCGTTTTTTCCGAACGCCAGCAGCAGGGTCAGAAGGGAGGTAGTCGCCCTCCGTCGTGGCCTGGCGTGGATTCCGAGCGTTGGTGTCTGGCGGTTTCCGACCGTTGGTGTCTGGCACGCGCCACCCCGATGTACCAGGTAAAGCCCTATCACGGGGTCGGCGCCCCTCTCCGTGTGGAGCCCACCTGCATGTACTGGCTCCCCAACATGCACGGCAGGAGCGGCGGCCCAGCACTCGGCACTGGCCACTTGCAGGTAGGAGCGCGGGGCCCCCCCGCCCACTGCGCACGCGCGGCGGCCCGTTGCTGGCCCAGGTGCCCCTAGGCCGGATAGAGTGCGTCCCAACCGATTCGCGGCCCCACCCCGGCATCTGTGCCGGCCGGCCAGGGGGTCACCCAGATTTTTATGTTTTAAAAGATTTATTCAGGCCGGGCGCCGTGGCTCACGCCTGTAATCCCGGCACTTTGGGAGGCCGAGGCGGGCGGATCACCTGAGATCAAGAGTTCGAGACCAGTCTGGCCAACATGGTGAAACCTCGTCTCTACTAAAAATGCAAAAATTAGCCGGGCATGTGTCGGGCGCCTGTAATCCCAGCTACTCGGGAGGCTGAGGCAGGAGAATGGTTTGAACCCTGGAGGCGGAGCTTGCAGTGAGCTGAGATCGAGCCATTGCACTCGAGCCTGGGCAGCAAGAGTGAAACTCCGTCTCAAAAAAAAAATTATTATATATATATATATTTTTATATATGTTAAATATACCTTTATTATGCGTATTATACATATTGTATATTATGTGTAATATATAACATGATATATTATAAAATATATATTATATATATATATATCTTTCCTGGTCGAGCGCGGTGGTTCACGCCTGGAATCTCAGCGCTTTGGGAGACCGAAGCGGGAGGATTGCTTGAGCCCGGAGAGTTTGAGACCACCCTGAGCAACATAGCAAGACCCTTGTCTCTATGTTTTTTTTTTTTTTTGAGTTGGAGTCTTGCTCTGTCGCCCAGGCTGGAATGCAGTGGCCTGATCTCGGCTCACTGCAAGCTCCACCTCCCGGGTTCACGCCATTCTCCTGCCTCAGCCTCCCCAGTAGATGGGACTACAGGCGCCCGCCACCATGCCTGGCTAACTTTTTTTTGTATTTTTAGTAGAGACATGGTTTCACCGTGTTAGCCAGGATGGTCTCGATCTCCTGACCTCGTGATTCGCCTGCCTCGGCCTCCCAAATTGCTGGGATTACAGGCGTGAGCCACCACGCCCAGCTGCCTTGTCTCTATTTTTTAAATGTTTTAATTAAAATAAAAATCTATCCATATTTTTTCTTTTTTTTTGCGTATGGCTGCTTAAACATTTTAGTTCAGAATTCTATCCTCTGAAAAGTGAGTAGCACATAAATGCTCATTTTGAGGAATTACAAAGCGAACCCCAGGGTCACCACCTCCCAGGTTGACACACATTGTGACCGCTCCATTCTTTCCACTTAAACCTTCCCCACCAACATCCCAGGGCCCGATTTTTATGGTAATTATGTCCTGCTTGTCTCTATTATTTTGTCAGCTAAGTATCCCTAAACAATATGGTCTGGTTTTTTGTTTGTTTTTGTTTGTTTGTTTTTTTCAGACGGAGTTTCACTCTGTCACCCAGGCTGGAGTGCAGTGGCATGATCTCGGCTCACTGCCACCTTGGCCTCCTGGGTTCAAGGAATTCTCAGGCCTCAGCCTCATGAGTAGCTGAGATTACAGGCGCTGTCCACTGCACCTGGCTAATTTTTGTATTTTTAGTAGAGACGGGGTTTTGCCATGTTGACCAGGCTGGTCTTGAACTCCTGACCTCAGGCGATCCGCCCGCCTTGAACTCCCAAAGTGCTGGGATTACAGGTGTGAGCCACCGTGCCCGGCACCTAAACAACATAGTTTTGATATAGGTAAGCATACAGCATATATTTTGATGTATTTCAGGTAATTTAGTCTAAGAACAGGAAAGGACAGAAAATGAACACAATTTGTAGTTCTTTGTTGTTAACAAACTAAGAATACTTTGCTTAAATAAGTAGCAATGAGAATGTAACTCAGTAATTCATACAAATAGACAAGAAGACAAGAAAATGATTTGAGGACAGCTTCAATCGCGGTGTGAAGAAGAAAGCAACAAAACGACCACTGAAAACAATGCCGGTGAGTCAGCCAGTTTTGTTTTTGAATCTTGTCAGGGAAGCAGCCCAGCTATTCGGGAGGCTGAGACAGGAGAATGGCACGAACCCCGGGGGCAGAGCTGGCAGTGAGCCGAGATCACGCCACTGCACGCCAGCCTGGGCGACAGAGCGAGACTCAGTCTCAAAAAAAAGAGAAAACCTAAGAGGTTCAGGTGATATGGTTCAAAAAAGGACAAGATTTACAAAGTATTAAGGGACGGAAATAGGAAGAAGAGAAATTTCGAAGAGAAAAGAAAAGAAAAGGATGTTTGGTTATAGAGATACAGGAAGGGGACTCAAGGAATTTTTTTTTAAAGGGAAAAAAGTTAATAAACTTCATAATATAAAAATCAATTATTTTAGGACTGAGTCTAACTCAGACTCTGCTGTGGAATTGGCAGCGTAAGCCTACTTGTGTGATAATGATGAAACCAAGTGTTAATGTCACTGTTACCTTTTTTTCATATTTCTGATCTTTTTATGTGTATCAGGTGGCAAAACATCCAAAGAAAGGGTCCCAAGTGGTACATCGTCATAGCTGGAAACAGTCAGAGCCACCAGCCAATGATCTTTTCAATGCTGCGAAAGCTGCCAAAAGTGACATGCAGGTAAAGCAGTGTCTTACCTCTGTTGATACCATCTCACTTTTTGTAAGGTGGTAAGGACAAGTGTCTACAAACTTGATTTGATGTGAACATTTTAGTGAGTGTAACATATCAAGAAAGATAAGATTATGGGGTGAATCCTTGGAGTGATAGAAGGGTAACCTTGAATAAGAGAGCATGTTCTTTTTTTTTTTTTTTTGAGACAGAGTCTCTTTCTGTTGCCCAGGCTGGAGTGCAGTGGCACAGTCTCAGCTCACTGCAGCCTCTGCCTCCTGGGTTCAAGCGATTCTTATGCCTCAGCCTCCCAAGTAGCTGGGCTTACAGGCATGTGCCACCATGCCTAGCTAATTTCTGTATTTTTAGTAGAGATGGGGTTTCGCCATGTCGGCCAGGCTGGTCTCCAACTCCTGACCTCAGGTGATCCGCCTGCCTCGGCCTCCCAAAGTGCTGGGATTACAGGTGTGAGCCACCGCACCCGGCTTCGAGAGAGCGTTTCTTTTCTTAAAGCGTGTTCTTTTCTTAAAGGTATCACAGGAGTGATTATGCCTTTGTTGATTGATGGAGCAGATGGGGAGAGGCATTGCATGACATGGGAAGGAAGCTTAGATGTGGGTGGCACCTTGTTCACCCATGTTATTTTTTAGCTCCATCTTGACAATTATACTTAATTATTTTTCCCTCTCTCTGTTTCTTTTTTTATAATTTTATTGAAGTTCTAATATCTGAAAGTGTACAAAGCGTATATGTAGTTTAAAAAATAAAAATGAGATATCACCCAGATCTCTAGCCCCAGCTCAAGAAATGAAACATTAATAGTGCTGTAGAGATCCTTTGTGTACCTTCTTTCTACCCTACCTCACAGTCCCCTTATTACCCATAGGTAAACACTAGGGTGAATTTTGTGTTAATCTTTGTCATTTCATTATAGTGTTACCACTATGAATGTGTTCTTTAATTATGTAAATGAATCCATTATTCAGGCTTCTGTGATTTAATTATTTCAGTTAACATTGTTTGAGATTTATCCACATTAATGTGTAATTTTATAGTTTCTGGGAAAATATTTAAAATTTTCAAACATACAGAATTTTGCTAGTTATATTTTCGTTATTTGATTTCTAACTTTATTGTGTTGTAGTCAGGGAATGTGGTGTTTGAAATTTATGTAGGGGCTGGGCGCAGTGGCTCACAGCTGTGATCCCAGCACTTGGGGAGGCTGAGGCAGGCAGATCACTTGAGGCCAGGAGTTCGAGACCAGCCTGGCCAACATGGCGAAACCCCATCTCTACTAAAAATACAAAAATTAGCTGCATGTGGTGGCATTTGTCTGTAATCCCAGCCACTTGGGAGGCTGAGGCATGAGAATTGCTTGAACCCAGGAGGTGGAGGTTGCAGTGAGCTGAGATTGTGCCATGGCACTCCAGCCTGGGTAACAGAGTGATACTCTGTCTCAAAAAAAAAAAAAAAAAAAGACATTTATGGAGACTTAGCCTTATGGCCTAGTATTGAGTTGGTACATTCGTTTTATCTTTTCTGTTTCTTTTTCCCCCTTTGCTTACTTTCCTCTGGATTTCTTATCTTCTACAAGGACCTGAGCACATTTTAATTCCAGTTGTCTTTTCCACCTTACATGCAGTTGTACAGTGTGTTAGTTTTTTATTTGAAACGGAGTCTTGCTCTGTCACCAGGCTGGAGTGCAGTGACGCGATCTTGGCTCACTGCACCTCCGCCTCCCGGGTTCAGGCGATTCTCCTGCCTCAGCCTGCCAAGTAGCTGGGACTACAGGCACCCGCCACCATGCTTGGCTAATTTTTGGCCACCATGCCCAGCCTGAATGAACTTTCAAAATTGGTTTTTAAAAGAGGTATGGAGGCCGGGTGCAGTGGCTCACACCTGTAACTCCAGCACTTTGGGAGGCCAAGACGGGCAGATCACTTGAGGTCAGGAGTTCGAGACCAGCCTGGCCAACATGGCGAAACCCCATCTCTACTAAAAATACGAAAAGGTAGCTGGGCGTGGTGGTGCACCTGTGTATTCCTTTCATCTTTCTCATTATAGGATTTCTGACAGGACTCTGGGCCCCTCCCCAGCTCCACTCCCTACCTCAAGAATGTGACCATTTGGAAAAGGCAAAGAGAAAAGGAGCAAAATGAAGCATTCCCCCAGGCTTCAGCCCTGGGCTCTGAGGGGAAAGAGTGGGGCATTGTTTTTCTAACCTAACCTTTCCCTCTGGTGATGTTGGGGTAGAGAAGCCGAGAGACCCTGTCCTCCCTAATGCACTGTGGCCCAGTCCCCTTGCCTTTTTCCTGTTCTGTTTGGAGTGGAGAAGGGCAGCACCTCTGTGTTTAATGGAAGTAGCCCATAGTCTCCTGGATTTTTGGAACATCTTTTTCAGCCTATTTTGTGTCCTAATGATTCACTCAATAAACATGTTTGAATCCACACGTTCCCAAGGTGTGGCTTGAGATCGTTAAACTGATGGAGGTCAGGTTCTTGGTCCGCCTTGTCCCATGGCCCAGTGTATAGGTGTCCCCACACCCCGCAGGTGCTTTGTCTACAGGCTCTCCAGGAAGTATTGCTTAGTAACTGAGAGGCGGGGTGAGGCAGTAGAGATGGGGAGAGTTTGACTGCCTGTGAGTAGTTTATCTAGTGGCCTCAGCCTCTGCAGTAGTAAAAGTTGTGCTGACAGGTGGCAGAGTGGAGCAGGACCTTGTGAAACTACCTGTCTCACCCACGTGAGCCAGGCCAGACCCTGTGTCCTGGCAGCCTTCATCCATGGGTTCTTTCCAAAGGAAATTTTATCCTCTCATCCGAAAGATACCTGTCATAATTTGGAATTTGATCAAATCACAGTATCTGAGAGTTAAAAGGAAACTAAGGAGTTACTCTAAATGTCCAACCCTAAAATCCAAGTGACAATGTCACCTTCACTCTTGCCTTCTCCAGCTAGTTCTTCACCAAATTCTGTCAAGACTTGGTGAAGAAAATTCTCTGGCCTATGTCCTCCACACATTGTCACCATCGTCTCTCACCTAGACTGCCACAGTGCAGCCTCAGGGCCAGCCTCTTGAAACTCAGACAGACTTGTTTGCTCTTGTTTTGCCTTGTGGAGCAGCACAGCACCTCTCTTCTCTCTTGTCCCTCTGACAAGCAGTATTTGAAGACAGATGTTGTCATTTTGTACTTTCACTGTTTTCTTTTGTGGTTTAAGGAATGCTTCAGCCTTTCTCTTTAGATATAATTTCTAGTTCTTCCCATCATGGGCACCTGCTTTAGTGACAGGTTCTCACTGTGGTCTCCTAGGCCAGACACAGCCATCCAGCTAGTGATCTGTGCAGAAGGAGCCGTGACTTCCTGCGATCAGGTCACTCAGCCAAGACCGCCTCGCCCCTTCCATTCTCCCTCCCCTCCCCCACCTGCCCCTCCCAGATGAAAGCTAGAAGAAATTGAGTTGTGAGTCTCCTTTTGGAAAGGTAGCCCTGGGGGAGTCCGAGCTGGGGTGTGGGGGAAGGCTAACTCATTCGGCGATCTTTAGCCTGTATTCAGGTAGAATAGTTCTGGGGAAAGGAGCCTGTTTTGTGGGATGAGGGAACAGAGTGGGAGAACTGAGGAGAAGATGCGGAGGTCTTTAAGAATCCAGGAGGGGAACGATTCCTGAGTTATTTAAATACCAACCAAGCTAAGGGTGCTTCACAAGAGGATAAGAGCAGCTTGGGGGCTTTGCATCAATATGGACACCTGTGTACAGCCAGGCAGCCCAGTGCACTGGGTTGAGTCACAGCCTTAGAATCTGGGAGCTTGACACCATGCTCTCTAAAGCCTTTGACACTGTTTATTGAGAGGCTGGGTCTAGGTTGTCTCCTCTTGAATATGGGCTTCGTGATGCTTGACTAATAGAAGATGGTGGAAATGATGCCATGCTAGTTAGTGGGCCCAGATTTTAAGGAAACTGGCAGTTTCCGTTTCCTGTCTCTTCCTGTACCTGGGTTCACACTGGGAACCCGGTCACCATTCTGTGAGCAAGGCCAGCAGTCAAAGGAAAAGGCCGTGTGTAGGTGTTCTTGCCAGCAGTCCTCACCGAGGTCCCAGCCAACATCCATGTTGGCTGCCAGACTCAGTCAAGACGGGAGTCAGATGATTCCAACCTCCCCTGTTTTTCAGTTTTCCCAGCTGAGGTCCAGACATCAGGGAGCAGAGACAGCCCATCTTTTCTGTGCACTTTGCAAATTCCTGACTGTGGAGTCCATGAGCATAATAAGATGGTGGTTGACAGCACTCAGTCTGGAGGGGTTTGTTACGTAGCCAAAGCAACTGGAACTGGGCCTTAGAGTCATAAGACTCCCAATGTTAGGACATTTATATCAAGGTTTTTTTAAAAATTGTAAGTTATATAAACATATACTAATTCTTCTATATTATACACATTAAAAATGTAACACATGAGTTGAAATAAGTGTTTTAAAATATTTCATTGGTTAGCACTGCAAAATACCTTTTTGCTCTTTTTTTTTTTTTTTTTTTTTTTTTTTTTTGAGACGGAGTCTCGGTCTGTCACCCAGGCTGGAATTGCAGTGGCACGATCTCAGCTCACTGCAAGCTCCACCTCCTGGGTTCACGCCATTCTCCTGCCTTAGCCTCCCGAGTAGCTGGGACTACGGGCGCCCGCCACCATGCCCAGCTACCTTTTGTATTTTTAGTAGAGACGAGGTTTCACTGTGTTAGTCAGGATGGTCTCGATTTCCTGACCTCATGATCCGCCCGCCTCGGCCTCCCAAAGTGCTGAGATTATAGGCGTGAGCCACCGCGCCCGGCCACCCTTTACTTTCAAAAAAGGGTTTAGTGAGAACAAAGTGAGAAACATTTTTTTAAATCATGGTTCAACATTTTCTGAAGTTCAGTTGAAAGTTCAGTTTAGTGCTGGGTGCGGTGGCTCAGGCCTGTAATCCCAGCACTTTGGGAGGCCAGGGTGGGCAGATCAGGAGGTCAAGAGATTGAGACCATCCTGGCCAACATGGTGAAACCCTGTCTCTACTAAAAATACAACAAAATTGGTGGCATGCGCCTGTAGTCCCAGCTACTCAGGAGGCTCAGACAGGAGAATCGCTTGAACCCGGGAGACGGAGGTTGCAGTGAACCGAGATTGCACCACTGCACTCCAGCCTGGCAACTGGACGAGACTCTGTTTCAAAAAAAAAAAAAAAAAGTTCAATTTATTCTGATACTTAATTTTAATGACCTTCATAACTGCCAGGAGTACCTCTCAAAAACAGGCAAATCCAAGTGGATTAGGTGCCTCTTTGCAGTTACCACTTTTTAAATAGATCCAAACCTGCTGAAAATCTTCATCTAGAAGACTTGTGAACAGGTCAGAGGATGATTTCCCGGCGCAGACAACAGTGCTCTCATGAGGACAGGCATTGTCTGGGAGCACAAAACCTGAAGTGTGTGAGCTGCAGTGTGTGGTGATGGGCTGGGGGTTTGCCTCTCTTCCCTCAGGATACTGATCATTTTCCAGGGGAATCATGACTTATCATGTTTTTATCTACACTTGATCTTGGCCAAAAGGCCAAGAAGCGATACTGTCTTTTTGTCTTAAAAGGTTAGAATGTTTCTTTATTTCTACTGCACAACATCTGTGGATACTTTTTTGTGCACGCCCTCACCCTGACAGGCTCAGCTGTGAAGGGTTCATGCCAGCAAGCCCCCTGCTGGCCGTCCAGGACAGCCCAGGGCTCTGGCTTCTCAGCAGCACCTCCCACTGGCCAGGCCCAGGCCAGGCTGGACAAGCTGAGGCCAGCTTAGGTAGCAGGCATGGAGGCCTTTGCCCAGCCTGGTAAGTGATGCAGAGCAGTGCTTTTCAGGGGCTGGCACTGTAGGGTCCAGCCCTACTGGGTCTGTGGGTTTTTCTCCTCGTGTGCGGAGATGAGAGATGGTAGAAATGAAGACACAAGACAAAGAGATAGAAGAAAAGACAGCTGGGCCAGGGGGACCACTACCACCTAGACGCGGAGACCAGTAGTGGCCCTGAATGCCTGACAGCGCTGCTATTTATTGTATACAAGGCAAAGGGGGCAGGGTAAGGAGTGTGAGTCATCTCCATTGATAGATAAGGTCACATGAGTCACGTGTCCACCAGACAGGGGGCCTTTCCCTTTTAGGTAGCTGAGGCGGAGAGAGAGAGGACAGTGTACGTCATTATTTCTTCTATGCTCTTCTCAGAAAGATCAAAGACTTTAATACTTTCACTAATTCTGCTACTGCCATCTAGAAGGTGGAGCCAGGTGTACAGAGCGGAACATGAAAGTGAAACAGGAGGGTGACTGCTGAAGCACAGCATCACAGGGAGACGGTTAGGCCTCCGGATGGCTGTGGGCGGGCCTGACTGATGTCAGGCCTTCCACAAGAGGTGGTGGAGCAGCGTCTTCTCTAACTCCCCCAGGGAAAGGGAGTCTCCCTTTCCCGGTCTGCTAAGTAACAGTTATCTTCCCAGGCACTGGCACCACTGCTAGACCAAGGTCTGCTAAGTAACGGGTGCCTTCCCAGGCACTGGCATTACCACTAGACCAGGGAGCCCTCTAGTGGCCCTGTCCGGGCGTGACAGAGGGTTCACACTCCTGCCTTCTGGTCACTTCTCACCATGTCCCTTCAGCTCCTATCTCTGTATGGCCTGGTTTTTCCTAGGTTATAATTGTAGAACAAAGATTATTATAATATTGGAATAAAGAGTAATGCTATAAACTAATGATTAGTAATATTAATATATAATCATATCTATAATCTATTTCTAGTATCACTATTCTTATTCTATGTATTTTCTTTATTATACTGGAACAGCTTGTGCCCTCGGTCTCTTGCCTTGGCAGCTGGGTGGCTTGCCTCCCACATGGCACTGCTGGGCATTGTCTGTTAATATTGAATAATTGTTTTAAGATTATTTTCAATGATTTTCAATAAGGCTTTACCTTTTTTAACTTGCAGTGTGGCCATGAGGTCTGCCGGAAGTGACTTGTTGGTGTTATCTCCTGAGTTAAAATGTGAAGGGATTTTTTTTTTTCAGATTACTGAGAGTCTTCAGTTACTAGGTAAGTCGCCCCATCCTTATTACTCCAGGTGACACTGACTGGGGTTTATGGGATGAAAGAGGAGTGTGTGCTTGGATGATGGGGTGTGATAGTGAAGGGGTGAAAGGTTTCTTCTCACACATAGACATCGTGAGGTCTTCCTTGAGCTCTTTAGAGCCTTCCCTCGGGATAGGATGAAATACTGAGATCCTAGAAAGGATTCACAAGACGAGTCACTCATCAGTGCAGATTCACCGATTCACCCCTAGATGTGTGTGGGATTTGGATGGCAGAGAGAAACAGGCACTGAAGATTTTTGGTCAGGACAGGGCAGAGAAATAAGGAGAAGAGTTGAAAATTCACCAAAGGATAGATAAACCCGGGGCGTTTAGAGAAAACCTGTAGTGTGCAAAGGAGCCCAGAATCCTGGGGAAACTTGGAGGGAAATATACTTAATTTGATTCACTAAGTTAGGCCCAGTGAAGGGATTGGGTGGCATAGGTAGAAGCCGAAAAATAAAGCATCTTGTATTGCTGGAATAGCCTCTGTTTCTGAGGTCACATCCAAACTTAGCGAGGCAGCTTAACCTGGTGAGAGACACGGGTTCAACTCCTGGCTTCTGCACTGCCAGGGCAAAGGACTGCCGTTTGCTGACACAGTCTTGTAATTCAATTTAATTTTTTAACCAAGGTGTGGGAGAAGGCAGCTCCGCATAATGCTGAATATTATGGGTTCTGAAGCGAAAATTTTTGTCAGGGTTTAAATTTTGGCTTCATTGTGTAAGTAGCCCTTCCACCCCGGGCAAGTTATTTCCCACATAAAGCAATTGCTAAGTATGGAGCTGATGTACGTGCATCACTGAGAATGGGTTTAGCACATAGTATCCACTGAAGACGCTATCTTGCATTAGCTGTATTACTGTGATAAAGGATAAGCTATAATTAAAGTTACAGAGGAACAAAAGCAGCCCTTTTCACAACATTTAAAACATGCATGTAAAAATAAATGCAGCAGTGACAAGTCTTATGCTACAAACTCAGAAGAGCAGAAACAACTTTATTTTTCCTCTATGATTTCAAGCTCTTTTTCTGCCCAGCTGCTGAGAAAATTTAACTCCTGAGTCTTCTTGGCTTCCTTCCTTTTCCCTAAGGTTGTGTCAAGTGCCAAAGCATTTAGGGGAGGGAGGAGGCCTCTAGTCCTCTGTCAAAAATATTTTGGATTTTTATAGTCATTTCCCTTTCTCTGTGGTGAGACTAGGCCCTCCAGGACCCTGTGTTTTGGCCCCAGGAATTGAGGCCATCTGAATCAGCTGCCTGGGTTCCTGTCTGCAGTGGGCCCCATGGGCCTACAGAAGAACAGAGGCTGCTCAGGGCTGGGCTGTTTGCTGCCCAGAACCAAGGCTAGGATGAGGAGCTCAGACTCTTCCAGTGGAAGCAGTGCTAGGACGGAAGACAGCCGCCCCTGAAGAGGGGACATTGACATACAGTTGATCTGCCTGGGAAGGTGTAATAGAGATGAACTTGTGTCATCGCATCTTTCACACAAGCCACAAAGAAAGCTAATCCTGATTCCTGGTGAGAAGAAACCAAACTCGAGGAATGTTTTATATCACAGGACGGTCACAGCCTGTACTGGGGCACGAGCCAGGGCTGAGTAGAGTGCTGCCCCTGCACTCACTGACTTGATCCTCTCATTTACTCTGTGGAGCAGTCCCTGTTGGGATCCTGCTGCTTTGGGAAATTGCTCTGTTAAGCTTGCAGAGCTATGAAATTGTGGCCCTATTTCAAACCCATGAGGGCCTGATTCTACAGACTGACCACTGGGCTCTTTTACTTCAGCAGGACTTGGGCTGGGGCTGCAGGGATTTCACCAAGGAATGTCAGGCAGGAGGTGGCCATTGTGAAACCTGTCCCATCTTGCCTGTACCTCCTGGCTGAAAGTGGGATGCAGGACTTAGATTGCCAAGCTTAGGAATTATTTGTGGCTCTGCTGTTCACAATTTTGGAGAATGTTAAGGAATACTCAAGAAGTTGTGAGAGTAAGGGCCCTCACATATATCAGAACATGAAAGCATTCCAGTTAGGACCTTGTGATATTGAAACTAGAATAAGCAACCCAGTGGATAGACTGTGAAAGAGAATCCACATATAGACCTATGTGTAAGAATTTATGATCAAGGTGGCATTTTGAAACAGTAGGGAAGGAGCCCAGCAGCAAATGGTCTGGGGAATCCTGGCCCTCCACCTGAGACGTTACACGGCTCTTTTTTTGAGACGGAGTTTTGCTCTTGTGCCCAGGCTGGAGTGCAATGGTGGGATCTCGGCTCACCACAACCTCCGCCCCTGGGTTTAAGCGGTTCTCCTGCCTCAGCCTCCCAAGTAGGTGGCATTACAGGCATGCGCCACCACACCCAGCTAATTTTGTATATTTAGTAGAGATGGGATTTCTCCATGTTGGTCAGGTTGGTCTCGAACTCCTGACCTCAAGTGATCCACCTGCCTCGGCCTCCCAAAGTGCTGGGATTACAGGCATGAGCCACTGCACCCAGCTACACAGCCTTTTTTTTTTTCTTTTTTTGAGACAGAGTCTCGCTCTGTCACCCAGGCTGGAGTGCAGTGGCGCGATCTCTGCTCACCGCAAGCTCCGCCTCCCGGGTTCACGCCATTCTCCTGCCTCAGCCTCCTGAGTAGCTGGGACTACAGGCGCCCGCCACCACACCCAGCTAATTTTTTTCGTATTTTTAGTAGAGACAGGGTTTCATCGTGTTAGCCAGGACAGTCTCGATCTCCTAACCTCATGATCTGCCTGCCTCGGCCTCCCAAAGTGTTGGGATTACAGGCATGAGCCACCATGCCCGGCCTACACAGCCTTTTTAACACCACCTCCAAAGTAAAGTTCTTCATGGACTAGGAAGAAACTCTTTATAGAGTTATGCATAAAAACAAAGCCATAAAAATATTTTCATAATCTTAGCCTTCCTAAGGAATACACAAACAGAAATGATAATGTTAAAGATCAAGCCTCATGAGAATTCAAACAGGGAGGGGAACAGAAGGAGCTGGCCAAAGGAGAACTTTGTGTTCTATGTTGTTTGAATCTTACACAATGAGAATTTAGGGGATAATGTGACTTAAAAAATTGAAAAAAAAAATGAAAATGGTGGGTAGTCAACTTTGCACCATGGCTTTTAAATCCCTCAATAAATTCTGGGCTCCCCATATTGGGGTGAATAAAAGACACACTTCCTCCAGGGCTCAGCATCCACCTGTGAAAATGCCCCCAGGACTGTCGAGAACCCAGCTGGGAGGCCACTTGGATGATTATCCAAGAAGTAAGGGCGCAGTACTTTGGGGCAGCTTCCTGAAGGTGGTGGGATTTGATCTCCTTCTTACAAAGTGGGATTTCAGCAGGTGGTGTAGGGAAGTTTAAATTTTTTCCCTGAAGGTTTGATAATCTGAGTCTATGAAACAAACATAAAACATTAACAGGAAAAAAAACCGACTTAAAAATGTTACTACGTGCACACATGTGCACAAGTCATACAAAATATATAAAAAAATAAATGGCCAGATGGTTGACACTTTTATACCCATCTTGAAATTACAGAAATAACGGGAGGCCTGGAGCGCAGCAAGACAGATTAGGGGAAGGGGAGAGGAGAGACTTGGCTAGCAAAGGTCTTGTTCTGCAGGTGACATCTCACAGCTGGTACTCTGCGGAGCCTGTGGTAGGCAAGTCCTTCAGACCCTTAAAGGGGTCCGCCTCTCAGTTTGTCTTTCCTAGATCCAGACACGGGGACTGCAGAGAAAGGCTGTGTGCATCCGCTGTCTACTCCACTGTCTCCTCTGCAGAGGCGGATTTCCCTGACTGAAGACCATGTTGCAGGCCCACAGCTGCCTACAGAACCGTCCCAAAATATGGCAAAGAAACCTATTCTGAGGTTAAATATTTTGGTTTCTTTCAGTGGGAGGCAAGGGTCTTCCGGACTAGGGAGGTAGATGTGCAGCAGCCTCAGGTGCTCTAGGTGCTTTGTAGCTACGCTGGCCAGGCCACCTGAGGTAGGTCCCCTTTGCACCAGTCTCACACCCTGCTGGGGGATGGTAGTGGAGACAGCAGTAAAAGCAGGTCTGAGGCAGGTGTGGAGATTAGTACAGGTGGCCTGGGCGAAGGGCAAAGGGTGAAGAGAATGTTGGGAGCCATGGGTGACTGGCTGCGGGCATAGGCACCATGAAGGCTACTATGGGCTGCAGGGTGTGGATGAGGGGACAGAGTTTGCCCCAGAGACCAAGTTGGTTTGTGTCAAACACCACAGGATTTTTATTTTGTATTTTTTTTTAATTTTTAATTTTTAAATTTTTTTTTGAGATAGGGTCTCACTTTTACCCATGCTGGAGTGTAGTGGCGTGATCTTGGGTCACTGCAGCCTCCACCTCCCAGGCTCAAGTGATCCTTCCGCCTCAACCTCCCGAGTAACTGGGACTACAGGCGAAAGCCACCACACCCGGCTAATGTTTATTTTTTGTAAAGGCAGGGTCTCACTATGTTGCCCAGGCTGGTCTCAAACTCCTGGGCTCAAGTGATCCACCCACCTCAGCCTCCGGAAGTACTGGGATTATAGTCATGAGCCACCACATCCAGCCAGCACCACAGGATTAAGCAGACATGATGAGTCTTTGACACAGGGGCAAACCAGGACCCAGAGAGGTGACTTGGGACAGGGCTGTCTCTTCAGTCCTTACCACACCGTGGACGAGATCAACCTTAAGACAGCACCCTGGGCTCTCACTGGACCCTGGATTCTGGCTCACAGCACACAAAGCAAACTGATCCCTGGAAAGGGTCACTTGTTGCTGCCTAGCAGCATTCTGGTAGGTTGGCATCCTCAAAGTGACATAAGCAGTGAAGCAATTCAGAGCAACATTTATTTATCAAGACAGGGTCTCACTCTGTCACCCAGACTGGAGTGCAGTGGTGTAATCACAGTTCACTGCAACTTCTGCCTCCTGGGCTTAAGCGATCCTTCAACCTCAGCCTCCCAAATAGTTGAAACTACAGGTGCCCACCACCACTCCTGGCTAATTCTTTCTTTCTTGCTTGCTTGCTTGCTTGCTTGCTTGCTTGCTTGCTTGCTTGCTTGCTTTCTTTCTTTCTTTCTTTCTTTCTTTCTTTCTTTCTTTCTCTTTCTTTTTCTTTCTTTCTTTCTTCTTCTTTCTTTCTCTCTCTTTTTCTCTGTCTCTCTCTCTCTCCCTCCCTCCCTCTCTCTCTCTTTTTCTTTCTTTCTTTCTTTTTTTTTTTTTTTTGTAGCGATAGGGTCTCACCATGTTGCCCAGGCTGGTCTTGAACTCCTGGACTCATCCTAAAGTGCTGGCCTCTCATTCCCTGTCTGTGCACACCTCACGGCAAGGGCCAGCCTGTTTCCTCCCGGTCACCTCCAAATCTTGCTGCTTTTAATTCAACTCAGAGGTATGCACTTGAGGTAGGAGGGCAGGGGAAGTGGGGATGGCAGGACATGGATGGCCCTTGAGGCATTGGCTCTGGGTGTCATGGGCTGTGAGAGTCAAGAAGGGCAGTGGCCTGCCTGACTTGGGTTCGAAAGGGTCACTCTGGCCACTGCGGTGAGAACTGAAACTAGCCAGGCCAATTCTCCATTGTTCCTGCTCTTCCAGGTAGGAGAATATTAGATTAGGTCTGGAGTCAGAAGGTAGCAGGGGCTGGGGGTTGCAGGGGGATGTTGAGAAGAAGTGGTCCTTTGGTCAGGGTGGGAAGCCAACAGGATTTCCTGGTGCATTGGAGGTGAAAGGGAAGAGGCGCTGGTGGTTGTGCTTTGGGCCTGAGCAGCCAGAAGCCGTTGCCATCACCTATGACAAGGGAGACAGCGCCTGGGGCAGAGCCCAGTATGGGGTGCATTCAGGGTAGATCAGGAGGTATGAGTGGGCAGTGGGCGAGCCAGGCTGGGGGTTGTGGGGGAGGCCTGGGTTGCAGGTTTAAGCGTGGGACCCACGTCAGATTGGTGGTGGGTCATGCATGCTGGGGTGGCTCTCAGGTCCTCCCTGCTGGCTTCCCACTCCCAGGGGCTTTCTCCTCCCAGATTCCTTAGCTGGGTGAGGGGCAGGACAGAGCCCTTTCCTAGGGAAGCCCGGCACCCCCTGCTGTCCAGGGAAGGGGAGTCCTTCTAGCCCCTGACAGCTTCTCTGCCCCTCCCCTGGCCTCCCCAGGCCTAGCCAGGGTTGAGTTCTCACCCACCTGTGCCGCCCTGCCTTGTTACCTGGAAGCACAGCCTTGGGGACTGAGCAGGCCCTCACTGTCACTTTAAGAAGGGAATCAGCCACTTTGTGCTCACCACCTCTGGGGAAGGTGTGAGAGGAGAGAAGGAAGTGGCTGTTTGGCTGCTGACAACATGAAGACTTCCTGCGATGAGAACAGAGGCACAGGTGCCGGCCCTGCAGCCCCCAGAACCCGGACTGGAGGGGGCCATGGGGCGCCGGACCCTGGCCCTGCCCTGGGTGCTGCTGACCCTGCGTGTCACTGCAGGTGAGTGCCGGCACCAGAGAGGGGCAGGGGCTGCAGGGAGGGTGATGTAGGACGACAGCCCACCCACCTTGCTGCTGTTCCACAGGGACCCCGGAGGTGTGAGTACAAGTTCGGATGGAGGCCACCGAGCTCTCGTCCTTCACCATCCGTTGTGGGTTCCTGGAGTCTGGCTCCATCTCCCTGGTGACTGTGAGCAGGGGGGGCCCCGATGGTGCTGGGGGGACCACGCTGGCTGTGTTGCACCCGGAACTTGGCATCCAGCAATGGGCCCCTGCTCGCCAGGCCCGCTGGGAAACCCAGAGCAGCATCTCTCTCATCCTGGAAGGCTCTGGGGCCAGCAGCCCCTGCGCCAACACCACCTTCTGCTGCAAGTTTGCGTCCTTCCCTGAGGGCTCCTGGGAGGCCTGTGGGAGCCTCCCGCCCAGCTCAGACCCAGGTGGGGCCGGGGTGAGGGGTCCAGGAGGGCAGGGAGGGGCTCGGGAACTGGCCATCCATCTGATTCTTGCCTCTGTGCCCAGGGCTCTCTGTCCCGCCGACTCCTGCCCCCATTCTGCGGGCAGACCTGGCCGGGATCTTGGGGGTCTCAGGAGTCCTTCTCTTTGACTGTGGCTACCTCCTTCATCTGCTGTGCCGACAGAAGCACCGGTGAGACCTGGGCCCTGTCCACGTCCCCCTGACACTGGGCTGGCCACATGCCGTGCAGAGCTCTGACCATCCTTGCTCTCTCCCAGCCCTGCCCCTAGGCTCCAGCCATCCCACACCAGCTCCTAGGCACTGAGAGCACGAGCATGGGTGAGGAGGGGGGCTGCTTTGGGGATGAGGTGGCAGGGGTAGGGGGGGCCAGGGCTGGGCCCAAGCTGTACAGACTCACTTGATCCTCCTTCCCCCGCGCAGGCACCCAGCCAGGCCTCCCAGGCTGCTCTCCACGTCCCTTATGCCACTATCAACACCAGCTGCTGCCCAGCTACTTTGGACACAGCTCACCCCCGACAGGGGGCCGTCCTGGTGGGCATCACTCCCCACCCACACCGCACACTGGCCCCAGGGCCCTGCTGCCTGGGCCTCCACATCCATCCCTGCACATGGCAGCTTTGTCTCTGTTGAGAATGGACTCTACGCTTAGGCTGGGCAGAGGCCTCCCTGCACTGGTCCTGGCCTCACTCTTTTCCCTGACCCTTGGGGCCCAGGGCCATGGAGGGACCCTTAGGAGTTCAATGAGAGAGACCATGAGGCCACTGGGCTTTCCCCTTCCCAGGCCTCCTGGGTGCCACCCCCTTACGTTATTCTTGGGCCTCTAATAAGTGTCCCACAGGTGCCTGGCCAGGCCCACCTGCTGCAGATGTGGTCTGTGTGTGTGCATGTGTGGGTGTGTGTGGGCACAGGTGTGAGTGTGTGAGCAACAGTACCCCATTCCAGTCGTTTCCTGCTGTGACTAAGTCAGCAACACAGTTCCTCTGACATGGGCCTTGGCTGTGCTTCTTTGGGGGTGAAGAGATTGGGGAGGAAGTCTCCACCCCTGGGAGGCAGAAGCCAGGTGAGAACCAGAGTGGGTTGGGGCCTCCTTGCAGGGCTGGGTTTGGCCCAGGGAGAGGGCAGTGTCCCAGTCTTAGAGATCTGTCCTGGCTTCTTGGGGTGGCGGGGGGTTGGGGGAGCTTCCTGAGGGACACCTGTGGCTTCCTAGACAGAATTGGGGGATCCCAGCGGGATGGTCCCTGCTGCAATCCCACCATGTCCTAGGACAGCAGCAAGGGTTCCTGGGGCTTCAGCCTGAGAAAAGTCCCTGTGATTTGACCTGGCGTCCCTCTGCCGGGCTCCCTGCTGTGGCCTGGGCTAGAGTCCTGATGCCCTCCTTCCACAGCTGGCATCAGGCAGGGCTGGAAAGTAGGAGGACTTGCCTGAAATCTGGCTGGATTTCAGAGCCTTGCTCTGTCACCCAGGCTGGAGTGCATTGGCACGATCTTGGCTTACTTCAACCTCCACCTCCCGGGTTCTAGTGATTCTCCTGCGTCAGCCTCCCGAGTAGCTGGGACTACGGATGTGCACCATCGTGTCCGCTAATTTTTGTATTTTTTTTTTTTTTTTCAGTAGAGACGGGTTTCACCATGTTTGGCTGGGCTGGTCTCGAACTCCTGACCTCAGGTGATCCACCCACCTTGGCCTCCCAAAGTGCTGAGATTACAGACTTGAGCCACGGTGCCCCGCCTGAATAGGAGCTTCTTAATCAAAATTTCAGCATGGCTCTGGGTCAAAATTGACCAGCTGATTTAATAAGTTGATGTAAAAATTTTACAGTCAGCTACCCCTGGGAGGGGGAGTCTCTCCCTAGTCAGTGAGGCACCAGATGCCAGAGCATTGGCAATGTACAAGGGGCTCAGCCCTGTGGCTCATATGTGTAATCCCAGCACACTGAGAGGATGCCTTGAGCCTGGGAGATTGAGGCCAGCCTGGGTAACAGTGACACCACGTCTCTGCAAAAAAGAAAATTAGGGGAGAACTGTGGTGCGTGCCTATAGTCCCACCTACAGGCAGAGCGAGACCATGTCCCCCACTAAAAAGAGGCCAAGAATGCAGGAAATATAGATAATATGGGCCCTGTGATGGGTGGAGGCCAAATAGATCAATACAGAATTGAAGAAGACACAGAGCACTTGTATTTCCCTTCAGGCATAGCGCGCTGGCTAGGACTCCAGTACCGTGAAGGGAGGCAGTGAGAGCAGACATCTGTGCCTCATTCCTGATCTCAAGGGGAAAGCAAGAACAAGGTGGGTGCCAAGGAGGGGCAAGGGGCTGGGGCAGGCATAGACGTGGCTGGTGAGGAAAGGAGGATAGTTGTTGGGGGAAGGTGGGGACATACAAGCAGCAGTTCTCAAAATGGGCAGGGTCCTGGCCCCCTCCCTGCCTCTGCTGAACACTGCATCCCATGCCTCTCCCATGGCCACCTGCTGGGCTAACGGGCTGGATTTAGACTCTGCCCATGTTGGAATCATGCCCTCCTCCAGGGCCGGTGCCTCCCAAAACCCCCCTCTGAGAGAGAGCCACAGCCCCAGGCTTAGCCCCAGGCCCTGTCACTGCTGTTGGGGGAGGGAGGATGAACCATCCGGGAGGCCTCACACCATTCCAGAGCAGAAATCCTGACACAAAAGGAATCTCCCATGGGGGTTCAGCTGGGTCCAGAGCCCGGAAAGTGACATAAACACGCACCTTGCATCTAAGGAGAATGCACGTGGCGGTACCGGGCCTGAGGCCCCTGGGGAGTATGTACCCTCCAGAGCTACCCAGAGGCTGTTGGCTAAAAGTTCTATGTGGCCCCCTCCTTGGGCAGCCTGGTAAGCAGGTGACCTTCTAGCTGGGTCCCATGGGCCACGGGCAAGGCAGGAATGGAACGAAGAGTCAGTCCTCAGTGGCTGGGTGTTGTATCCCATGCCTATAATCCCAGCACTTTGGGAGGCTGAGGTGGGCAGATCACTTGAGGCCAGGAGTTTGAGACCAGCCTGGCCAACATGGTGAAACCCTGTCTCTACTAAAAATATAAAAATTAGCTGGGTGTGGTGGCACACACCTGTAATTCCCAGCTACTTGGAAGGCTGAGGCAGGAGAATTACTTGAACCCAGGAAGCAGAGGTTACCGTGAGCCAAGATCACACCATTGCACTCCAGCCTGGGCAACACAGCGAGAATCCATCTCAAAAAAAAAAAACAAAAAGTCCTCAGGCAGGGTGGGCCACCCTCTTGAGGCCTTGCCCAAACAGCCAGGGGGTCCCTTGTCCTCTTTTCGGCCCACCTTTGCAGGTGGGACCAGTTCAGTCCAAAGCCCCGGTGCCTCAGTTTCCCTGTGGGTTGAACAAGGAGAATGAGGTGTATAGGGCCTGGCTCAGACGGAGGGGTTTCCTGAGCATGGGGAGCCTGTTTCCTCAGACCTGTGAAGGGAAGGAGGGTGGATCGGCCTGACTGGCCCTGGGAAGCACAGAGGAGCCTACTGGGACCAGGGAAGAGACTGACAAGAGAAGGGAGGCCTGTCCCTGCCTGCTTCTGTCTCAAGAAGATTGTTATCACTTCCTCTGGTGAAATCCTGCCTTCCTGTCCCCACGGCCCCTCAGCTGATGCCACCTTACTCTGGAGAGGATGGGCAGAGCCTCCTATGGAGGGAGCCCTGTGGGTCACCAAAGCTCCAGTGACCACCCCCGGGCAAAGACCTGCAGATCCCCTGTTAGAGACGGGCCCAGGACTTTGTGCGGGGTGCCCACTGTTGCTCTGAGCCTTCACTTCCTCAGGGAGGCTTCCTCAGGATCTCGAACCTGCGGAAGGAGGACCAGTCTGTGTACTTCTGCCAAGTCCAGCTGGACATACAGATCAGGGAGGCTGTCGTGGCAGTCCATCAAGGGGACCCACCTCACCATCACCCAGGGTGAGTCCAGCTGCCCTGGCACCAAGGAACCTTCCTGGTTCAGCCATAGGCTCAGGTGTGTGGAGGGAATGACCTGAGGGGCTGTATGAGGGAACAACCTCCTGGGGCTCCCCTATGCCTGAGTTCCTGCAACTCAGAAGTTGAGGCCCAGAGATCCAGGTAGAGGGGGCTCCAGTCCTGGGACTGCCCTGCAAGTCATGTGGCCTGGGACAGGGCTTCTCCAAGCTCTGTCCCCTCCTGTGTAGGGCAGGGAGGTCAGAGGGGACCCTGCAGATCCAGTCTCATGTCTGGGGGTCAAGGGGTGGCCTCGAGAGGGACCAGTCTCTGTGTAGGGGACCGTCAGCCCCCTCACCCCTTGAGCAAGACTGTGGTCCCTGCACCAAGGGAGCAGGCCTGGGGTGGGAAGAGGCCAGCTGGGCTGTGGTGGTGCCTGGGGACTGCATGGGAGCCCCTGCCAGGGAGGGAGAGGGACAGAGGACAAGCTGGGGGCTCTGGTGCTTGGGCTGGGGGCTGAGCGCCTGTGACCTCCACTGGCTTCCTCCTTCTCCTCTCTGAGGACTGAATCTGGGGTGCAGCAGAGCACAGACTCAGGCCCGCCTTTCCTCTCCCTGAAAGAGCCTGCGCTGGCCTTGGACAGAGAAAGGGATGAGAAGTGAGGCTGAGTGCGGTGGGGTCTGCAGGGATCCAGGTGGGAGGGGCCCAGCCAGCCAAGGTGAGGCCCAGCCCCTCAGCAGGAAGATGGGCACTGGGGCCCTTGGGCAGGGCTGACTTGACACTTTTGTGTGACTTGAGCCACTGTGCCCAGCCTGAACACCCTTTCCTGGTAAAACACTCCACAAACCAGGAAGAGAAGGAATGTACTGCAACAAAATAAAGGCCAGTCATGCAAGGCCCATGGCTGAAAGTCTTTCAGTCATTTTAGATGAAAGACTGAAATCTTTGCCTCCAAGATCAGGAACAAGAGAAGGATGCCCGCTCTCACTACTTCTATTCAACACAGGATTTGAAGTCAGGCCGGGCACAGTGGCTCACGCCTGTAATCCCAGCACTTTTGGAGGCTGAGGCGGGCAGATTACTTGAGCCTATGAGTGTGAGACCACCCTGGCCAACATGGCAAAACCCCATCTCTACTAAAAAAAAAAAAAAAAAAAGGATTTGAAGTCCTGGCCGGAGCAATTAGGCAAGGGATAAAAAGGCACCTAAGGCCCTTTTGCAATAAGAAGCCAGATGGATAAAGGAAGTGCTGGTCACCCTGGAGGTGTACTGGTTTGGGGAAGGTCCCCGGCCCCCACAGCCCTCTGGGGAGCCTCACCCTGGCTCTCCCCACTCACCTCAGCCCTCAGGCAGCCCCTCCACAGGGCCCCTCTCCTGCCTGGACAGCTCTGCTGGTCTCCCCGTCCCCTGGAGAAGAACAAGGCCATGGGTCGGCCCCTGCTGCTGCCCCTGCTGCTCCTGCTGCAGCCGCCAGCATTTCTGCAGCCTGGTGAGTACCCAGGACCGCCCAGGTATGGTCTCTGCCCAAACCACAGGAGGGGCCAACCCAAGACAAAGGCAGAACATCTGGGGCAGGGGCCAGGCTCCCACCTCCAGCAAACAAGGGCGGGTCCCATAGGGGTGGGTGCCGCCATCTCTTCCCCCTCCACCCTCCCCCATGCCTGAAGAGTGGGAGACCCAGGCCAGAGGTCAGTCCAGCCACCTGTCACACGACTGCCTGTGGGTGAAGGTGTGGGAGGGTCTGGGGTCACCCTCTTTGTGTCCTGAGGTGGTTTCAAGGTCTCTCCCCCACTCACTCCCTCCTTCCTCTAGGTGGCTCCACAGGATCTGGTCCAAGCTACCTTTATGGGGTCACTCAACCAAAACACCTCTCAGCCTCCATGGGTGGCTCTGTGGAAATCCCCTTCTCCTTCTATTACCCCTGGGAGTTAGCCATAGTTCCCAACGTGAGAATATCCTGGAGACGGGGCCACTTCCACGGGCAGTCCTTCTACAGCACAAGGCCGCCTTCCATTCACAAGGATTATGTGAACCGGCTCTTTCTGAACTGGACAGAGGGTCAGGAGAGCGGCTTCCTCAGGATCTCAAACCTGCGGAAGGAGGACCAGTCTGTGTATTTCTGCCGAGTCGAGCTGGACACCCGGAGATCAGGGAGGCAGCAGTTGCAGTCCATCAAGGGGACCAAACTCACCATCACCCAGGGTGAGTCCAGCTGCCCTGACACCTGCCTTGCCCACCGCAGTGAGGGTTTTGGTGACCACTGATGTCTTCACATTTAAACCCAGTGGTCTGGATTGAGAGCTGTTAGCATTTCACCTTGCTACCCCTTCCATGTCTGGGCTTCTGAGAGCAGCTTGCTCATCCTGAATGTCCCCAATCTAGAAAGCAGCACACCATGCCTTTCATCCAGACGCCCCACACCCCCAGAAGAGGGTCTGCTCATTCCTCATCTCTTCCAGCTGTCACAACCACCACCACCTGGAGGCCCAGCAGCACAACCACCATAGCCGGCCTCAGGGTCACAGAAAGCAAAGGGCACTCAGAATCATGGCACCTAAGTCTGGACACTGCCATCAGGGTTGCATTGGCTGTCGCTGTGCTCAAAACTGTCATTTTGGGACTGCTGTGCCTCCTCCTCCTGTGGTGGAGGAGAAGGAAAGGTAAGTGCCCAGAACGCACTGTCTCCTCAAGCTTCCCAGCTGGGGGTTTCTCTGAGCCCACCTGCAGCTAAGGGACTTCAGAAATATGCAGACCC
This sequence comes from Homo sapiens, assembly GCF_000001405.40. NCBI lineage: Eukaryota > Metazoa > Chordata > Mammalia > Primates > Hominidae > Homo > Homo sapiens. Next base: position 100,359,633 of record NC_000007.14, read on the forward strand.
TGCTGGCTCCCCTCAAGCCCACCAAGGCCGACTCTGGCCTGTGCTGGGGCGTCTGCATCTCGGGGGCCTCCTGCAGTGGGGTGGTGCAGGGTCACATGTGAGAACCCCCAGCCTGGGCGCGGTGGCTCATGCCTGTAATCCCAGCACTTTGGGAGCCCAAGGCAGGTGGATCACAAGGCCAAGAGATCAAGACCATCCTGGCCAACATGGTGACACCCCATGTCTACTAAAAATACAAAAATTAGCTGGGCATGGTGGCACACGCTTATAGTCCCAGCTACTCAGGAGGCTGAGGCAGGAGAATCGCTTGAACCCGGGAGGCAGAGGTTGCAGTGAGTCAAGGTCGTGCCACTGCACTCCAGCCTGGTGACAGAACAAGACTCTGTCTCAAACAAACAAACAAACAAACAAAAAAAGCCCCCAGCCCTCTCCACACAGCTGGATCCCCCCAACTTCTCTCTCAGTCATCAATCATCCACGCTCCCCTGAAGGTTCCTGGGGAGGGGAGGGCCTGCCCTGGGAAAAGAACAGAGAGAGGAGAAGGGACCAGAATTGGGCTGAGCTCAGCAGGCACTGGCTGACTGCCCTCCTGCCACGGCCTGGCTTGAAACTGGAGAAGCAAAGTATATAAAGCATAGGCTCTGCTCTCAGGGAACTGGGGGTGTGGAGTTGTCAGTTGCCTCAAGGACTAATTGCTTCATTGAGAAAGAACTATGGTATTGCTAAACAAGGGTGGGAGGAGAGAGAGGTAATCAGGGAGGACTTCCCACAGGAGGTGGCATCTGCAGATGTCTCAAAAAAGAAAAGAATTAGCCTGGCAAGAGGTGAGGATTGTGTAGAGGTCACTCACTTTCCTTGTGGGTGGAGGAAACCATTCCAGGAGCTGTAGGAAGCTTGGTGCTGGTGAAGGAGGCAGGAGAGGAGAGAAGAGGAGATGACCTTAGAAATCACATCCAAGAGCCTCTGATCCCAGAGGCAGCGTGAGGCAGCAAAGGGTGACCTCAGTTCCCCATGAGAGACCTCAGTCTATGGAGGAATGGCCAGAGGTGGGCCAGGCTGGGTCAGTGCAGTGCAGGAGTGAGGTGGAGAGAGGGAAAGGGCCAGATCCTAGAAAAGATTAAGTAATAAAAACCAATGAGATTGTTAGATTGATGTAGGGGCAAGGGAGCAGGAAGAAGCACCCGTTTCCACTTGGGTGCATGGGGCTATGATGAAACCACCAACTACAGTAGACAATAGAGGAGGAGACTATGTTTGGAGGGGAGCGATGCCTCGTTTAGTTCGGAATTTGTTTTTTTGTTTTGTTTTGTTTTTTGTTTTTGAGACAGAGTTTTGTTCTGTCGCCCAGGCTGGAGTGCAGTGGCACAATCTCGGCTCACTGCAAGCTCCCCCTCCTGGGTTCAAGCCATTCTCCTGCCTCAGCCTCCTGAGTAGCTGGGACTACAGGCGCCCGCCACCACACCTGGCTAATTTTTTGTAGTTTTAGTAGAGACGGGGTTTCACTCTGTTAGCCAGGATGGTCTCGATCTCCTGACCTCGTGATCCGCCTGCCTCGGCCTTCCAAAGTGCTGGGATTACAGGCTTGAGCCACCGCACCCGGCCAGTTTGGAATCTGTTATACGGGAGATCCATGTGTGGCATCTCAGCAGAGTTGTCCATTGGAAACTTGGATGTACACATTTCCAGTTCAAAAGAGAGGACAAGGCTCCAGGCAGCAATGAGTTCTACCTCAATATCCTCCAAACCTGACAGTAAGTTACCATCAAGAAAGTCTTCAGGCCAGGCACGGTGGCTAATGCCTATAATCCCAGCACCTTGGGAGGCCAAGGCGGCTGGATCACCTGAGGTCAGGCGTTCAAGACCAGCCTGGCCAAAATGGTGAAACCCCATCTCAATTAAAAACACAAAAAATTAGCCAGGCATGGTGGCCGACACCTGTAGTCCAAGCTACTCAGGAAGCTGAGGCAGGAGAATTGCTTGAACCCAGGAGGTGGAGGCTGCAGTGAGCCGAGATGGTGACACTGCACTCCAGCCTGGCTGATAGAGCGAGACTCCATCTATAAAAAGTAAAAAAGAAAGTCTTCAGTGAAAGGAGATTCGCCCTATCAGCTATGAAAGCACAGAGGGGAGGAACATGGAGTAGGGGCTGCCTGCAGTCAGATCCTGCCCTCACAACCTTGCCAGGGAAACAGGCTCGTGGGTACAAAGGTTGTGTGCCTCAACTTCCTCATGGAAGCACGTGAGATTATTTTATAACCATAGAGTGGAGACAGTCAGTATGACCACCAAACCCAGGAGCCATATATTAAAATACTGATAAATTTAACTATATAAAAAAATTTTTGCCGGGTGCGGTGGCTCACACCTGTGATTCTAGCAGAAAATCAGATCAGGAGATCACAGAAGGTCAAGGAACTACTGAGAGAGCAGGAATGGAGAGCAGGGGGGTCAGCAGGAAGCTTGGAGAATCTGCAAAATAGTAGATTACAAAGGATCAAAAGTCAGTGAGGTTCAACAAGAGGTAGGGTGGGATAATGACCAAAGACAGAGGGAACACTTCCAGGTTCATTCTGTGAGGTCAGCAACACCATGACCTAAAAGCCAGATAAAGACCCTGCAAGAAAAACAATACACAAAATACAGATGAAAAGGCTGGTGAATATTGATGGGAAAATCTTCAACAAAATTCTAGCAAACCAACTTTCACAGCATGTTAAAAGGACTGTACGCCATGACCAAGTTGGAGATAGCCCTGGAATGCATGTATCACCCAAAACAGGAAAATTAATGTAGTGCACCCCATTAGCAGAATGAAGGACAAAACCCACATGATCATCTCAACTGATACAGAAAAAACATTGGACAAGATTGAACACCTTTCCTTTTTTTTTTTTGAGATGGAGCCTCGCTCTGTTGCCCAGCCTGGAGTGCAGTGGTGCCATCTTGGCTCACTGCAACTTCTGCCTCCCGGGTTCAAGCGATTCTTCCACCTCATCCTTTCGAGGAGCTAGGATTACAGGTGTGCACCACTATGCCCGGCTAATTTTTGTATTTTTGGAAGAAACGTGGTTTTACTATATTGGCCAGGCTGGTCTCGAACTCCCGACCTCAAGTGATCCGCCCACCTTGGCCTCCCAAAGTGCTGGCATTGCAGGCTGAGCCACGGTGCCCAGCCTGAACACCCTTTCCTGGTAAAACACTCCAAAACCAGGAAAAGAAGGAATGTACAGCAACAAAATAAAGGCCAGTCATGCAAGGCCCATGGCTGAAAGTCTTTCAGTCATTTTAGGTGAAAGACTGAAATCTTTGCCTCCAAGATCAGGAATAAGAGAAGGATGCCCGATCTCACTACTTCTATTCAACACAGGATTTGAAGTCAGGCTGGTCACAGTGGCTCACACCTGTAATCCCAGCACTTTTGGAAGTCGAGGCAGGTGGATTACATGAGGCTATGAGTTTGAGACCACCCTGGCCAACATGGCAAAACCCCATCTCTACTTAAAAAAAAAAAAAAAAAAAAAAGATTTGAAGTCCTAGCCAGAGCAATTAGGCAATTAGGCAAGGGATAAAAAGGCATCTAATTTGAAAAGGAACAAGCAAAATGATCTCTGTTTGCAGGTGACAAGATCTCATATGTAGAAAATCCTAAGTATTGCACAAAATTACCTGTTGAATGAATGAATTCAGCAAAGTTCCAGGAAACCAATTTAACATGCAAGCAAAAATGTATTACATTTCTGTGCACTAAACATAAACAATCTGAAAAGAAAATTAAGAAAACAATTCCATTTACAATAATGTCAAAAAATAAAGTAAGATCTTTAGGAATAAACCTAACCAGGGAGGTGAAAGACTTGTACACTGAAACTACAAAACATTGCTGAACAAATGAAAGAAGACACAAATAGGTGGATGACATTCTTGTTCGTGGAGTGGAAAGATTAATATTGTCAAGGTGTCCATGCCACCAACAACAATCTCCAGATCCAATGCAAATCCTATGAAAACCCCAATGGCATTGTTTTTGCTCAAACAAAAAATTCATCCTGAAATTCAAATGGAATCTGAAAGCACTACCACAAACCAAAATAATCTTTAGAAACGTGAACAGAGAGGACACGCATTCCCTGATTTCAAAATGTATTAAAAACTATGGTAATCAAAACGATGTGGTACTGAAATAAAGACATAAATAGGCCAGGTGCAGTGGCTCAGCCTGTAATCCCAGCACTTTGGGAGGCTGAGCTGGGTGGATCACCTGAGATTAGGAGTTCGAGACCAGCCTGACCAACATGGAGAAACCCCATCTCTACTAAAAATACAAAATTAGCCAGGCGTGGTGGCGCATGTCTGTAATCCCAGCTAATCGGGAGGCTGAGGCAGGAGAATCACTTGAACCCGGGAGGCAGAGGTTGCAGTCAGCCAAGATCACGCCATTGCATTCCAGCCTGGGCAACAAGAGTGAAACTCCATCTCAAAAAAAAAAAAAAAGACATAAATAGAGCAGTGGAATAGAATACAGAGCCCACAAATAAACCCTCACATAGATAGTCAAATGATCCTCAACAAGGGTGCCAAGATGACCACTCGACGAAGAATAGTTTCTTCAACAAATGGTGTTGAGAAAGCTGGGTACTCACATGCAAAACATAAAGGTGCATCTCTGCCAAAAAATTAACTCAAAATGGATTAAAGACTTCAATGTAAGACCCAAAACTGTCCAGTGTCTAGAAGAAAATACAGGAGAAAACATAGGGTGATGAGACAAGATGGTGGGTCCTTGCACCATCATCCCCAGACCCATGGTTTTTATTCCACAGGGGAAGGATGGTTTGTATTCTACAGGTGAAGTATGATCACATCAAGGTTGTTTGACTCCAGGGCAGGATTTATGATACGTACCTGCTCTTACACAAGAACGATAGATCAACTGGAAATCTTAGAGGCCTTCCCAGAACTGGGGTTAATCAGAAGCTGCCATGGCAGATTAGCTTCCAAGATGGAGTTGCCTTAGCCTCCACAATATTAAAAGTAGAACTACCATATGATCCAACAATCTCACTTCTGGGCATCTATCCAACCAATTGAAAGCAGGGTCAGGAAGAGGTGTTTGCACACCGATGTTTGTAGTAGCATTACTCAAAATACCCCAAACGTAGAATCAACTGAAATGTCCATCAAACAAAATACGGTGTCTGTAGTCCAAGCTACTCGGGAAGCTGAGGTTAGGAGAATGACCTGAGCCCAGGAGGTTGAGGGTGTAGTGAACTATGATTGTGCCACTGCACTCCATCCTGGGTGACAGTATAAGATCCTGTCTATTAAAAAAAAAAAGTTCTGAAAAAAATAATATTATTGAATCTTTTTTATTTAGTTATTTATTTTGAGACAAAGTCCTGCTTTGTCACCCAGGCTGGAGTGCAGCAGTGCAATCTCAGTTCACTGCAACCTCCGCCTCCTGGGTTCAAGGGATTCTCTTGGCTCAGCCTCCCGAGTAGCTGGGATCACAGGTGTGTGCCACCACACCCAGCTACTTCTTGCATTTTTAGTAGAGACGGGGTTTCACCATGTTGGCCAGGCTGGTCTCGAACTCCTGACCTCAGGGGATCCACCCACCTCGGCCTTCCAAAGTGCTAGGATTATAGGCGTGAGCCACTATGCTTGGCCTCAACCTTTAAAGGGAAGGAAATTCTTACACATGCTGTAGTATAAATGAGCCTTGAGGACATTATGCTAAGTGAAATAAGCTAGTCACAAAAAGATAAATACTGTCTGATTCCACTTACATGGTATCTAGAGTAGCCAGATTCCTAGAAACAGGAAGCAGAAAGGTGGTTGTCAGGGGCACAGAGGAGATGAGAATGGAGAGTTAATATTTAAAGAACATAGAATTTCAGTTTTACTGGCCCAGTGTGGTGGCTCACGCCTGTGAGGAACATGCCTTGGAAGGCTGAGGTAGGTGGATCACTTGAGGCCTGGAGTTCGAGCCCAGCCTGGCCAACATGGCGAAACCCTGTCTCTACTAAAAATACAAAAAATAAGCTGGTGTGGCGGGGGCACCTGTAATCCCATCTGCTCGGGAACCTAAGGCAGGAGAATCACTGGAACCCAGGAGATGGAGGTTGCAGTGAGCTGAGATCACGTCACTGTATAGCAGCCTGGGTGACACAGCAAGACTCTGTCTCAAAAAAAGAACTTTTGGGTTTCAGTTTCGCAAGATGAAAATGTTCTGGAGATCTGTCTCACAACCATGTGAATACACTTAACACTGCCAAACTGTACACTAAGCAATGGTTAGGATGGTAAATTCTAGGTGGTTTTTTTTTTTTTTTTTTTTTTTAGACAGAGTCTCGCTTTGTCACCCAGGCTGGAGTGCAGTGGTGCGATCTTGGCTCACTACAACCTCCACCTCCCAGGGTCAAGCAATTCTTCTGCATCAGCCTCCTGAGTAGCTGGGAGTACAGGCACATGCCACCACGCCCGGCTAATTTTTGTAATTTTAGTAGAGACAGGTTTTCACCATATTGTTCAGGCTGATCTCGAACTCCTGACCTCAGGTGATCTGCCCACCTTGGCCTCCCAATCCTGGGATTATCACCGCGTGAGCCACCGCACCCACCTTAGGTGTTAGGCTGGAAGGAGTGAAAGTTGCAATATGAAAATGATACTAGCAGTTAATATTTCAGAGTTCCCAGTCCCAACATTAAAAAACAAAAAACCTGTAGAAGTGGAAGGGGAGGTCCCTGGAGTTGAGGGGTGCCGTGAGGCCTGGGTTCAGAGGGTGTCTCTGTGGACGTGGAGCCCTCCCAGGAGGGGGCTGGATGGTGGAGGGGATGTCTGTGGACCAGGAGCCCAGTGCTTGGGAAACACTGCAAGGATGCCAGGGGGACAAGAGGGGCAGGGCACAGTGGGAGAGGCAGCAGAGGATTCAGGGTGAGACCAGCCAGAGGGGAGGGGAGGCCTAGAGGTGGCAACAGAACTTGAACAGCCACAAACATGAGTCCCAAGCATGAGGCTCCCAAGGCTGGAGGGCAGACACAGCCGCCACCCAGAAGGAAACCACAGGCGCGGTCTCCCTGAGGACCTGGAGGGAGAGGTGGGGGTGCCTATGTCAAGGGAAGGGGAGGGAAGGAAGAGATGGGTGGGCGAGGGCTCAGCGATAGAGGGAGCCAGGTTGGGGCTGAGCAGAGAGCTCAAGAGCGAAGGAAGCCAACAGAGGGTAGCAAGGTTTTGCGGGGGCGGTTTCAGGAGATGACGTGGTGGACAACAGGGAGAACAGGTCGGGGGGGAGCCTCAGGGTGCCAGCTGAGTCCCAGGCCCTTCCTGATGGGTTTGGGCAGAGCTGATCTGCTGCTCTGGTCCCTCTAAGGAGGGCCTCAGCCTAGGGCGCAGCAGAGAAGGTGGGATGGAGACTGCTATCACCTGGATGCCACCCTGACTCACTGTTGGTCCCCCTACACGTCAGCAGCGGACTAAAGCCACAACCCCAGCCAGCTGAGTGCTGGGCCTCCCCAAGGGAGTGGGGAGTACAGGTGCGGGCAGGGGACGGGTTTGGAAATCAGGGACTGTGCTGCTAAGAACCCCACAAGCCCAGCCTGCCACAAATTCTCCTGAGTTTTTGCCACCTCCCACTTAAATCTGATCTCTGAAGCAACTGCCTCGCCTGCCTCACTAATAATCCTGGCCCTGCATCTAAAAACACTTCCCCTCCTGCAGGTAGCAGGGCGCCAAGCAGTGACTTCTGACCAACAGAGTGTGGGGAGAAGGGATGTGTATTAGCCCCGGAGGACGTGATGTGAGACCCGCTTGTGAGTCCTCCACACTCGTTCCCCATTGGCAAGATACATGGAGAGCACCCTGAGGACCTTTAAAAGGCAAAGCCGCAAGGCAGAAGGAGGCTGGGTCCCTGAATCACCGACTGGAGGAGAGTTACCTACAAGAGCCTTCATCCAGGAGCATCCACACTGCAATGATATAGGAATGAGGTCTGAACTCCACTGAATTAAACCACTGGCATTTGGGGGCTGTTTATTATAGCAGTGCAAAGAGTTCCTTTATCCTCCCCAAGGATGGAAAAATACAATTTATTTTGCTTACCATACACCCCTTTTCTCCTCGTCCACATTTTCCAATCTGTATGGTGGCTGTCTTCTATGGCAGAAGGTTTTGGGGAATAAATAGCGTGAAATGCTGCTGACACTTCCCTGTGCATCTCCCACATGGCTGCCAAGTGCCCCTTCCTGCTCTGCAGTACCTGAGTCCAGTCATGATGCAGGGAGCCTCCCCACTAGAAACAGATGGCACTCACAGATTTAAAGCAGTTGGAAGCAAGTTTAAGAAGGGAAATCTTTTTTTTTTTTTTTTTTTTTTTTTGAGACAGAGCCTCACTCTCATCACCCAGGCTGGAGTGCAGTGGCGCAATCTCTGCTCACTGCAACCTCTGCCTCCTGGGTTCAAGCCATTCTCATGCCTCAGCCTCCCAAGTAGTTGGGATTACAGGCGTGCACCCCCACACTCAGCTAATGTTTGTATTTTTTAGTGGTACTGGAGTTTCACCAAGTTGTCCAGGCTGGTCTCAAACTCCTGGGCTCAAGCAATCCTCCAGCCTCAGTCTCCCAAATAGCTGCAATTACAGGCGTGAGCCACCATGCCTGGCTGAGAGGGAATCGTTAAGAAGGAGTGGGCAGGGGCAAGAACACTGTCAGAGACAGTGTGTTGGCCACGGCTACTACAGCAAATTGGCTGCTTCCTGTGATCGCACGGGTTGAGGGCTCAGTTCCACAAGGCTGCCCCAGCATCAGATGCCAGTCGCAAGCTCACGTGGTGCCTGTGCTTCTGACACAGGGCTATAAAAATTGAGGTTCCCATGATCCCCTCCTTGGGTTCAATTAATTTTCTAGAATGGTACCTAGAACTCAGGGAAGCCCTTTACTTACATGTGTCCCCTTATAAAGGATATTATAGGGCCTGGCGCCATGGCTCATGCCTGTAATCTCTGTGCTTCAGGAGGTTGAGGGGGGAGGTTCACTTGAGCACAGGAGTTTGAGACCAACCTGGGCAACATAGCGAGACCCCGTCTCAAAATAAAGATATAGGATATTACAAAGGATAGTTATGAACAGCCAGATATAAGAGATACACAGAGGGAGGCCTGGGGGAAGGGGTGCAAAGCTTCCGTGTCTTCTCTAGGCACTGCACCCTCTAGGAAGCTCCATGAGTTCAGTTATCCAGAAGCCCTCTGCATCCCTTTTGGGTTTTTATGGGCTTCATTATAAAGGCATGATTGGGCCAGGCACAGTGGCTCATGACTGTAATCCCAGCACATTTTGAGGCTGAGGTGGGAGAATCAATTGAGCCCTCAGGTGGCAACTGAGGCTGCAGTGAGTTGTGATTGCACCACTGTACTCCAGCCTGGGTGACAGAGAGAGAGCCTGTCTCAAAAAAAAAAGACAAAACAAAAAACCTGGCCAATACGGTGAAACCCCATCTCTACTGAAAATGATCGTCACCTGATCCCCACCCCTTGAAGATGCCTCCACCCTCTCCATACGCATTTGGTCAGCACTAACTGCCCTGGGTGACAGGCACACTGCACTGGGTGACAAGGACCCAAAGCTACACCAGCCAGTGCCCCAGCCCTCAAGCACCTCCCTGTGCAGAAGGAAGACAACACAGAAAAGGGAAGCATGGTTGTCACAGAGGCCCAGAGGACTGCTGGCTGATGTCACTGAATGGGGAAGTGGTTGGCCGCACAGGCCCCAAGCTCAGACCTGATGCCACAGTGGACGTTCCTGGGCCATGTGACCTCAGGCTAGGCTCAGAACCACCCTCAGGGCCTCCGTTTCTTTCTGTATAAATTGAGGACCATACAGAGATGCTGCCTACCTCCTGGGATTGTCCAGAGAGTTAAAAGCTCTTTTAAAATGCGCCTGCTGGGCCAGGCACAGTGTCTCACACCTGTAATCCCAGCACTTTGGGAGGCTGAGGCAGGCAGATCACAAGGTCAGGAGGTCGAGACCAGCCTGAACAACATAGCAAAGCTCCATCTCTACTAAAAATACAAAAAGTAGCCGGGCGGGCATGGTGGCACGTGCCTGTAATCCCAGCTACTCAGGAGGCTGAGGCAGGAGAATCACTTGAACTCAGGAAGTGGAAGTTGCAGTGAGCCGAGATTGTACCATTGCACTCCAGCCTGGGTGACAGAGCGAGACTCCGTCTCAAAAAATAAAAATAAATCAAATGCACCTGCTGGCAGGGCGCGGTGGTTCATGCCTGTAATCTCAGCAACTTTGGGAGGCCTAGGCAGGTGGATCACCTGAGGTAAGGAGTTCAAGACCAGCCTGGCCAACATGGTGAAACCCCATCTCTGCTAAAACTACAAAAATTAGGTGAGCATAGTGGTGGGCACCTGTAGTCCCAGTTACTCGGGAGGCTGAGGCAGGAGAATCGCTTGAACCTGGGAGGCAGAGGTTGCAGTGAGCCGAGATGGTGCCACTGCACTGCAGCCTGGGCGACAGAGTGAGACTCCGTCTCAAAATAATAATAATAATAAAACAAAATGCACCTGCCATTTCTTTCCATCAGGTATGGCCATGGAAATGAGGGTCATAAGGGAAGCAGTGTATCCTCACAGATCCCCAGAAACGAGAGACACAGCCATGCAGGGCCACTTGGGAAAGCACCAGGGTCCCTCAGGGAGTAGAGGAAGCCAAGGGAACACAGGGGTGAGACCCTTTGTTATGCTTTCCCTGGAAAAGGCAAGGAAGGGTATGCAGGTTTAGGATTGGCTAGTTAGAATAACGTTAGCAGGCTCTGGGGATTAGAGGCTGTCATTTGTTATTTGGTGTCTGGCCCAGGATGATGAAGGCAGAGAAATACTGCCTTCTGAAGGGTGAGAGGCAGCTAGAAGAGCTGGTTCAGTGTTGGGGCCCTGGATTAGCTGGTTTGCATATGAAAGGCACACTCAGCCAGGAGCCGTGGCTCAAGCCTGTAATCCCAGCACTTTGGGAGGCCGAGGTGGGCAGATCACAAGGTCAGGAGATGGAGACCATCTTGGCCAACGTGGTGAAACCCCGTCTCTATTAAAAATACAAAAATTAGTTGGGCATGGTGGCACGCACTTGTAATCCCAGCAACTTGGGAGGCTGAGGCAGGAGAATCGCTTGAACCCAGGGGTGGAGGTTGCAGTGAGCCGAGACCGTGCCACTGCACTCCAGCCTGGCAGCAGAGTGAGACTGTTTCAGAAAAAAAAAGGGACACTCTCAGAGGGGTCATTTGCTAGCTCTAACAACTGGCTGGCTCTGGCAGGGGCAGTCCCTCTCTCTGCTCTTGGAGGTCCAAGATGCCAGAATATCAGCAATCCAGTGGGGCTTGGTGAGGTGGCTCACACCTGTCATCCCAGCACTGAGGGAGGCCGAGGCAGGAGGATTGCTTAAGCCCAGGAACTTGAGACCAGCCTAGACAACATAGTGAGACCCCATCTCTCAAAAAAAAAAAAAAATTAGCCGTGTGTGGTGGTGTGTGCCTGTGGTCTTCACTACTTGGGAGGCTGAGGTCAGCAAATTGCTTCAGCCCAGGAGTGATGGTGATCGCGTCCCTACACTCCAGTCTGTGGACACTCTAGTACCTTGAGGACAGTACAGCCTGATTACAGAAGCTTTACAGCAAGTCTTGAAGTCAGGTATTATAAATCTTCCACCTTCATTCTTCATTTGTAAAGGCCTTTTGGCTATTCTAGGTCCTTTGAATTACTGTGAGAATATTACAGTTGGCTTGTGAACTCCACAAAGCCTATGGGATGTCGATTGGGATCAGAGGAAAGCAGGAACGGTGGGTGCCAAGGAGAGGTGAGGGGCTGGGGGCAGGGACGGATGTGGCCAGTGAGGACAGTAGGATACTTGTTGGGGGAATGTGGGGACATCCAAGCAGTGGTTCTCATAATGCGGTGCAGGGTACTTACCCCCTCCCTGCCCCTGCTCCCCACACACGACTTCCCACGCCTCTCCCATGAGCACCTGCACTAAGGGGCTGCATTTAGGCTCTGCCCACATTGGAATCATGCCCTCCTCCAGGCCCTCCTCCTCCTCTCAGAAGCCCTGTCTGTGAGAGAGCCACAGCCCCAGGCTCAGTCCCAGGTTCTGTCACTGCTGTTGGGGGAGGGAGGATGAACAAATCCAGGAGACCTCACACCATCCCAGAGCAGAAATCCTGACACAGAAGGAATCTCCCATGGGGGTTCAGCTGGATCCAGGGCCTGAAAGTGACATAAACATGCATGTTGCATCTAAGGAGACTGCACGTGGCAGCATTGGGCAGCATGTGCCCTCCAGAGCTACCCAGAGGCTGTTGGCTATAAGTTCTATGTGGCCCCCACATTGGACAGCCTGGTAAGCAGGTGACCTTTCAGCCAGGTCCTCAGGTGGGGCGGGCCACCCTCTCGAGGCCCTGCCCAGACAGCCAGGGGGTCCCTTGTCCTCTCTGCAGCCCATCTTTCCAGCTGTGACCAGTTCAGCCCAAAGCCCCCGTCCCTCAGTTTCCCTGTGGGTTGAATGGAGATAATGTGTCACCTCAGAATGTTGTGAAGCAGAGAATGAGGTGTTTAGGGCCTGGCTCAGACGGAGGGGTTTCCTGAGCATGGGGAACCTGTTTCCTCAGGCCTGTAAAGGGAGGGAGGGCGGGCCGGCCTGGCTGGCCCTGGGAAGCACAGAGGAGCCTACTAGGACCAGGGAAGAGACTAAGAGAAGGGAGGCCCGTCCCTGCCTGCTTCTGTCTCAAGAAGGCTGATGTCACTTCCTCTGATGAAATCCTGTCTTCCCCCACGGCCCCTCAACTGATGCCACCTCACCCTGGAGAGGGTGGGCAGAGCCTCCTACGGAGGGAGCCCTGTGCACCACCAAAGCTCCCTGCTCCAGTGACCACCCCCGGGCAAAGGCCGGCAGATCCCCGTTAGAGATGGGCCCAGGACTGTGTGTGGGGTGGGTGTTGCTCTGAGCCTTCACTTTCTTCTGTGTCCAAGGAAGCTTCTGGATCAGCCAAGGGCTCAGGTGTGTGGAGGGAATGACCTGAGGGGCTGTATGAAGGGACAGCCTCCTGTCCTGCACTCAGAAGTTGAGGCCCAGAGATTCCACCCTTCAGCCAGGCCCAGACATCTGGGTTGAGGGGGCTCCAGTCCTGTACCCACTACTGCAAGTCACGTGGCCTGGGGCAGGGCTTCTCAGAGCCCTGTCCCCTCCTGTGTAGGGCGGGACGTCAGAGGGGAGCCTGCAGACCCAGTCTCATGTCTTGGGGGTCAAGGGGTGGCTTCCAGAAGGACCAGTCTCTGTGTAGGGGACCATTAGCCCCCTCACCCCTTGAGCAAGGTCGTGGTGCCTGCACCGAGAGAGGGCCTGGGGCAGGAAGAGGCCAGCTGGGTCGTGGTGGTGCCTGGGGACTGCATGGGAGCCCCTGCCAGGGAGGGAGAGGGACAGAGGACAAGCTGGGGGCTCTTCTGCTTGGGCTGGGGGCTGAGCACCTGTGACCTCCACCGGCTTCCTTCTCCTCCTCTCTGAGGACTGAATCTGGGGCGCAGAAGGACAGAGATTCAGGCCTGCCTTTCCTCTCCCTGAAAGAGCCTGCGCTGGCCCTGGGCAGAGAGAAGGATGAGAAGTGAGGCTGAGTGAGGTGGGGTCTGCAGGGATCCAGGTGGGAGGGGCCCAGCCAGCCAAGGTCAGGCCCAGCCCCCCAAGGTCAGGCCCAGCCCCTCGGCAGGAGGACGGGGACCGCGGCCTTTGGGCAGGGCTGACTTGGCACTGACCACAAGGGAGGCCCTTTTGCAATAGGGGAAAATAAGCCAGATGGATAAAGGAAGTGCTGGTCACCCTGGAGGTGCACTGGTTTGGGGAAGGCTCCTGGCCCCCACAGCCCTCTTCGGAGCCTGAGCCCGGCTCTCCTCACTCACCTCAACCCCCAGGCGGCCCCTCCACAGGGCCCCTCTCCTGCCTGGACGGCTCTGCTGGTCTCCCCGTCCCCTGGAGAAGAACAAGGCCATGGGTCGGCCCCTGCTGCTGCCCCTACTGCCCTTGCTGCTGCCGCCAGCATTTCTGCAGCCTAGTGAGTACCCAGGACCACCCAGATGTGGGCTCTGCCCAAACCACAGGAGGGGCCAACCCGAGACAAAGGTGGGACATCTTGGGGAGGGCCCAGGCTCCCACCACCAGGAAACAAGGGCGGGTCCCACAGGGGCGGGTGACCCCATCCTCTCCCCCTCCTCCCTCCCCCATGCCTGAAGAGTGGGAGACCCAGGCCAGAGGTCAGTCCAGCCACCTGTCACACGACTGCCTGTGGGTGAAGGTGCGGGAGGGTCTGGGGTCACCCTCTTTGTGTCTTGAGGTGGTTTCAAGGTCTCTCCCCTACTCACTCCCTCCCTCCTCTAGGTGGCTCCACAGGATCTGGTCCAAGCTACCTTTATGGGGTCACTCAACCAAAACACCTCTCAGCCTCCATGGGTGGCTCTGTGGAAATCCCCTTCTCCTTCTATTACCCCTGGGAGTTAGCCACAGCTCCCGACGTGAGAATATCCTGGAGACGGGGCCACTTCCACAGGCAGTCCTTCTACAGCACAAGGCCGCCTTCCATTCACAAGGATTATGTGAACCGGCTCTTTCTGAACTGGACAGAGGGTCAGAAGAGCGGCTTCCTCAGGATCTCCAACCTGCAGAAGCAGGACCAGTCTGTGTATTTCTGCCGAGTTGAGCTGGACACACGGAGCTCAGGGAGGCAGCAGTGGCAGTCCATCGAGGGGACCAAACTCTCCATCACCCAGGGTGAGTCCAGCTGCCCTGGCACCCGCTTTGCCCACCGCAGTGAGGCTTTTATGATCACTGGTGACATCGTCCCCAGCACCTCAGACCCCACTTCTTCTGACGACCCCTAAGTTCTCTCTTTGGCCCCTAACACTTCCTCAGGCCTTTGCCACCTCTCCCCTTTTCTCTTCCCCTTGTCTCCACAACTGATCTGCTTTCCCCAACCATCCCCCTCACTGTCCCCTCCAGATCCAGCCCCGCCCCCACTCCTCAGGCCTCAGCAGCTGCTGGACCCTCTAATTATCCTTCATTCTTTCTCCAAAATGAGGCTCCAGCCTGGCCTCTCCCCATAACCTCCAGGCCGATTCGATCTCTCCAGGATGTGGCTCACCCGCTCTTTGTCATGTGTCTCTGTGTGGAGTCCCCGTTAGTGCCTCAGGGTGGGCCCCATACCTTGCATCTCTCACAGTCAGGAGCTCATTCAGGAACCCCCAGCAGGTGCCCAGTGGCTGGCCCTGGGAGCCCTGCAGTCCCTGGGTCAAGCCCTATCACCTGGGTTCCCATCTGCCCACTTCCTTCTCCCCCTCTGCTTCCCAGAAGTGTCCTTCAGCTCCTCCCTGACCTGTCTCGCCTCTTCTCTCGTGTATCATATCCCTCTCTTCCTGCATCCATCCTTTACCCTCCTCACTTCTCCCTGGCCCCTGCAGCCCCCACTTTCCCTGACAAGCCCCTGGGTTCTTCCAGCCGTGCTCTCCCTGTCCTCCACTCTGGTCTTGCTACTCTGTCCTTCCCAACACTAAGGGATGTGTCTGCAGAAGCAAGAGCAGCAGCCCCCATTCATTGAGGCACCATGGCATGGCCCTGGCAAATCGCTTCGTGTGCATTGCCCTAGTGAACCCTCACCAAGACTCCACAATAACAAGAGGAACTGCTATTCTCTTCAGTTTACAGACAGGGAAATTGAGGCTAACAGAGCCTATATATCTGTGCCCAACATCACACTAGTGGTGCAGATGGGATTTGGTAGGGATGGTGAGGGATGGGCATGGTGGCTGACGCCTGTAATCACAACACTTTGGGAGGCCAAGGTGGGTGGATCACTTGAGGTCAGGAGTTCGAGACCAGCCTGGCCAACATGGTGAAACCCCGTCTCTACTAAACATACAAAAATTAGCCAGGTGTGGTGGCGCATGCCTGTAATCCTAGCTACTCGGGAGGCTGAGGCAGGAGAATCACTTGAACCGGGGAGGTGGAGGTTGAGGTGAGCTGAGATCGAGCAACTGCACTCCAGCCTGGGTGACAAAGTGAGACTCCGCCTCAAACAAACAAACAAACAAACAAACAAACACAATGAAAGGGATGGTGAGCTGCAGAGCTTTCTCACCTAACCTCTAGCTACAGGGCTTCGCCTATTGAGTTGACCATAGTGTTCGCCTTGACCTACTTTTGAACCTAGTGATGGGATGTGTTGCACTAATAGATCTTCTGTTTTATTCAGAAAGGGCGTCGGGGAAATTTGAGCCTGGGTTTATCTGTCTCCAGATCAGTGGGGTGAGGGGAGTTTCTCCCAGGCCCAGGCAGGAAGGGGGTGCATTGTCTGTAGAAAATGTTTTAGGAAACTAATCTTTGGCCAGGTGGGTTTGTTTTTTCTAATCACTTGCACTGGCAATCCTAAACAATGCCAGGGATAAATTACTCTTCCCTGCAGGGACCTGCAGGGACGGACACTCTCGCTGCCTGCGCCCTGGTAAACCACTGCACCATCTTAACCACTGTGTTGGTTTTGGAGCAGATGGAAAGTGGCTCCATAATCTAAATGAAGCAAGACAGCCTTGAACTTTGATTTCCTACATATTTCCTTAAATGGCCTTTTTTGAGAGATTTGGGTTTTTCTCAGGCCTTCTCTTCCTCTTTCCTTAATTCCTGCTTGCTTTTCTCACCTCTCTGCATAGGTCAGATTTGTTGTTTTTTTCACTAATAAATTGTATTTTCAATTAATTCAATTAGTTGAATATTCATGCTTATTATAAAAAACAAAATTCAGGAAAGTAATAAAAAGAGAAAAAAGTGTTTTTTTTTTTTTTTTTTGAGACAAAATCTCTCTCTGTCACCCAGGCTGGAGTGCAATGGCATGATCTTGGCTCACTCCAGCCTCCACCTCCCAGGTTCAAGCGATTCTCCCGCTCAGCCTCCAAGTAGCTAGAATTACAGGCACCCACCATCATGCCAGGCTAACACAGGGTTTCACCATGTTAGCCAGGCTGCTCTCGAACTCCTGACCTCAGATGATCTGCCCAGCTTGGCCTCCCAAAGTGCTGGGATTACAGGTGTGAGCCACCTTGCTCTGCCTTTTTTTTTTTTTTTTTTTTTTTTTGAGACAAGAGTCTCGCTCTGTCACCCAGGCTGGAGTGTGATCATGGCTTACTGCAGTGTCGACCTCCCAGGCTCAAGTGATTCTCTTGCCTCAGCCTCCCAAATAGCTGGGACTACAAGCACGCACCACCACACCTGGCTAATATTTGTATTTTTTTTGTAGTCATGGGATTTTGCTATGTTGCCCAGGCTGGTCTCAAACTCCTGAGCTCAAGTGATCCACCTACCTTGGCCTCCCAAAGTGCTAGGATACAGGCATGAGCCACTGTGTCTGGCAAAAAAATTTTTTAATCCAGCTGAAGTACCATCATGCTAAGATGCAACAAACTAAAGGAATATTTGTAGCAGATATAACTAAGTTTGTTGTTGGCTTATTAATGTTTTTTACATAATTTTACTTTTGTAACCAAACCTAATTGTGTTCTTCTTTGTCACTTTTCTATTTCTTTTTTTTTTTTTTTTTTTTTTTTTTTGAGATGGAGTCTTGCTGTGTCTTCCAGGCTGGAGTGCAGTGGCATGATCTCGGCTCGCTGCAAACTCCGCCTCCCAGGTTCATGCCGTTCTCCTGCCTCAGCCTCCCGAGTAGCTGGGACTACAGGTGCCCGCCACCGTGCCCGACTAATTTTTTTGTATTTTTAGTAGAGACGGGGTTTCACCGTGTTAGCCAGGATGGTCTCGATCTCCTGACGTCGTGATCTGCCCGCCTCGGCCTCCCAAAGTGCTGGGATTACAGGCTTCAGCCAACACGCCTGGCCTTTTCTGTTTTATTTCTAAGCACAAAAATCCCTATTTCCACTATAGGTTGAAAATATTGGCCAGACACAGTGGCTCATGCCTGCAGTCCTGGCTACTCAGGAAGCTGAGACAGAATTGCTTGAACCCGGGAGTCAGAGGAGGTTTCAGTGAGCCAAGATCGCATCACTGCACTCCAGCCTGAGTGACAGAGCAAGGCTTCTTAATTTAAAAAAAAATTTGTATGTAGTGATAATTTATTTTGGTATATGGCATAAACAACTAAATTGATCTTTATATGAAATAATATAATCAGTTGTCCCAACCCCATTTATTGCATTTTTATCTGCTTCTCTATTGATACATTAGGCCTGGTTTTAAAATTATTTTTGTAGAAAAGCATCTGTTTCTGGTCAGTCGATTCTGTTTCACTGATCTGTCTTTTCTTACATCAGCACACAGGTTTAGTGATTGTAACTTTATCACATTTCAATGCCTAAGACTATTTTCATCTCAAACGTATTACTCCTTCCTCAAAAACTTTTTTAGGCTTGGTGCAGTGGCTTCATGCCTGTAATCCCAGCACTTTGGGAGGCTGAGGCACGAAGATGACTTGAGCCCAAGAGTTTGAGACTTAACATGGGCAACATAGTGAGACCCCCATCTCTAAAAAAAAAAAAAAAAATTAGCCAGTTGTGGTAGTGCACACCTATGGTCCCAGCTACTCAGGAGGCTGAGACAGGAGGATCGCTTGAGGCCAGGAGGTTGGGGCTGCAATGAGCTGTGATTTCGCAACTGCACTCCAGCCTGAGTGGCAGAGCAAGACCCTGTCTTAAAAAACAAAGCAAAACAAAAAATATTTTTCTGTTGTTGCCTGCCTGTTCCTTCCCCAATGTTAGAATAAGTTTATCCAGTTTAGGAAAAACAAAAACAAAAACAAAAAACACAACACTCTTTTAAGTCAGTTGCATTAAACCTATTATGCAATTGACAGAAACTGAAATCAGGCTAATACACAATCTTCCCATCCAGGAACAAGGTCCTATTTTATATCCCTCAGTAAATCTTGGTAGTATTCTGCCAAACATCATATAAATGTCTCATAAGATTGTTTAACTGTCTGTAGTGAGCTGAGATCATGCAACTGCACTCCAGCCTGGGTGACAGAGCCAGATCCTGTCTCAGGAAAAAAAAGAAAAAAGATTTTTTTACCCTCCATATTTCCTCGTTATTAATATGCAAGATTACTTTATGAATCCTTAATAATTGTCATTGTAAAAGTAATGCATAGGCAGCCAGGCGTGGTGGCTCACACCTGTAAACCCAGCACTTTGGGAGGTCAAGGCGGGTGGATCACGAGGTCAGGAGATCGAGACCATCCTGGCTAACATGGTGAAACCCCGTCTCTGCTCAAAGTACAAAAAAATTAGCTGGTTGTGGTGGCGAGCACCTGTAGTCCCAGCTACTCCGGAGGCTGCGGCAGGAGAATGGTGTCAACCCAGGAGGCGGAGCTTGCAGTGAGCAGAGATCGTGCCACTGCACTCCAGCCTGGGCAACAGAGCGAGACTCTGTCTCAAAAAAAAAAAAAAAAAAAGTAATGCATAGGCCAGGTGCAGTGGTTTCTGCCTGTAATCCCAGCACTTTTGGAGGCTCAGGTGGGCTGATCACCTGAGGCCAGGAGTTCGTGACCAGTTTGGCCAACATGGTGAAACCTTGTCTGTGCATGGTGGTGTGTACCTGTAATCCCAGCCACTCGGGAGGCTGAGGCAGGAGAATCCCTTGAACCCAGGAGGTGGCAGTTGCAGTGAGCCAGATCATGCCATTGCACTGCAGCCTGGGTGACAAAGCAAGACTCTGTCTCAAAAAAAGGCCAGGTTTGGTGCCTCACCTCTGTAATCCCAGCACTTTGGGAGGCCGAGGAGGGTAGATCTTGAGGTCAGGAGTTCGAGACCAGCCTGGTCAATATGGTGAAACCCTGTCTCTACTAAAAATACAAAAAAATTAGTTGGGCGTGGTAGCACGCGCCTGTAGTCCCAGCTACTCAGGAGGCTGAGGCAGAAGAATCGCTTGAACCTGGGAGACGGAAGTTGCAGTGAACCGAGATTGCACCACTGCACTCCAGCCTGAGCAACAGACGGAGACTCTGTCTCCAAAAAAAAAAAAAAAAAAAAAAATTAATGCATAAATCTGGCCAAGATGGTGGGTTATATGCATGTTTACCACCACCCTCTCCCAGAGTCTACTAAAATGATAGCAAAGGGAATTTTTTAAGAAAGAAATCCTCAAGAACAAGAAATATATGAACTGGATGTACAAAAGCAAAATTTGACAAGCTGGAAACAGACTAATGGAATTGGTTTAGGAGCCCAGATGAGCTAAACCCTAAGCCAGTGTTGGGAAACCCAGATGAATGGCAATTTATACCACAAAACTCTGTAAAGTTTCAGTAATGCTGGCCCCGAGTACCCCTGAAAGTAGGAGTGAAGATGGGTCTGAAAACTAGAGGACATTGAAAATCTACGTCAGAAGCAGGGAAACCTCCATTCCCCATTCCCCTACCCTAGCCCAAAGACGAGAGGTTTGCTTTCCAGAATAGATGAACCAGAGGGCCTCTGGGGGAGCACCCCAGGGATAACTGGCAAGGCGACTGGGGTCTGGTCCTCATACCGAATCCCCCAGCACCGGGGACTATATCTTGGCCTCATCTGTGTTTGGGAAGCCTAAGGCTAGAGTCCCTATATGATTAAATGAAACAAACTTCTCCCATGAAACGCAAAGAACAAAACAAACAGGAAAAACAGAAAGAGGAACCTGGAAGAAACCAAAACAGTTCAGGGAGAATAAAACTTTAAAATACTCAGCATTTCCTTCTACTCAGAAAGCTAAGAGACCTCGTGCATGTGATGAGAGGGTGCTTTACAAAGGAACTTGCCAACCACAAAGAAAGCTCTGGGAAATTTAAGATACAATAGCAAAAATAAAAAATTCCATTAAAGGGCTGGGCGTGGTGGCTCATGCCTGTAATTCCTGCACTTAGGGAGTCCAAGACAGGAGGATTATTTGAGGCCAGGAGTTCAAGACCAGCCTGGGCAACATAGCAAGAATCTGGCAACATAGCAAGACTCTGTCTCTATAAAAAAATACAATTTAAAAATTGGCTGGGTGTGGCCTGTCGTGATAGTTCACGTCTGTAATCCCAGCAGTTTGGTAGGCCGAGGCGGGCGGATCACTTGAAGTCAGAAGTCGAGACCAGCCTGGCCAACACAGCGAAACCCTCCCTGTCTCTACTAAAAATACAAAAAAATTAGCCAGGTGTGCTGGTGTGTACCTGTAATCCCAGCTACTTGGGAGGCTGAGGCATAAGAATCACTTGAACCCGGGAGGAGGAGGTGGCAGTGAGCTGAGATCACACCACTGCACTCCAGCCTGAGTGACAGAGTGAGACTCCATCTCCAAAAAAAACAAAAACAAAAACACGGTGGCTCACGCCTGTAATCCCAGCACTTTGGGAGGCTGAGGCGGGTGGATCACGAGGTCAGGAGATTGAGACCATCCTGGCTAACAGGGTGAAGCCCCATCCCTACTAAAAATACAAAAAATTAGCCGGGTGTGGTGGCGGGCACCTGTAGTCCCAGCTACTCGGGAGGCTGAGGCAGGAGAATGGCGCGAACCCGGGAGGCAGAGCTTGCAGTGAGCCGAGATCGCGCCACTGCACTCCAGCCTGGGCGACAGAGCGAGACTACCGTCTCACAAAAAACAAACAAACAAACAAAAAACAACTAGCTGGGTATAGTGGCACATGCCTGTAGTTCCAGCTACTCAGGAGGATGAGGCAGGAGGATCACTTGGGGCTGGGAGGTCAAGGCTGCAGTAGCTGTGGTCCCACCACTGCACTCCAGCCTGGGTGACAGAGTGAGATCCTGACTCAAAAAAAAAAAAAAAAAAAAAATTAAAAAAACCCACCACCACCACCAAAACAACCAAAAATGCACCCAAGGATGAAATTTACTTTTGAGTGTGGGAATAAATATGTAAATGTGAGAGGTGACAGCGTGCTGTCAGCCCTCGCTCGCTCTAGGCGCCTCCTCGGCCTCTGTGCCCACTCTGGCCGCACTTGAAGAGCCCTTCATCCCGCCGCTGCACAGTGGGAGCCCCTTCCTGGGATGGCCGAGGCCAGAGCCGGCTCCCTCAGCTTGCAGGCAGGTGTGGAGGGAGAGGCGCGGGCGGGAACCGGGGCTGCGCGCGGCGCTTGCGGGCCAGCTAGAGTTCTGGGTGGGCGTGGGCTTGGCGGGCCCCGCACTCGGAGTGGCCGGCCGGCCCCGGGCAGTGAGGGACTTAGCACCTGGGCCAGCAGCTGCGGAGGGTGCGCCTGGTGCCCCAGCAGTGCCAGCCCACCGGCGCTGTGCTCGATTTCTCGCCAGGCCTTAGCTGCCTCCCGGCAGGGCAGGGCTCGGGACCTGCAGCCCGCCATGCCTCAGTCCCCACCCCCACCCCCACCCCACCCCCGTAGGCTCCAGCGCGGCCCAAGCCTCCACGAGGAGCGCCGCCCCCTGCTCCACGGCGCCCGGTCCCATCGACCGCCCAAGGGCCGAGGAGTGCGGGAGCAAGGCGCAGAACTGGCAGGCAGCTCTACCTGCTGCCTGGTTGGGGATCCAATGGGTGAAGCCAGCTGGGCTCCTGAGTCTAGTGGGGACTTGGAGAAACCTTTATGTCTAGCTAAGAGATTGTAAATACACCAATCAGCACTCTGTATCTACGTCAAGGTTTGTGAATGCACCAATCAGTACCCTGTGTCTAGCTCAGGGTTTGCATATGCACCAATTGGCACTCTGTATCTAGCTAATCTAGTGAGGACTTGGAGGACCTTTATGTCTAGCTAAGGGATTGTAAGTACACCAATCACCACTCTGTATCTAGCTCAAGGTTTGTGAATGCACCAATCAGCGCTCTGTGTCTAGCTAATTTAGTGGGGACTTGGAGAACTTTTGTGTCTAGCTCAGGGATTGTAAATGCAACAATCAGCACCCTGTCAAAACGGACCAATCAGCTCTCTGTAAAACAGACCAATCGGCTCTCTGTAAAATAGACCAATCAGCAGGATGTGGGTGGTGCCAGGTAAGGGAATAAAAGCAGGCTGCCCCCCTGAGCAGTATCAACTGGCTCTGGTTCTCTTCTACGGTGTGGAAAGTTTCTTTTTTTTGCTTTTGCTTTTTGCACTAAGTCTTGCTGCTGCTTGCTCTTTGGGTCCACACTGACCTTTATGAGCTGTAACACTCACCGTGAAGGTTTGTAGCTTCACTCTGGAAGCCAGCGAGACCACGAACCCATAAAAAGGAAGAAACTCTGAACACATCCAAACATCAGAAGGAACAAACTCCGGACACGCCGCCTTTAAGAATTGTTAACACTCAAACTGCAAGCGTCCGTGGCTTCATTCTTGAAGTCAGTGAGACTGAGCACTCACCAATTCTGGACACAAATGGATCAATTCTGTTTGTGTCAGGTGATGGTGAAAAGAGAAAAGAGTAGAACTGGAGTGAGTGGGACAGAGATTGCTAAGGGTGGCCCTGTATTCACATTGAACAGGGAAGGCTGCTGTGAGATGAAGCAGAGCCTGGTGTAGGGTAACTGGGGAGACCTTAGAGTGAGGCACACTTGGGGAAACCAGTCAGGGACGGGGAGGTACCCTGGGACCAGCAGCAGGCCTCTGAAAAGCAAGAGACGGGAGCCCAGAGAAGACAGAAATGTGTAGAGAGGAACTGTGGCCTCTGGAGTCAGAAGTTGTTACAGGGCACCCGAGCCCACAGATGGGGTCCTCCAAGGCCAGCTCCAAAGGCACAACGCAGGGATAGAAGAACTGGGAGCAGACCTGGAGAAGCCCCAGGAAGATCCAAGCTAGACACTGATTGGTAGAACGTAATGGGGAGGTTGGGAGAAGAATGTTCCAGTCACATGGGACAAGTGTGGCTGAAGACAGGGAAGAGGCAGAGGGTGGAAGGAGGCGGGGAAGATCCTGTGTGGCTTTGAAAGCCAAGGAAACAACTCACTTTTGCTCTGAGTGCCATGGGAGCGAAGGAGCGTTTCCTGCAGGAGTGCTGAGATCTGACTCACACTTTTTTTTTTTTTTTAATTTTTTTGTGATGGAGTCTCGCTCTGTCGCCCAGGCTGGAGTGCAGTAGCATGGTCTTCGGTCACTGAACCTCTTGCCTCCTGGGTTCAAGGGATTCTCCTGCATCAGCCTCCTGAGTAGCTGGGATTACAGGTACCTGCCACCACACCCGGCTAATTTTTATGTTTTTAGTAGAGACAGGGTTTCACCATGTTGGCCAGGCTGGTCTCGAACTGTTGACTTCAGGTGATCCGCCTGCCTCGGCCTCCCAAAGTGCTGGGATTACAGGCGTAAGCCTCCATGCCCGGCCCCAACTCACAGCTTAAAAGCATCCCTCTCGCTATGGTATGGAGGAAAAAATTATAGGTGAGCGAAGTCAGAAGCAGGGAGACTGGGGAGAGAGGACGCAGCTTGGCTTAGCGAGATGGCAGTGCACGAGGTGAGAGTTGGCTGATACTGGTTATATTTTGAAGACAGGGCAGACAGGATTTGCAGATGGATTGGATGTGGGGTATGAGAGGGAGGAAAGGAAGGATGACTCTAAGGTCCTTGGCCTGAGCATCTTGAAGGACAGAATTGCCATTTACTGAGTGGGGGAAACGGAAGAACGGGTTTAGGGGGAAATCAAGAACTCTGTTTTGGACATCTTACGTTTGAGTCGTTACTAGACATACAAATGGAGGTGTGAACAGGTAGATCTCTGAGTCTAGAGTGCAGGGGGAAAATTGGCTGGATATATCAACTTGGAACCCAGCCTGGGCAACATAATGGAACCCCGTCTCTACCAAAAAAAAAAAAAAAAATTTTTTTTTTTTTTTTGAGACGGAGTCTCACTCTGTCACCCAGGCTGGAGTGCAGTGGCATGATCTTGGCTCACTGCAACCCCGGCCTCCTGAGTAGCTAGGACTGCAGGGGAGCACTACCACACCTGGCTAATTTTTTTTCATTTTTAGTAGAGATGGGGTTTCACCATATTGCTCAGGCTATCCACAAAAAAATTTTTTTTTAAAAATTATCTGGGCATGGTGGTGTGCACCTGTAGTCTCAGCTACTCAGGAGGGTGAGGTGGGAAGATCGCTTGAGCCCAGGAGTTGGAGGCTGCAGTGAGCCACGGTTGCACTATTGCGTTCCAGCTTGGGCGACAGAGGAAGACCAATCAGGATACCACTGATATTTAATGTCACACAGTGAATGAGATCATCTGGGAAGTGAGTGTGGCTAGAGAGGAAGTTTTAGGACTGGGCCCTGACATTAGGTTTGGGCAGATGAAGAGAAATCAACAGAGACGTCTCAGAAGGAGCTAAGTAAGAGTGAGGCAGGAGAACCAAGGGAGATGGTGTCCCAGAAGCCAAGTGAATAACTCACTTCACAAAAGGGAGAGTGAGGAGTATCAAATGCTGAAAAGCTGAGTCAGATAAAGAAAATGGGGGTTTAAGATCTAAATTCTCCATGTCAATAGTAGGAAGTGAGTAGATACCATCTAAAACAAGCAAATCAAGCAACAGCAATATTCGCATGCTGTTTAGAAATAGAAGGTTAACACAAAAATAAATAGCTAAAGTTGCTGAAAATAGTTGCCTCTGGGGAGTTGGAAGGGAGTGAGGAGGCAGGTGCAGGAGGCTGCTGTTTTTTTCTAAGTTGTGTGAAATTTGTTGGGTCTGAATTATGTGCCGATTGTATCTTGTACTTGATGCGATTGTATCTTGTACTTGTACTTGATTGTACTTGGAAAAAGTGTTAAATTTAAAAACTAATAAAAGTACTGGTAATACTTACACATAATTTAAAAAAATACAGAAGGAAGTCAAATAAAATGTAACATTCACCTAATCTCCCCAGTCCCTACCACTTTGTGTGGAAGTGTTCTCTCACAGATACAGACATACAACACAAATGGAATTAAACCACATACTATGCTGCTCTAGAAATTGCTATTTTTA